>NC_000001.11:59553835-59856865 GCF_000001405.40 Homo sapiens
TAACTGATAGCTGCTGCTTTTATTATGACAATCACAATTACTGCCATTATTATAACGTTGGGTGCCATACATTGACCAGAACAAAGCAAAATCTGAGCAGGCTTCCGAGGTTTCCTATGCAGGCAAGTATGCCCTTTGGGTTTCTCCTTGAGACTGCCCTACACACAGGACCCTTCCTCCATGTTGTTTGACTATTAAAAAGAAGATTTGTTAATGCTTGTTTTTAGCTTTCTCTCCCTCTTTTTTTATGTGTTAAAGAGGATTTGTTTTTGTTTTCCTTTCTCACAGGAGTGATTGGGGCAGATGTGAGAGGGCACGGCCTCATCTGTGAGGGGCAGCCAGTGACGTCACGGCTGGCTGTCATCTGTGGAACGTCTTCTTGTCACATGGGGGTGAGTCCACTGAGCACAAAGGCAAGGCCACCACACAGCAGGAGGTAGCCTGGAAGGAGACCCTGAGTGCTGGCTTCTTCACCCTTTCACTTCTTTCCTCTTTTCCCTGCCTGCCCCTTGTGCTTTGTCTAGCCAGAAGCCCAGCTCCCCACTCTACCTCCCTTGCTTAACATTTGCTGGATCTTTTTCCAGGGGCCAAATTCTTAGTAAGCATGAAAAGGATTGAGTGCTCCCTTTGACGTCACCCTGGCCAGAGAGCCCAGGCATGAATGGTGACATCTGATCCTAAGGTGACAAAGTCTAGCTCCCCCAGACTGATCTGTCCCTAATGGGTAGCGGGGTCTTCTCGGCAAAGAGTGTCTGTTTTCCTTGGCCAGGGAACTCTCTCTCAATCAATATAAATCCATCTCCCTGGGAGCGTCCTGATGATCTATAGAATTAGCCTGCGTATCATGACTTCAAAAGAACACTGATAAGCAATTTTCACTTTGTTAATTTTTCTCCATGAATTAGTGAAAAGGCTTTCTCCAAGATTGCAGTTAAAATTTAGTGCCTGCCCTAAAATTTATATCTTCTTTAAATGCATGAGTCTGAAAGCATTCCATTCCGATAAGTACCCATTTCTACCATATTTTTATTTAAAAGTCATTACTCTGTTAAACTTAAATCGACGACTCTTTGGAATTTTCCCAGATAAGTATAATAGAGGGCAGAGTGGGGGAGGAGCAGGGAGATGAGCAGAGATTAGAGCGGGACACAGCCCAGGGCAGAACCAAAGCAGCTATGGAGGAAATTAAGTGGGATGTGAGACTGTTTTGCAACTGTAGGGACCCCTGAGCCTTTTTACCATCAGATATTCTAGTTCAGTTGATATAAATACATGTACTTACTTATCAATCCCTGCTCTTGTGCTAAACTGTGGATATAAGAATGACATCGGCTCAGTGGGATGAGATGAAGTTATAACAGGTATTAGAATATAATGTGAGGCCCCCCAATGTAGATACAAATTGAACTCATGATACTAAGCATCTGTTATGTGCCAAGCAATATGCGAGGTATTCTTGCACATGGCATCCCATTTTCTATGGCTGAGGGAGCCAGCCCGAGTGGTTTCCAGTCCCACTTCCTCAGTTTACTAAGTGTGGGCCTTTGGGCAAGGTACTTAAACTCTCTGGGTCCCAGATTCCTCATCTACAATATGTAGAGAGTGACAGCACCTGTCAGAGTGCTGCAAGAATTAAATGAGGTGATACTAAGTGCTCCACATGCAGTAAGCACATCACAAGGGCTCACTCTTAATCACTAGGACTGTTGTTGTTACTGAGCAGAAAGCAAACAGTGGCTGACTCTGCCTGGGAGGGTGCAGGGTGATAGAATCTTCTTGAGGTGACATTTGTGCTGGACTTTAAGGAAATAGATTTCCTTCTGTTTGGGCTCTGGGCAGTCTTGAATGGAATTTTTCTAAGTTTAAAAATTGCAGCATATTTGGCCAGACACAGTGGCTCACGCCTGTAATCCCAGCACTTTGGGAGGCCGAGGTGGGTGGATCACCTGAGGTCAAGAGTTCAAGACCAGCCTGGCCAACATGGTGAAACCCCGTCTCTACTACAAATACAAAAAATTAGCCGGGCGTGGTGGCAGGCACCTGTAATTCCAGCTGCTTGGGAGGCTGAGGCAGGAGAATTGCTTGAACCCAGAAGGCAGAGGTTGCAGCAAGCCGAGATAGTGCCATTGCACTCCAGCCTGGGCAACAAGAGCGACACTCCATCTCAAAAATAATAATAATAATTTCAGCATATTTCTTCTGCTCAGCAGCCCTTTTGTAAGGCTCAGCTGTCCCTGAAGGGAGAGATCTGCAGAGGCCTGAGGCCTCTTTAAGCCAGAAGGCACCAGCCCAGGAGCCAGCCCTTCTTTCCCTTGATATGAGTCTACACTTGTTAGATTGTCTTCACTGAATACTGATTTAATCCTGTTTAAATTATCTCTTATTTTCACAGGGATACATCTAATCAGGCTTCTCCTGGGAGATCTGAATCTCAGGCATTTTTACCCCACTCAATTCAGATTTCTGAACAGAAGCAAATCTAAATGGATGCAAGTGTCTCTGTGATGGCCTGCTTCTTAGTCTTACTGTCTCTTAATGGAGATGAGGCTGGCTTTCCCTACCCATTTAATGTACACATTTGGGACCTAAAGCGTAGAAAAGTCCAGTAATTTTCCCAAAGTCACAAAGCTTTGAAGTTCTTGAGCTAAGAACTGAAATCTAACTCTGATTCCAAAGCTCATACTCCTCCTTGCCTCCCTGAATTGTGCATGAAGATGATGTACCCATAGAGGAATGGTGAGAACATGGGCTTTTACATTGTCCAGAGGCAAGCTTGAACATCTGCTCATGCATGTTTTGGCCCTCTGACCTGAGTGAGCTACTTAACTTCTCTAAGCTTCAGATTCTTCATCCATCAAATTGGGGATAATGATGCCAGTCTCACAGGGTTGTTGAGTAACATGCATTATGTAGGTTTGTACCTAGCACACAGCAGACACTCAAAAATGGTGGAGATTGTTATTAAACTTTCCTAGTGATGTAAACGGCTCACATGAAGCAACTGTTTGGGCTTTAACGAGTTTGATGGGCAGCTGCAGTTGGTTGCGATGAATGAGGGCCATAAAAGGCCAGTTTATGATGGCTGTGTTGTGCTGGAAATAAAGTCCCCACCCCCATCCTGCTTTGTACTTGGGAGTGGGAAGGGACCCTCTGGGCCAAGGGGATTAATCATCAGCTTTAATGTTATGTCATGAGGGTGAGACTGTGGTCATGCTGGCATGGGAAAGTGCCTTTGATCTCCTCAGGTGCTGGGAACCCAGCAACAATAACACCTTTGTGAGGTCTAGGAGAGGTGCAGGTCTGAGGAAACACTCCCAGGGAGACTCAAGGACCCCCTTTGTTGTGGTTCTGGCAAATAAAACCGCCACTGTGAGGAAAAATTAACCAAACAGAACACAGGGACCAAAGGGTGATGCGGGCTTTTCAAAAAGTGGTTTTCAGCATGATCTGAAGGATCCTCTTTCTTCCTGTCTGCTTACTTCTGATGTTTCCAATTTAGTAGATTGAGACAAAATTCCCAGGAACGTTTTGTGCTTGATCCAGGTTGCCTCTTTCTAGATCACCCAAAAAGAATAAATGAATGAACGAATGACCACATAAGTGAGTATTGGTAAATACTTAGAAGCTTCGTACCTCCAGGTTCCTGTTGCTTCCAGGAATCTGGAGAAAAAGCCTGAGGTTGAACATAAGACATGTTAATAAGGCCTTTGATATTTTAGAAGATACAAGCATGGGCTGCACATTTATCTTCCTTGTGGGTGATTTAATTAACAGGGGAAAAATGCCATTCTTTTTTTAACTCCATGAAAGCAGAGCTGCTTGTTCAGAGTTAATTACTACCAAGTCACCAAAACCCCAGATAATACACAGCAGGGGTTAGCCAGAGGTTGAAAAGTCATGGGGTAAGATGGAGCTGATCCTTGCCATTGTACTGACATCCTTTTCTTGAGCTGTCAGGTTGGGTTGTAACTTGGCAACTTGTCTTCCAGTTAGCATGTCAGATGGGGACAGGACCCTGGGGGGGTCGGGGTAGGGAGAAACACTGAGGAGGTAAGATTTGAGCAGAACAATACCTGAAGAGAGCTGGGAACTACATCTGCATCTTAAATCGCTCAGAACTGAAGTTTTTTCAGTCTTAATATTGAGATAGTGGTTCTCTATCATTGAAGGGATGTGGAGACTCAAAGACATAGGCTCATACGCTGCCCCCACCACTTACTGTGTGAATTTAGGCAGGATGCTTCATCTTTCAGTGCCTCAGTTTCTGCATCTGTTAAATGTGAGTGATAGTATTTACCCATAAAGTTTTGTTCAGGTTCAAATTAGGCCATCTTTGTAAATGACTTGGCACTGTACCTGGCACAAAATACCAAATATGATATTGTTATTAAAAATGAGTTGTTAATCACATGAACAATCCATGTGGTTATGGACTAGAATTAGAGACATCAGTATGAACTCATATTGGGGGAACCCACCCCCAATATTTCAACGTAGGTTCTTTCTATTTTCCGTAAGTGTCAGCCGGCTGAGAAATAAAGAGAAAGAGTACAACGAGAGGAATTTTACAGCTGGGCTGCTGGGGGTGACATCACATATCAGTAGGACCATGATGCCCACCTGAGCCTTAAATCCAGCAAGTTTTATTAAGGATTTCAAAAGGGGAGGGGGTGCAAGAACAGGGAGTAGGTCACAAGATCACATGCTTCAAAGGCAAAAAGGAGAACAGAGATCACATACTTCTGAGGAAACAGTACAAGGGCAAATTCAGAACTACTGATAAGTGTCTATGTTCAGCTGTGCATGTATTGTCTTGATAAACATCTTAAACAACAGAAAACAGGGTTCAAGAGCAGAGAACCGATCTGACCTCAAATTTACCAGGGTGGGTTTTTTCCCCACCCTAATAAGCCTAGGGTACTGCAGGAGACCAGGGCATATTTCAGTCCTTATCTCAACCTCATAAGACAGACACTCCCAGAGTGGCTTTTATAGACCTCCCCCCAGGAATGCATTCCTTCCCCAGGGTATTAATTATTAATATTCTTTGCTGGGAAAATAATTTAGCGATATCTTCCCTACCTGCACATCTGTTTTAGGCTGTCTGCAAGAAGAAAAATATGGCTCTTTTTGCCCGACCCCACAGGCAGTCAGACCTTATGGTTGTCTTCCTATGTTCCCTAAAATCACTGTTATTCTGTTCTTTTTCCAGGTGCACTGATTTCATATTGTTCAAACACACATCTTTTACAATCAATTTGTACAGTTAACACAATAGTGGTCCTGAGGTGAAGTACATTCTCAGCTTATGAAGATAACAGGGTTAAGAGATTAAAGTAAAGACAGGCATAAGAAATTATTAAAGTATTAATTTTGGGAACTGATAAATGTCCATATTAAAATGAAATCTTCACAATTTATGTTCAGAGATTGAAGTAAAGATTGGCGTAAGAAATTATAAAAGTATTATTTGGGAACTGATATATGTCCATATTAAAATGAAATCTTCACAATTTATGTTCCTCTGCTGCAGCTCCAGCCAGTCCCACTGTTTGAGGTCCCTGACTTCCTGAAACAAACTCATATTTAGTTTAACATAGATGCAGATGGATGCATATAGAAATAGTTATGGATATATATACATATACAGGTTAGTAAACACATATTTATTTCCTGGCTCTGTTAGCTGAGATGGTCTAGAAATAAGGATACCTCAAGAGCTAGTTTTTACAAGCACATAGTGTCCAGATCATGGTATCTAATACCATTATCCAATACAAAGAACCAGGACTCCTTGGAGAAATAGTTGATTTTAGGATTGGAATAGGAAATATACAAGATGAGCTTGGAGCATTTGCAGTGCCAGAAAGTTAGGAAGTTCTCAACAAAAAAGATGAGAATATGTCACAGGGAGCCAACTGTGGGAGCTCCCACTAGCCAAAACTGGAACAATTTAAGCAGTAAAATGAAGTATTATGAATTATAACTCAAAGTATAACATAAATATCCATAAGACCATACTGACATAAATTATTTTGAATAAATAAATCAATGAAAAGAAGAGAGACATCTCCCATGCAGAAAGATTCCAAATAATTTATATAAATGTTCCACCATCAAGGAGGTGGAGCATAACTTTCCACTCCTTAAGTGTGGGCTGCACATAGCGATTTCCTTCCACAAAATATGGTATGGAAAACGGGGGAAGAGTAATTTTACATTGGAGAAATATGAGAAACAGCATCCACGTGACAAGGTCAACATCAACAATGATAAGTCATGTTGATAGTACGTACCCTTGATATGATGTAATGAAAATGACACTTTGTCTCTGTTGTGTTCATCCCCCAATCCTATAAGCCCAGTCTAATTACCAGGAAAACACCAAACAGATCTTAGTTAAGGGACATCCTATAAAATACTTGACCAGTATTTCTCAAAGCTGTCATCCAGGTCATCAAAAAACAGGGAAAGTCAGAGAAACTATCACAGCCAAGAGGAACCTAAAGAGCCATGATAACTAAATGTAATATGGTATCCTGGATGGGATCCTGGAGCAGAGAAAGAACATTAGGTAAAATCTAAGGAAATCTGAATAAAGTATGGTCTTCAGTTCATGATAATATATCAGTGTCATTCACTGTGACATATATACTTGACAAGATAGTAATGATAGGGGAAATGTAACTGGATGTGAGGTATATATGATCTTTACAACCATCTTATATTGTAAAACTATTCTAAAATTTAAAATTTATTTTTAAAATATTCATTAACTATTCACTCATAAAGAAAACTTTTTTTTTTAATTTACCTGGCTAAGTGCTAAAAGTCTTCATAAGATAAAATGTCATGCCTGCCTTCAAAGAGCTCAGGCACATTGAGAAAGACAGACAGAAAAAGGAGATACTACAATACAAAATGGTAACTACTATAGTTAATGCATGGCTGGAGTGTGGTGGAAGTAGGAAGAAGGGGCTGTCCCAAGTCTTGGGTAGATGAGGAGGTTTTCCTATAGGAAGAGATATTTGCAGGATCATGGCTTCCCCGCCCCCACTGAGACACTGTTCCTGCCAGCCCAATTTCTGTAGTAGGCCCTTTCCTCAGTCTTCTCCACTTTGTTTTTCTTTGCTGTGTCCACAAAGCCTCACAGCTGACTTCCCCTGAGGCCTGAGCAGGATGTGGGTGTGTATGAGCCCTTTGGGAGGGCACCACAGGGAGACAGCACAGTCATGTATTATGAACTGATGGTCTTCTGTTACTAGCTGAGAAGAGTGGGCAAGTGGGACCAGTTTCTCTGTCATGGTCTCTTTAACAAGTGACATTGGCAGAAGTTACCAGAGGGGTGGAGTGGGATGGGATTCCACACGGTACAGTAGACCACTGTTACACCTAACAATGAAAGTGCTGAGGTGCTGCTCAGAAGGTGCCTCGCTTCCTCTTTGTTTACCAGGACCTGTTGTCGTCAGCCCTCTAGGAACCAGCATTCTCAGGACACTCTCTGTGTCAAGACTAGCTCTCAGACTGCATGTTTTGAAAACAAAGTATATGCTAGGCATTGATTCGGCGAGGAGAGGGTTGATGTGGTTCAGTGGACAATGAGAGACAGACTGTGCACTCAAGAAGCTCAAGGTAGCTTGTTTTTCAAGACATTTGAGAAACATAGAAACATTATGCTGGACTGAGTATGTTTAATATCTCTGAACCCAGGCAGTAGCACCCTTTCCTCAATCCTCATGAGGAGATAAGCAGTAATACTACTTGCTACCATCTGTTGACCACGGACCATGTACTAAGCACCTTACTAAAACTTTGTATCATGTAAATAGCTCAACAATCCTACCAAGTAGGCACCATACTGTCCCTCATTTTACAAGTTAGGAGACTGAGGCAAAGAGTGGTTAAGTGGGTCACACAATGTGTAGGAATGCAACACTTTGAGCCCTCTGGAAGACTGACCAGAGAGTCCTTCCTCCTCCCTTTCAGCTGTATAGCTTCCCTCAAAGGCCTAGAGGAAAGGGAGAACAGACTCAATTAAAAGGGCCAAACATGAGCAAATGTTTGAACAGACATTTCACCAAAGGAGAAATTTGAATGAAAAGCACTGGTCATTAGGGAAATGCAAATTAAAACCACAGTAAGATTCTCTACTACTCCTACTCATCTTAGAATGGCTGAAGATGTGAGGAACTGTAGCTCTCACACACCACTGGTGGGAATGTAAAATGATGCAACCATTTTGGAAAATGGTTTAGCAGTTACAAAGTTAACATATTCCTACTACGTGATCTAGCCATTCCACTCTTACAAAAGCATGTATTCATACAAAAATTTGTACAGTAATGTTCATACCAACAAATAAAGCTTTGTAATAGTCCAGCACTGGAAACAACCGAGATATCTTTCAAGAGTGAATAGATCAACTCTTGGTGTATCAAGAGAACAAAATACTACTAAGCAGTAAAAGGGAATGAACCATAATATAAGGTACAACATGGATTAATCACACAAAATAATTATGCTGAGTGACAGAAGCCATTAATTCTTCCAGGCAACTTGCAGTCTTTTGTGGAAAAGTGGGCTCAGGCCAGCTGATAGGTAGATTCCCCCTAAAGGCTTTTGTTCCTGGCCTTCTGAGATGCTTTGTTTCACCTGACTTTGCCATGTTCCTGGTGGACTTTCAGAAACATGAGGCCAGATATCCCTGCCCAGCTTTTATAGAAATGGAATGTCTGGATCACAGGGTAGATGTAAGTTTTAAGAAACTGCCAAACTGTTTTCCAAAGTCACTGTACCAGAAACGAATGCAAACTTTCTTGAATAAAAAATAGTTCCATTATTTAAATTCTTGCAAAAGCAAACTAATATATAGTGACAAAAAGCAGATCAGTAGTTGCCTGGAATCATGAAATGGGCACAACAAGGGCCAGGAAAGTAGGATCAAAAAGGGGCACAAGGAAAGATTTGGGTATGTTTATCTTGATTGTGGTAATAACTTCACTGATCTATGCTATGTCAAAACTTTCCAAATCAGACATCTTAAATATGTACAGTTTATTGAAAGCTATTAGCTCAATAATGCTTTTTAAAAACAGAAAAAAGATCGATTTTGTATCTGGAGACTTTACTGAAGTTGCTTATACACCTAAGGAATTTTAAGGCTGAGATGATGGGGTTTTCTAAATATACAATTATGTCATCTGCAAACCGAGATAATTTGACTTCCTCTCTTCTTATTTGAATACCCTTTATTTCTTTCTCTTGCCTGATTGCCCTGGCCAGAACTTCCAATAGTATGTTGAATAGGAGTGGTGAGAGAGGGCATCCTTGTCTTGTGCCGGTTTTCAAAGGGAATGCTTCCAGCTTTTGCCCACTCACTATGATATTGGCTGCGGGTTTGTCATAAATAGCTCTTCTTGTTTTGAGATATGTTCATTCAATACCTAGTTTATGGATTGTTTTTAGCATGAAGGGGTGTTGAATTTTATTGGAGGCCTTTTCTGCATCTATTGAGATAATCATGTGGTTTTTGTCATTGGTTCTGTTTATGTGACGGGTTACACCAATAATAGAGAGTCAAATCATGAGTGAACTCCCATTCACAATTGCTACAAAGAGAATAAAATACCTAGGTATACAACTTACAGGGGATATGAAGGACCTCTTCAAGGAGAACTACAAACCACTGCTCAAGGAAATAAGAGAGGACACAAACAAATGGAAAAACATTCCATGCTCATGGATAGGAAGAATCAATATCGTGAAAATGGCCATACTGCTCAAAATAATTTATAGATTCAATGCTATTCCCATCAAACTACCATTGACTTTCTTCACACAATTAGAAAAAACTACTTTAAATTTCATATGGAACCAAAAAAGAGCCTGTATAGCCAAGACAATCCTAAGCCAAAAGAACAAAGCTAGAGGCATCATGCTCCCTGACTTCAAACTCTACTACAAGGCTACAGTAACCAAAACAGTATGGTACTGGTACCAAAACAGATATGTAGACCCATGGAACAGAAGAGAGGCCTCAGAAATAACACCACACATCTACAACCATCTGATCATTGACAAACCTGACAAAAACAAGGAATGGGGAAAGATTCCCTATTTAATAAATGGTGTTGGGAAAACTGGCTAGCCATATGCAGAAAACTGAAACTGGACCCCTTCCTTACACCTTATACAAAAATTAACTCAAGATGGATTAAAGATTTAAACATAAGACCTGAAACCGTAAAAAACCTAGAAGAAAACCTAGGCAGTACCATTCAGGATGTAGGCATGGACAAAGACTTCATGACTAAAACACCAAAAGCAATGGCAACAAAAGCCAAAATAGACAAATGGGATCTAATTAAACTAAAGAGCATCTGCACAGTCAAAAAAGCTGTCATCAGAGTGAACGGGCAACCTACAAATTGGGAGAAAAATTTTGCAGTATCTCCATCTAACAACTGTTCAGAAATCAGTTAGAGAGCCTCTGGCCTTAGTGTCTTTGGGCTCTAACCACAGAAAAGCCACCCTTCAGACCATGCTACGTTTTTAGAGCTGTGTTCTCTGGGTGATGTCTATAACAGCACTTTACAGCTTCCTCAGAACACCAAAGAAAACGTTCCCCAGAGGCAAAGGGTGTGGCCTGGGCCTGGGGGGCCCATGTTTCATCCAGGACCATGAGGCACTGCACAGTGTTTGTTTGTTAGAGGAGCAGAGGATGCTCAAAATCATTAGTCGTTAGGGAAATGCAAGTGAAAGACACAGTGAGATCCACTCCACACTTACTAGAATGGCTGAAGTTGTGGTGATAATGTGGGGAACTGGAACTCACATGCCACTGGCAGGAATGTCAAATGATGCAACGACTTTGGAAAACATTTTAGCAGTTTCATAAAACCTACTCTACCCTGTGATCCAGACATTCCATTTCTATAAAAGCCAGGCAGGGATATCTGGCCCCATGTTTCTGGAAACCCACTAGGAACACGGCAAAGTCAGGTGAAACAAGGCATCTCAGAAGGTCAGGAACAAAAGCCTTTAGGGGGAATCTATCTATCAGATGGCCTGAGCCCAGTTTTCCACAAAAGACTGCAAGTTGCCTGGAAGAATGGTGTAAGTTCTTCCTCTAGAAGTAGAGGACGAAAATGGTGCAGCTGTGTTTTAGCTCCCTCCTGATTGGCAGCATGGGTTCTTCTCCCAAGGGTACAAGGGAATGGGGTGGGATGGGGGTGGTATATGGGAGTGGAAAGTTCTGGAGGACTGCCTTGATTAGCAGCAATGACAATAACAGCTAATATTTATTATATGTTTATCATGGTCTATTTGGATTTTTTTAACCCTCATAATAACCTTATACAGTTGTCAGAATTATCTTACCAATTTATGGGGACTGAAACTGAGGCTCAGAGAGACAAGTGACTTATCCAAGGCTGTCTAGCTAGTAAGTCCTTTCTTTTTTTTTAAGACAGAGTCTTGTCGCACTCTTGCTCAGGCTGGGGTGCAGGTGCGCCATCTCGGCTCACTGCAAGCTCTGCCTCCCGGGTTCACGCCAGTCTCCTGCCTCAGCCTCCTGAGTAGCTGGGACTATAGGCACCCGCCACCATGCCCGGCTAATTTTTTGTATTTTTAGTAGAGACGGGGTTTCACCGCGTTAGCCAGGATGGTCTCGATCTCCTGACATTGTGATCCACCCGCCTAAGCCTCCCAAAGTGCTGGGATTACAGGCGTGAGCCACCGCGCCTGGCCGTAAGTCTTACAGATAGGTTTGCCACTCAGGCAGTTGGATTCCAGAGCTCAGACTCTCAACAATAAGCAGAATGATGAGACACAGGCTGTGGGATGGGTTGACCATAAACACACGTGTTTTGTGGGAATGAGGTAGAGTGATTACACAGCAGATCTTTCCCAGAGCCTGATGAGAACTGCACAGTTAAGGCTGGATCACAGCTAGACCGCAGTGCTTTCATTTTCCCTTTTTCCCAGTCTTCCAAATCACTTCCTTTCAAGAAGCCACCAGCCTAATGATAACAATAAAAATAAACAACATCACTTGTCACCATCATCCCCTGGGAAGAGAGTATTTATGAGACTCCCTATTTAATCTTCCCCTGTTCCCTGCTGCGCTGTGGTCAAGTACCAAATTTGGCAATGTGAAGACATGCGGCTGACTTCCCAACTCATGAAGATGTTTTTCTATTTGTTTGGAGAGCATGATGAAAACCACATTGATTTTTTTTTTCCTTTTCCTATTTACCACACATCTGTTGTGTGGGTGATTCTGATATTGTGGCTGCTGAGGGTTACCTGGCAGTAACCCTCAGTAAGAGGAGAGGGTTTGTCCTTTTCCAGAAGTTTGGTGTGGATGAAATAGATGATGAGGCAGTCATGGTGGAGCCCTAACCAAGCATTGGGTCCCGTGCCAAGTGCCTGCATGCATGAGCTCATTTAGTTCTACATACATTTAGTTCAGAGGCTTTAGTATTTATGCCTTGTTTTTCTCTTAGTTTTTCATCCTCTTCTCCTATTCTGTTTGTGTGTTCCAAATGTCTGTTTTTTCATACATTACATTTTTATATCTTTTGAAAGTACTCTTAAGAGCTGTCAGAAGTTTGAGGTAGTTTCTACTCTTTCACTTAACCAATGGTTAGAGCCCCAGGAGAAATAACAGTGAGATCAAAGAACTCAGAAGAACCAATGGGAAGCTTTTTGAGCAATCAGCACTGAAGGAATGAAATTGAAAGTCCCTACGTAATTAACCATCAGTGGCTCCCTACTGCCAATAGAAAAAAAAAAGTTCAGATGAGACAATGAGTGGACCTTCTGGCTGTGTTCTTATGGGTTTGGGATATATTGCATTAGAATAAAACCGAAGTCTTAAATCCTAAATGAAAGTTACTGTCAGTTATACTGACAGTGATACTGTCATGTATGTTGTAAATCTTTTTGTTGAAAGATAATTTACATACCATGAAATTTATCCCCTTGTATTTTTAAAACATCTAGAGAACTGAGTATAGTGATGTTTGAGAAAGAGGAGACTTACTGCCCATTTTTTAGGTTACATTATGGGATGATACTAGTGTGTGGTCTTTATTACTTAGGGAGATAACAGAAGGATATCATACAATAGTACATTGCCATTTACTTGTATGTACCTGACACATAATAGGTGTCCGTTAAATAATAGATATATACATGAGCATAAGGACAGACAGAAAAATACCAGTTAGCAACTGTAAAGGTTTGTTGGAGAAGAAATCGTGCCATACCTATTTGATTTCTGTTCTCTGATGGAGTGAAAGGCTGGGCAGAGAAAGGGAGATACAGCATATAAACCACCAAGTTATTGGTCAGGCCTTAGGTTCTTTCCTTGATTAACTGACCCTTCCCACATGCCACAGCAGCATTGGTTAAGTCAGTCACACAATTTTATCTGTGCACAACCGAGTTGTCCACTGAATTATACCTCAAAGCAGGCCAAAAATATATATATATATGTAAAACTGATTGAAAAGCATTAAGAACAACTAATTGCCAATTTGTATTTGGGCTGTTTAGTTGATCGTTGTAGCCTTGTGTGGCACCAGGCAAAGACTAAGCCACAATTCTGTTGGTTGAGGAAATATTTAACTGGAAGATGCTTTTGAATGAATGATCAGCTACCCAGGTACTATTTGACATACAGCAGTCTTGGGGCTTCCATGACTTATTCTCCTATCATCTGTTTGCATGATAAAATTACAGGTTTCCATGTAATCTTTAGCAGATGTATTTGCTATGATCTTGGAAGACAGGGCATAGCTTCTCTGGAATTAAGGGAATGGCCCAGGAAAAAGAAGAGGTGCCCACAGATAAAATGGTCAGTTATTTTTATATATGTGTGCATTCTTCTGTGGTGTGCAGAACACCAAATTGCTTGGACCTGTTTATTCCCACAGACTCACAGTCAAACTGGTCCTGAATATTAAATCTGATGGTTTCATTCTCCTGATAAAAATCCTTTGTCGATAAAAAATCCTTTGTCAAGTCTCCTGAATGCTAGCTAGGCATACGAGATCCAGCATTATTGCCCCTGTCTACCTCTGATACCATTCCGTGCTATCCCTCACCATTCATCCTGTGTTCTAGCAGGTGCATCTGCACACGCTTGTTTGAATTCTATGGAACCAGAGATGTTTGAGCATAGAGAATGACCAGATTTTAGGCAGTTAATACTGTATATATACAATATAATGCATAACACTGCCAGTGAAGTTTGGAGCAGCACCTGTAATCGTGCATACTAATATCTCTACAGTAAAACATATGAATATTCACACCAAACAGGTTAAGTCAGCTTTAAATGGCTTGATCCATTCAGATCAGATTTTACCATCAAATGAATTGTGAAAAGACTTTTGGTATTTGAAATGCTTTGGGTTGAAGAAGTGTGGTAGACCTGTACTTGCTTTTCTTGAAAAGAGCCTGTGCTCTCTTATTCATCTGGCCTTTGGGCATGTTGTTTTCCCTGCCTGGAATGGCCACATCTCCCTCTGCCTGTTGAGTAGCATCATTACTAGAATCATCATTGCATATACTGAGGATTTACTATGTTGTTACTCCCAGCAAATTCTATGGTCGGGGGGGCGGGGGGGGGTGTTCTTATTGTATTACATCCCCCCAGTGTTTAGATGAGGAAACTGAAGCTTGGAGAGGTCACAGAGCTAGGAAGAGGTAGAGCTGAGGTTGAACCAAAAAGTATGGAGACAACAAACCTTGGGTTCTTAGTTACTACACTGTCCGTGTGTGCGTCTTCCCCAAAGGTCCAGTTCAGGTGTCACCTTCCTAAGGCCCTCTTCCCTTCCTCCACCACGTTTAATAGATTATGACTCCTCTGGGCCTTCACAGCTGTTTATGCATAGCTGTGGTGCACTGCTTCTCATTCTCTGTCTTTCCCATGAGCCTAAACTCCTTGAGTAGTTGGGGAAAAATGTCTACTTCAGTGTTCTATCTCTAGGGCATACAGTAGGTAGTCAACACATAGTTTATAATTAAGTTAGTTTAAAGTGATACGGTAACAGATAACAATTTGTATCATCATTAAAATAAATAGTAAACACCAAATCACAAGTTCAAGGATATAAAATTTGGATTTACAAAAGAAAAAAATACTCAGAAAAAAAAAGGCTGCTCATTTTTATGCATGGTATGTAAAGAAGAGGAATTTGGGGACAACAGTTCAAGAATGGGCAAGGAACACATTTATACTTAAAAATTATGACAGCTAGGATTTATTAAATACTTCACATGTGACAGTTTCTCTGCTAGGCATTCTGTGTATAAACTTTCTAATCCTCACAACAAATATGTAAGGCTAATTGTCGAATCCCTGAATGGACAAAAATTATAGCTATATAAGAAAGAGAAAGATATGGTAACCATGTCTTAGATCAGAATAAAAAGAACAAAAGGTAATGATCCTAATATATTCAGATTTAACATAAATTAAGCATCATTAGAGGACAGTCACATAAAATTGCACAATAGAATATATTTCCACATCTGAGAGATGATGGAATTGAGGTCAAAGAGATTACAGGCTAGTATGTGGTATTTTATACCCATTCCTTGAATTATGTTAACATGGTACCAGAAGTATATCTTGCTGTCCTCCTCAGAACTGGGTGCAGTTTTGAGCTCTGCTTTTGTAAAAAGCTGTTAGAACCTGAAAGAACCACATAACACAGCTGTAATATTCAAGAGAAAGTGGGTCCCACGAACAAAGATTGAGATTGTTCAGAGAAATGGGGTGGTTCTGATTGCTTAATAGAAACCTCACAGGTTGGCTCTATTATTTTCTTGTTTATGGAAGTTTTTGTGACCGTAAGAGCTAACTTTTCCTTGGTGCTTTAGAGTTTATTAAACGTCTTATGGAATTTGATGCTCAGAATAACTAAGTGAATCAGTCAGAGCAGATGTTTTCTTTTTTTCAAATGAGACTCAAAGAAATTAAGTGATTTGTTCAGTGTCCCACAGCTAATAAATGATAGGGCCAAGACTCAGATATGTATCTGAGCAGACCCCTGAGCCATGTCCACTGCAATCTTGCAATCCTTGGTTCA
The DNA here is from genome assembly GCF_000001405.40 of Homo sapiens. Classification (NCBI taxonomy): domain Eukaryota; kingdom Metazoa; phylum Chordata; class Mammalia; order Primates; family Hominidae; genus Homo; species Homo sapiens. Next base: position 59,569,939 of record NC_000001.11, read on the forward strand.
TCTTCATTTACTCAAATTGAAGGATCCTGCGGCTGGTGAATGTCTGGTTCATTGCAGAAGAGTTCCTGGTTCCTTGTCTCTAATTTCCATTGTGACTGTGAATTCTCCATTGAGCTGCAAGCCAGTGACTGTCAATTAATGTGCACAAAATATACCTGGGTAACTGTTTTAAAAATGCAATTCCTCAGGCCCCTCTCCCACAGGGTCTGATTCTCTAAGTCTTGCTGGAAGGGATATATGAGAATCTGTAATTTTAACATGTGCCCAGGTGATTCTAATGGAAAACTTTCAAAAAAACTGCTTTAAGCTCTTTCAGAGTAGCAATTATATCTTTACTTCATTGTTTCCGTAGTGCCTAGCAGAGCACCTTGTACATAGACAGTACTCTAAATTTACACTTGATGAATATAAGAGTGAAGTAAATAAATGTAAAATTAATGTAAAATGAAGGAAAACAAGTTTGAGAATCAGTCAGTTCCTGCCAGATTTGGAGCACACTGAGGAATCCCTTTATCTCCATCCTTTCAAATAAAATATCTCTTGGTAGGTCTGGGTAAGACATACTGAGAAGTCATGACTTGGACAAAGTACCTGGTAGAATCTGCCAACAATTAGAGATTGTGGAATTCTTATTTTCTCATGGAAAGCAGGATGGAGTGAAACAGTGAGAGATCCTGTTTGTAGTTCTGTGCAGACAAACCCAGAAACCAGAACGCAGACACACCAGGACGCAACAGGAAACCACAAAGGCCTGAGATCTTTCAATGTAAATAGGAAGTCAGAGTTTACTTCCGAACCCACAGTGCCAAGCTGAAGTGCAGTGTTTAATCCAGCTCTCTACCCAGCCCTTCCTTGAGCCTGGGCACAGATGAAAGATGATGATGCCACCTGGGTAAAAGCATTCAAAAATGTTTGTTCTGATCAGGTCTTGGAGTGAGCTTCTTTTGTTTGTGCTAGTGAATAATTTGGGACACAGGTGCACTTTGCATTTGAAAGCGTTAATTGGTCTCCTTGGTTTTCCCTGCCATGATATTTGAAGCCACATCTTCCTCCACAAAGTAATTTTAATCCATATACATTCAAAAAGCACTTGTCATGGACAGCCGTCTTTCATATACCCCATCTGTGGACCCCTGGGTCCAGGTGCAGAGTAGTGGAACATTGGTGATGCTTAATATGTACTCTGTGTTCATTGCATTGACATCTGTAATCTCATTTGATTACTACTATTACACTGGGAAATAATTAATAGGATACGATCATCACCATTTTGAAATAAGGAAAATGTAGTCTGGTAGAAAACACATGGATGTTAAAGTTAGGCAGATCTGTGTTCATGTCCAAAAGACTTAAGCTTTCTTACCAGACTGCTTTATTTTATGTAGCCAGTTGTTTAGAGCATTCACTCTGTGCCAGGTACTGGAGAGAAAATGGTGAGCAGTAGACCTAGACTGTACAGTGTAGTGGAGGAGATGAATACTCAGCAAACAATTACAAAAATGTATAATTACAGACCTTGATAAGTGCTTTGCTTTCATACCCTGCTGGGGGAAGTATAAATTGGGCAGTCACTTTGGAAAACAGTGAGGCATTGTCTGATCAATTTGACTGTGCACATGCCCTGTACTCTACCAATTCCATTCCTAGGTAGGAAGCTGGAGAAACAATTGTACTTGTGTACCAGTAAGTGCCCAGAGACAAGTAAGTACAAGAGTATTCATAGCATTATTTTTTATAATAGCTACAAATTTGAATCAACTCAAATTTCATCAATAATAGCATGAATAACTAAGTTGTATTATATTCATACAGTGGTAGACATACTTAAAATGTAGGAACTACAGCTACATATGACAACATAGATGGATCAAACAATTTTAAGTGGAAGAAACAAGACATGAAAGAGATACATACAGAATTATTTCATTCATAGAAAATTCAAAAAGAAGCAAAAAAGACAATGTCTTTTAAAAAATGCCTACAAAAGCACTAAGCTTAGAAAAGACAAGCAAGGGAATAATTACCACAAATATCAGGACACTGGTGAATTAGATGGCTTGGAATTGCAGGTTGTTGAGGTTAAAAGATGCTTTCAGGAAGAGCTTGAGGGAACTAGCATTTGCTTCTGAAGGATACATGAGTACTTAACAGTTTTTTTAATGTTCACATAAGTTTTATACACTCCTCTGTATGTATGATATGTAAGTGCTAGAAAGCAGAGAAGCTATCAGAACATAGAGCCAAGTGCCATATAATTTGGGTGGTCTAGAAGGCAAGGCAGTGATGTTTGAGCTGGGAGATTTTGATTAGGTAACTAAGCAGAGAGCCTGACGGGGAGGGAGTAGGGTTGTGCATGGCAGTGGTCAAGAGAAAAAATTTGTTCAGAAAGAGAGTACAGAAGAATAAGCAGAAGGAAATTGGCAGCTTTGGTGTGGGGCAAGAGAGAAGAATGCTACAAGTAAAGGCTGGAGAAGCAAAAAGGGGTAGCATATGCTGGGCTTGTAAGCCTTCTGAGGGATTTTAGTCTTTTATGTAAGAGAAACTGAAAGGTTTTAAGCACAGTGGATAAGATAATTGAATTACAAAGGATGGAAATAATTCCAGTTTGGAGAACAAATTGGCAAGAGACCTGAGTGGTACTAGGATACTAGGAAACCAGAAGAAGACTGGGAGTCTGTGTGAGAGATGATATCATACTAACTTGTCTCAGATTATGGTGGGGGAGATGAGATGTCGATATATTGGAAAGATGTTTAGAAGATAAAATCAGCAGCACTTCCTTGGTGTGAAAACTGTTGAGGCTGCAGGGCAAACACAATAGAGGCTTATTAGGTATCTCACCCAAACTCCTAAGATGAGCTGCTCCCCAGTGAGTAGAGATATCTGGAGAGAGAGCAGTAGTCGTTCAGGCATTCCTTGGACAGACTGGATTCACTAGAGAGAAACATTTTTGGTTTGCACTGTCAGCTTTGTTTTTAGGTTGTTTTAAATATTTTACCCTTGTCTCTTATGAAAGGTCTTCTCAAGAAGTAGCCATGTGGACACGATATTGCTTTGGTAGTAATTCTGCCAAAAATGCCTGACTTGAATCTGATCATGAGGAAATATCAGAAACCCAAATTGAGGGAGATTCTATAAAATAACTTGCCTCTAGTCTTCAAAAATGCCAAGGTCATAAAAGAAAAACTACAGGAAGATCAAAGGAGACGAAAGAGACATGATATCTGAAGGACATGTGTGATGCTGAATTGAATTGGAGAAACTTTTTTAAAAGTTTTATTGTAAAGGACATTTAGTGGATAATAGATGACATTCTAATAAGATCAGTAGATTAGATAATAGAATTGTATCTATGTATACTTCCTGATAATTGTATTATGGATATATAAGAGAATATCCTTGTTATTATAAAATACACACTGAATTATTGAATATTTTGGAGTAAAAGGACATTATGTCTGCCACTTTCAAATGGTTCAGAAAAACTACATACATATACACATATGTGTGTGTGTATATATATGTTCATATATATACACACATGTATGTTCATATATATATGTTTATGAACAATATGTGAACAATATGTTTATGTAAAACATTGGGAAAATCTAGGTGAATATTATACAATAATTCTTTGTTCTATTTTTACAACTATTTCATAAGTGTTAAATCATTTGTAATAAAACATTTTAAAAGTGTTTTTTAATAGAAGGAAGTAGTCATGTGAAGGCCATGCTTATATTTGGCATAACCATGAGTTAATATACCACTCATTGTGCCCCATATAAAATCCCACTTGAGAATTTATTTTAGAATTTACCATTTGGAAAAGTGTTGTTCAATCTCAAATGGTGTATTTTCATCTTTCCAGTAATAAAAGCTATATAATGGATTACATTTTTCTTCTGGCCCTGGAAGCCAAGGAAACTCAGAGTTAAAAATTTAACACTCAAGCTAAACTGTTGAGCCTTCTACTACATAGCATATTTCCATTCTTCTTTTTGCTGTAATTGTCTTGCATTACTGTTTCTAGTCACTCTGTACTATATTATCTGTGTATGTATGTTTGTGGGAGTGGTAGATAAAATATCTCAAACTCTTTGTATTAGTTTCCTATGGCTGCTATTGTAGCAAGTTGCCATACACTTGGTGGCTTAAAACAACACACATATATTTTCTTATGGTTCTCGAGACTAGAAGTTCAAAACCAGTTTCACTCAGCCAAGATCAAGTGTCAACAGGGCCGTACTCCCTCTGGAGGTTCCAGGGGAAAACCTGTTCCTTGCTTCTTCCAGCATCTGGTGGCTGCTGGCATTCCTTGGCTTGTGGCCACATCATTCCAGCCTTGCCTTCTGTGGTTTCATTGCCTCCTCCTCATCTGTGGTCACATCTGCCTCTCCCTGTCTCTTACAAGAACAGTTATGATTGCATTTAGGCCAACTCAAATAATCCAAGATTGTCTCCTCATGTCAGGATCCTTAATCACATTTGTGGGTCCTTTTTTTTTCTTTCTTTTTTATTTTTTTGCCATATGAGTAACATTCATAGGTTCCAGGGATTTGAACATGGTGATCTTTTCAGGAGCCATTATTCAGCCTACCATACCCTTTATGGAAAGAAGTGACATTTAAATGTGTTTTTTAAGGTACATAAAAATAAAGTATTAATTTATTTGGAAAATATAAAGTACTTCTGCACTCTGTGTATAGTGAAGGAACAAAGATAAAAGAAATCAAATTTCTGTTTAGTGATTTTTCATTGCTTTTATGAATTACATTGAATTTTCTATTATATTTCCTATTTGGTTATTTCTGGAATAGAGAAATATATTTGACTTTTTTTAGAAAGTAAATTATTTGTTAATATGAATGAATAATACCTGTGAGATTTCCAATGAAAAGAAGCAAAGTTTTATACATCAAATTTGCTTCCAAATGCTAATATACTAAAATCAGTGCTAGTTATGTTTAATATAGGTTGCTGAGAAAAATAGTTATCTTTTATGGTTTTTAAAAAGTGTATGTTAATTTATTTTTATCGTTTATTTCTTACTGACAAATGCAAATTGTATATATTTATGGGGTTCAATGTGAATTTTGATATACTATATATTGTAAAATGATTAAATCAAGCTTATTGACATATTCATTACCTCACATACTTTTTTGTGGTGAGAACATTTAAAATCTACTCTCTTAGTAATTTTCAAATATACAATACATTTTTATTAACTATAGTCACCATGCTGTGCAACAGATCTTCAAAACTTATTCCTCCTGTCTAACCCAAGCTTAGTACAATTTGGCCAACATCTCTGCTTTACCCCTTGGCAACCCCACCCTAATAACCAACATTCTACTCTCTACTTCTATGAGTTCAACTTTATTAAGCTTTACATATAAGTGAAATCGTGCAGTATTTATCCCTCTGTGTGTGGTTTATTTTACTTAGCATAATGTTCTCCAGGATCGTCTGTGTCACTGCAAATGACAGAATTTCCTTCTTTTTTAAGACTGAATAGTATTTTGTTTTGAATCTATGGCACATTTTCTTGATCTGTTGATGGACATTTAGGTTGATTTCATATCTTGGCAATTGTGAATAATGGTGCAGTGAACATGAGAGTGCAGACATCTCTTCAACATATTGTTTGCATTTCGTTTAGATACACCCAGAAGTAGAATTGCCTGATCACATGGTAATTTGTCATTTTTTTGAGGAAACTCCATACTGTTTTACAAAATGCCTGTACTAGTTTACATTCCCACAGATTTTTAAAAAGTTAATCTTCTACCCACTAACCTTGCTAAACTTTCTTATTTTTTTAAAATGTGCATGTATTATATATGCTCTGCATGCATTATAAATGTTACAGTAATTTTTAGGTACAACACTAAATATTCTCATATGGTTTGGATGGTCAGTGAAGGCTTCTGTAAGGAAGTGATATCTGTGATATTTTGGTTAGGAAAAAAGTGGTCCAAACATAGAGGACAGTATGAGCTATATATACAAGATCATATCATCTGCAAATTTTGCTTCTCTCTTCCCTTCTTTATATCTTCTTTTGCTGTTAATTTTTGTCTAATTGTGTTTGCTAGGGCCTCTGGTATTATGCTGAACAGTTGTGGTGATAAAAAGCATTCTCACATGCACACATATGTTTATTGCAGCACTGTTTACAATAGCAAAGATTTGGAACCAACCCAAATGCCCCTCAATGATAGACTGGATAAGGAAAATGTGGCACATATTTACCATGGAATACTATGCAGCCATAAAAAAGAATGAGTTCATGTCCTTTGCAGGGACATGGATGAATCTGGGAGCCATCATTCTCAGCAAACTAACACAGGAACAGAAAAACAAACACTGCATGTTCTCACTCATAAGCAGGAGTTGAACAGTGAGAACACATGGACACAGGGAGGGGAACATCACACACTGAGGCCAGTCGGGGGGTAGGGGGAAAGGGGAAGGGAGAGCATTAGGACAAATGCCTAATGCATGCAGGGCTTAAAGCCTAGATGACGGGTTGATAGGTGCAGCAAACCACCATGGCACATGTATACTTATGTAACAAACCTGCACGTTCTGCACACGTATCCCAGAACTTAAAGTAAAATAATAAATAAGCATTCTCATCTTATTTCTAATCTTAGAGGGAATGTATATAAAATTTTTCCAGTGAGAGTGATATTTGCTAGAGATTACAGACAGACAGACAGACAGACAGACACACACACACACACACACACACACACACACACACATTTCCTTATGAAATTGAGTAAATGATCTTCCAAAGCATTCAGGGCAAATAGCAGCCCATGTTTTAATAACCCTAAGAATTATTTTATATGATAGTCCCATTCCATGGCCATGGAGCTCTGTCACTATACTGTGAACTTCTCTATGGCAGGAACTATTCATTCACCATTGTATCCTTACTCTGAACTTCTCTAGGGCAGGAAACTGTTCACTTGCCATTGGATACTCAGTATCTAGCACAATGCCTGTAAGTTAGGCATTCACTATCCATTCAATGAATGAATGGATGGATGAACGATAGTTAATATCTGTTTCATTCTCAAAGCTAGCAAATTCTTTTTAAGCATGAGCCAAAAATATCACTACTTTCCATTTTCTTTATTCAATGAGTTGAGCTCATTTTGCCGCCATCCTTACCTCCTCCCAGCACCTGGTACAGTCAGTAGTCATTTGACATATGAAGGAATAAATGAATGAGTCAATCACAGAGCATTCTGCTGCCAGTTGATAGACTTTGCCCCTAAAGATTCTGAACTTTATTTGAACTGAAGCCAGGTGGTTAAAGATGATTTAATCAGGACAAAAATAAAATTCTACTCTCTTTAATGGAATAATTGCTTATTGCATTTTCTTCTTAAAGTTGGCCATTCATCTCCTTAAAGTTGGCCACTGTCTTTCAATTTATATATGTTGTCCATGAATTATTGAAAGTGATTATTCTGAATTAAGCCAAAATTATTCACAAAGAATTGTCTTGGTGTGTGACTAGAGGGTTCAGAATTCCAGTATTACTTGGAGAGAGGGGTTGGGTATAGTGGTAAACTTAAAGTTTACCTGCAAAAAAACAGTGTTGAATGCCTGAGTATGGCAAATCCAAAAAGTAAGTATTTGGATTTATTGGTGAATAAGGGAGAGAGGTTGGTTATCAAAAAAAGAGCAGTTAAGTAGGAATATGTTAGTAGTTTTAAATACTTTATGATGGCTCTAATCATATATGTACTTCCTATTTCAAAAGGTATTTCATTTCATAAGTTAGAGTAACACCCAATATTAGAATTTCAGTGTCCAGAAATTGATTACCTTCTCCTGACTTGGAACTCTCTGCTCAAAAGCCTTTGATGACTCTTCGTTGCCTGGAGAGTAAAAATTTATTTAGCCCTAGCCAGCGCTGTCCACCTGCACTCCTACCATACACACTCTCTGTTTCAGCCACATGTAACAGAATGTTACCATAGGGCTCTTCCTATCTTGGAGGTTTCGAACAGGCCCCAGAGCCCAGACCACCTATGCAGAGCTTGCTAAAAGATTGTGAAACTTGTGCTAAACGTCACCCTGAGGATATAAAAGAGGTGGAAGAAGTCAGAGGTCAAGACTAAGGAAAGAGGCTGAGGTTGATGATTGTATCTGAGAGAGTAGAGCAAAAAGTGAAGACAAGGAAAAGGTGTGTGGGTCCAGCACAAGGGAGCCAGCTGGGGATATCTTAAAAGGAATCCCATCCATAAGGTTCAACTAGAGGAGCAGAATGATCCCAGAGCAGGACTTGATCACCTGAAGGCCAGGACTGAAAGGGAGTTGTGGGCAGACCACTGGACGGAGAGATAGCCAGCTTTGGACAGGCACCACACCCTGAGGACATAATGAAGCCAGATAACAACGTATATGCATCAAGTGAGACCTTCCCCAGGCACCTTGACCCCTGTATGGAGGAACCCCAAAACACCCAGCTGTCCAGCAGGAAAAAGTAGAAGGAGGAGAGAGAGAAGCCAGCAAGTCCCCTTCTTGAAGTGTGTATACGCTAAGCCTGAAATATACTGTAGCTGCAGAAGGGAGAATTTTCAATTAGCCAAAATGGGAGTTTTAATTATTATAATAGAGTGTACATATTTACTGCTAGAAGCTGGCCTGAGGACTTTTATAATTGAAGAGTGTAGGAATACAGTGGATCCCCCTGAAATTTCATCCCAGGAATGAGGAAGAACAGTTCGTGGAACAAATTTACCAAGGAGAAGAGAATAGAGCTGTTTTTTCCTGCACACCCATAATGGTACTACAGATCCTTCAATAAACCAGAACACACACAAGGCTGGGGTTGTCCTCTCGTCCCTCTCCTACATCAGCAAATCTGTCTCTACGTAATCATGTAAGACTACAGCTTGCTTTAATAGCTCCCATCTTAAGAATGGGAGGGGGAGAGCGAGGTAGAAGAAAAACCTTGACCTTATATTTCGCCCTCCTGTTCCCCCATTTATTGTCTTTGCCACACAGCTTCTCAAGTGCTGTATAATCCCATTCCTCCCCTCCCACTCTCTCTTGAGCCCAATCAGACATTTGTACAAACTTCTCCATGAAAATAACCCTTGACCATTTGTTTCGGGCTCCTGTGACCAGGGTCTGTGTTCCTAAATCCAGTAGTCCTCATTCAGATCGTTCTGTTGGCAGCATTGGGCACAGCTGCGCCCTCCCTTCTCAAAACCCCTCACTTGCATGTAGTTGACTCTTTGGTCCCATTGTCTAATTGCTCTCCATCACCAGTTTCTAAATTTTGGAAGGCGTTAAGCCTCTGCCCAAGACCTCTTCCCTGCCCATTTCCCCTTGCTTCTTCAGTGACCTCATTAAGACTCAAAGCTTTAAGACACCATCTGTAGAGTATGACCTCCAAACATATATCTCCAGCCTGACCCTGATATCCTAATATATTTAATCACCTACTCAGCATTTCTTCTTGGCTTTCTAATAGATACCTAAAATTTAGCATGTCAAAAGCCTAATTCCTCTCAGCCCCCAGGAAATCTCCTCTCACTGTCTTTCCTAGAACATGAAAGAACAATTCTATTCATACACTTGCCTATGTCAAAACACCTTGAAAACATCCTTCATCCCTCTCTTTTTCTCATATTGTGCTCCAGTAAATGCTGTCAGTTCTACTGATGGAATCCACCAATGTGGACCACCTAGTTCAAGCAGTTGTGCTCCCTCTCTTGGTTTATTGACACAGTCTCCTGACTGTCTCCCTGTTTTTACCACTGGGCCCTGGATTCTGTTCTCACAGCAGCCAGGGTGGCCTCTTGAAAACTTGCCTCAGATTATGTCATTCCTCTGCTCAAAACCTTTCAATAATTTTGCATTTCACTGAGAATTAAAGCCAATGTCCTTAAAAATAAAAGATCTGTTCCTCTTACTTTTCAGCTCTCATCTTCTGTCCCCTTTCTCACTGTTCACACCACTGCAGCTGCCCTGATTCTTTGCTGTTCATGTAAGATAGCAAGCACACCTCTGCCACAGGGCCTTTGTACTTGCTCTTATCTCTCCACCTGCATCACTCTTAACTGCATGCTTCACTCACTCACTCCCTTCCAGTCTCTGCTGTAATGTAACCTCATCATTAAGGTCTATCCAGACCACCCTATATTAAAATAACAACACTTGCCTTCACTCACTGCTTAACCTCTCTATCCTTCTTTATTTTTCTACACACAGTTATCGTCCTACGCTCCACTGGACTGTAAGTTCCATGAAGACAGAACTTTGTTTTTTCACCACTGAATCCCCAGCCCCTTCAAAGTGCCTTGCATGTAATAGACTCTCACAAATAGTTCTCAAATGGAGGGTGCTTCCTAACTTGCTTTAGCCTTTCCACATGCTGTTCTTTCTGGCAAGAGTTGCTTCCCTTTACCCCCCGCCTTGTTACACCCCAGCCCCAAGTGAGCCTGTTAGAATCCTGTGCATCCTCTCAGACTCCAGTTTCATACAACCTCCTCTGTGACACCGCGTGAGTCAGATTTAATTCCTCTTTCCCCAGAACTCAAAGTTTTCAGTTTTATTTTGCTTTAATCAAGTTTGTACCCTTAACCACTACATTGTGTGTCTTTCAGACTCTTGTTCTTTCTTGATTTTAAGGCTTTAGAGATGACAAATTCAGCAACCGCAGGTCCTTCTCATGTTGTAGAATTGTAAAGTAGCTGTTTTTTAACTGCATGCAACTGTATGAATCCTAAACCTAGAATTTTCAATCCCTCTATTCTACCGCATGTATTTTCATTTCTCCTTCTTTTTCTACTACTTCCTCTTCATCACAAAAAAAGTCCCAAGCACATATTATATGTTATTCATTTTCTTCAAACATCTTTCACTTAATAGTTTAGAGAAAAGCCCATCTATTCCATTGAGTGACCTTTCCTATGACTATAGAAAGTGGTCAGTTTTTCTGTCCCTTGGCCTGTTTAGCAGTTGAAATGCACCTGACAGTTTGTATTACAAAGCTAAATGGTGGTGGCCAGTAAGGAGTTTGATAAACTTTTCATGTAATTTATACATAGGGGAAATGACACTGGCTGTTGAGCACATGAAGTCATTTTCTTTCTTCCCTGAAATGCTTTGGGGGAGAAGACCAATCAGTCATCTTAGTGCTGCACCTCCATAGTGAGATCTGCATTAGGTTTTTGACCAAGAAGACAGTAATATTTTATGACAAAACTTGGAAAAGTTAAAAATTCACAGATGAACAAATGCTTTTTCTCATTATTTATCTTTTTATTCTTTCCTATTTTTATTCCCTGAGACCATTTGCATGAGGGGAAATTTAATCAGGATCCCTAGTTGAGAACATTTCTATTGGAGAAAATGGAACCTGGATATCAAATTATCTCACAACTTCTTCTGAGTGACATACACTGAATTTTATCTTAAATAGCTTGTTTAGAAGCTATTGGTCACCAGCTTAAATAGCACCTTTTCATTATAACATTGCTTCTGTTGTTGCATTCATAACATTTTATTTGCTAAAAATGTATTAACTGTGTCTCTCCCATCAGTTCTTGAGCTTTGGAGGGCTGTGGCTGTGGCTTATTCATCTCTCCATACCCAAAGACTAGCATATAATAGACATACAGTAAAAATGGAAAGACTATATTGAGCTGCAGTCTACCCTGTCCAATTAAAAGTCAGTGGACATTTGTTGAATAACTGCTATGTGCCAGGTATTTTGAAATATTTGGTGTTATTTAATCTTTATAGTGACCCTAAAATGCATTGTTATCCCTTAGTTATAGATGAGAGAAAGTACATAAGTGGTTTACCCAGCTAGTAAGTAGCAGACCTGTCTTTGAATGTAACCCATGTAAAGCAAAATTTTCTGTCCTTTCTCCTTTATTAGAGCTTAAGTGATCTTTCAGGGACCGATATGTTTAGCTATCAACTCTGTAATAACATGAAAAATATTTATTTAGCTGTGATCATCTATTTGATAAATTGTCAGAGTGATAAACCCAAAAGGAGCTTTAAAGATCATTCAGCCTGTAATCCCAAGGTGGAAAGATCACTTGAGGCCAGGAGTTTGAGACCAGCCTGGGCAACATAGTGAGACCCTTCTCTCTTAAAAAGAAAAAAAAGCTGGATGTGGTGGTGGTGGGTACCTGTAGTCCCAGCTACTTGGGAGGCTAAGGCAGGAGGATCACTTGAACCCAGGAATTTGAGGCTGCAGTGAGCCATGATCATGCCCACTGCATTCCAGCCTGAGAACAGAGCAAGAACTTGTCTCAAAAAAACCCCCAGAAATCATCCAATTCAGTATTCTAATTTCAGATGCAAAAATTGAGTCCCAGAAGGGAAAAGGTCTTGGCCATTATTTCTTCTGTCAGTTGGAATCATGTTATTCTTCTCCTTTTGCACTGTCCTTACAGTAATTACTTTTAAATCCTTAGCAAGTCTGATTATCCCCTGCATGGTATGGCCTGTGATGACCTCTCCAGCCTCACGTTGCACTACTACCCCTCACAGTTTCTGTCCTTCATCTGTGGCATAGAACACACTCTATTCTCTGCTTCCTGTCCCTCTGCCTATAGCACCCTTCCCTCTACTCCTTCTCCTAAGTCCTACTTACCCTTCACATTTAGCTCAGGCATCTAATATCCTCTCGCTGGAAGCTTTCAGACTAGATTAGGTGGTGTATCTATGTGCATCCATGGTACATACCTGTCATGGTGCGTATCCTTCTGTGTTTGTTGTTAGTTAACTGGCTTATGTCTTCCTTGCTGTGAATTCCTTGAGGACAGATATTGCGGAGCATTCATTTCTATATCACCACGGCCTCATAAAGCTCCTCACACAAAGTCAGCTTTCAGGAAATTTTGAAAGAAATAATCACTCACTTGGATTCAGGTCTGAAGTGAGGCAAACATTAGAGATGTGATGGTGTTGAATACTCATCGTTTTTGATATTTTGAAGGCTCTCCCATGCTTGAGGATCCAAAGGAGTTTACCATTTTGTAATGCCACAGATGTGTACTGGTGTCTGTAATGCTCAGGTCCCATCCTTGAGCTTCACCAGGAACATCAGTAGGAAGATCTGGCACAGGCTATGTGGAGAGCCTCCTCACCCCATGCTGATGATCTCATAGTATCTGGTCACTGCCACTAAGGAAAAATAAATGCCTGCAGGTCCTTTTATACCATGATGTAACTAACTATAGGAAGTGTCCCTATGCAACATCTTTCATCTTACCTGAATCAAAGCTTCAATGAATGAAGTTCTCTTCGGCCCATCATCCTGCAAGAAACTGGTAGGATGATGGCATTGGGAAGCTATAAGGGTGATTCTGACTTCTCTGAAATGACATACATTCCTTGTCAATATTATGTCAGCGGAAAACTTGCTAGCCTTAGAAATAAAAATAAAGGTCTTATTTTTACATTGACACTTTCAATCTAGGTAAACTTGAATAATTCATTTGATATTTCAGAGGCTTCATTTCTTCATCTAAGAACATGAGGATCTTTTCTATTTATGGAGGTATCTTGAGGATTGGTTGAAGTAGTGAGCATGAAAGGTCTCTAGAAAACCTTGGTTGTTTAGACATGTTTTAGGGACATTGAAATGGACTGCGCATGGAGGAAGCTTCATGGGGGGCACACCTGAGGGGCATTTCCTCAATGGGAGAGCACCTTTGCCCTTCACAACATTCACACACCCCTCCTGGGTATTGGTGCCAGGCTAGTGCCCTGATCTGAGTCCACCTCTGAACAGTCACCCTCACCAAGATACCCCGAGCCAGGAGAGCCAGTGGAGCACATCTAAGCCAAAGATGTCAAAGAGAGTGAGGAGTGAGAGGTCCAAATTCAACTGGAGACCCTCAAGATGAGACCTGTTTTGAATGAGAGAGAGATGACCGTGCAGGGTGGAAGCAGGTCTGATGCAGCTGACAGCTAACCACTGCTGCTCGGAAGTGTCGACGGCTCACCACTTATGTGTTGGCTTTTGTTCCTGGACTACTCAGGTGGTTTAAAAGACCAGGTGAAATTGAGGCAATAATGAATAGCTTACCAACCAAAAAAAGTCCAGGACCGGATGGATTCACAGCCGAATTCTACCAGAGGTACAAGGAGGAATTGGTACCATTCCTTCTGAAACTATTCCAGCCAATAGAAAAAGAGGGAATCCTCCCTAACTCATTTTATGAGGCCAGCAACATCCTGATACCAAAGCCTGGCAGAGACACAACAACAAAAAAAAAGAGAATTTTAGACCAATATCCCTGATGAACATCGATGCAAAAATCCTCAATAAAATACTGGCAAACCGAATTCAGCAGCACATCAAAAAGCTTATCCACCATGATCAAGTGGGCTTCATCCCTGGGATGCAAGGCTTGTTCAGCATACACAAATCAATAAACATAATCCAGCATATAAACAGAACAAACAACAAAAACCATATGATTATCTCAATAGATGCAGAAAAGGCCTTTGACAAAATTCAACAACGCTTCATGCTAAAAACTCTCAATAAATTAGGTATTGATGGGACGTATCTCAAAATAATAAGACCTATCTATGACAAACCCACAGCCAATATCATACTGAATGGGCAAAAACTGGAAGCATTCCCTTTGAAAACTGGCACAAGACAAGGATGCCCTCTCTCACCACTGCTATTCAACGTAGTGTTGGAAGTTCTGGCCAGGGCAATCAGGCAGGAGAAGGAAATAAAGGGTATTCAATTAGGAAAAGAGGAAGTCAAATTGTCCCTGTTTGCAGATGACATGAATGTATATCTAGAAAACCCCATCATCTCAGCCCAAAATCTCCTTAAGCTGATAGGCAACTTCAGCAAAGTTTCAGGATACAAAATCAATGTGCAAAAATCACAAGCATTCTTATACACCAGTACAGACAAAGAGAGAGCCAAATCTTGAGTGAACTCCCATTCACAATTGCTTCAAAGAGAATAAAATAGCTAGGAATCCAACTTACAAGGGACGTGAAGGACCTCATCAAGGAGAACTACAAACCACTGCTCAATGAAATAAAAGAGGATACCAATAAATGGAAGAACATTCCATGCTCATGGGTAGGAAGAATCAATATCATGAAAATGGCCATACTGCCCAAGGTAATTTATAGATTCAATGCCATCCCCATCAAGCTACCAATGACTTTCTTCACAGAATTGGAAAAAACTACTTTAAAGCTCATATGGAATCAAAAAAGAGCCCACATTGCCAAGTCAATCCTAAGCCAAAAGAACAAAGCTAGAGGCATCACGCTACCTGACTTCAAACTATACTACCAGGCTACAGGAACCAAAATAGCATGGTACTGGTACCAAAACAGAGATGCAGACCAATGGAACAGAACAGAGCCCTCAGAAATAATACCACACATCTACAACCATCTGATCTTTGACAAACCTGACAGAAACAAGAAATGGGGAAAGGATTCCCTGTTTAATAAATGGTGCTGGGAAAACTGGCTAGCCATATGGAGAAAGCTGAAACTGGATCCCTTCCTTACACCCTATACAAAAATTAATTCAAAATGGATTAAAGACTTAAATGTTAGACCTGAAACTATAAAAATCCTAGAAGAAAACCTAGGCATCACCATTCAGGACATAGGCATGGGCAAGGACTTCATGTCTAAAACACCAAAAGCAATGGCAACAAAAGCCAAAATTGACAAATGGGATCTCATTAAACTAAAGAGCTTCTGCACAGCAAAAGAAACTACCATCAGGGTGAACAGGCAACCTACAGAATGGGAGAAAATATTCACAACCTACTCATCTGACAAAGGGCTAATATCCAGAATCTACAAAGAACTCAAACAAATTTGCAAGAAAAAAACCCCATCAACAATTGGGTGAAGGATATGAACAGACACTTCTCAAAAGAAGACATTTATGCAGCCAAAAGGCACATGAAAAAATGCTCATCATCACTGGCCATCAGAAAAATGCAAATCAAAACCACAATGAGATACCATCTCACACCAGTTAGAATGCCAATCATTAAACAGGAAACAACAGATGCTGGAGAGGATGTGGAGAAATAGGAACACTTTTACACTGTTGTTGGGACTGTAAACTAGTTGAACCATTGTGGAAGTCAGTGTGGCGATTCCTCAGGGATCTAGAACTAGAAATACCATTTGACCCAGCCATCCCATCACTGGGTATATACGCAAAGGATTATAAATCATGCTACTATAAAGACACATGCACACATATGTTTATTGTGGCACTATTCACAATAGCAAAGACTTGGAACCAAGCCAGATATCCAACAATGATAGACTGGATTAAGAAAATGTGGCAAATATACACCATGGAATACTATGCAGCCATAAAAAATGAGTTCATGTCCTTTGTAGGGACATGGATGAAGCTGGAAACCATCATTCTTAGTAAGCTATCGCAAGGACAAAAAACCAAACACCACATGTTCTCACTCATAGGTGGGAATTGAACAATGAGAACACATGGACACAGGAAGGGGAACATCACACACCGGGGCCTGTGGTGGGGTCGGGGGAGTGGGGAGGGATAGCATTAGGAGATATACCTAATGTTAAATGACGAGTTAATGGATGCAGCACACCAACATGGCACATGTATACATATGTAACAAACCTGCACATTGTGCACATGTACCCTAAAACTTAAAGTATAATAATAAAAAATAAAAGACCACGTGAAATGAGCAGGCTTGGGCAATTCAAAGCCTGGAAAAAAAGTGGTAGAGAGGGGGATTTGGGGAAGAGTAGATAGACAGAATGAGGTGACACATTGAAGGACTTCTTAGAGAAATGCATTTGAGGAAGAAGCAGCCAAGATGGCCGAATAGGAACAGCTCTGGTCTACAGCTCCCAGCGTGAGTGACGCAGAAGACGGGTGATTTCTGCATTTCCATCTGAGGTACCGGGTTCATCTCACTAGGGAGTGCCAGACAGTGGGCGCAGGACAGTGGGTGCAGCGCACCGTGCACGAGCTGAAGCAGGGCAAGGCATTGCCTCACTCAGGAAGCACAAGGGGTCAGGGAGTTCCCTTTCCTAGTCAAAGAAAGGGGTGACAGATGGCACCTGGAAAATCGGGTCACTCCCGCCCTAATACTGTGCTTTTCCAATGGGCTTAAAAAATGGCACACCAGGAGATTATATCCCGCACCTGGCTTGGAGGGTCCTGCACCCACGGAGTCTCACTGATTGCTAGCACAGCAGTCTGAGATCAAACTGCAAGGCGGCAGCAAGGCTGGGGGAGGGGCGCCCGCCATTGCCCAGGCTTGCTTAGGTAAGCAAAGCAGCCTGGAAGCTCGAACTGGGTGGAGCCCACCACAGCTCAAGGAGGCCTGCCTGCCTCTGTAGGCTCCACCTCTGGGGGCAGGGAACAGACAAACAAAAAGACAGCAGTAACCCCTGCCGACTTAAATGTCCCTGTCTGACAGCTTTGAAGAGAGCAGTGGTTCTCCCAGCACGCAACTGGAGATCTGAGAACGGGCAGACTGCCTCCTCAAGTGGGTCCCTGACCCCTGACCCCCAAGCAGCCTAACTGGGAGGCACCCCCCAGTAGGGGCAGACTGACACCTCACACGGCCGGGTACTCCTCTGAGACAAAACTTCCAGAGGAACGATCAGACAGCTGCATTCGCGGTTCACGATAATCCCCTGTTCTGCAGCCACTGTTGCTGTTACCCAGGCAAACAGGGTCTGGAGTGGACCTCTAGCAAACTCCAACAGACCTGCAGCTGAGGGTCCTGTCTGTTAGAAGGAAAACTAACAAACAGAAAGGACATCCACACCAAAAACCCATCTGTACGTCGCCATCATCAAAGACCAAAAGTAGATAAAACCACAAAGATGGGGAAAAAACAGAGCAGAAAAACTGGAAACTCTAAAAAGCAGAGCACCTCTCCTCCTCCAAAGGATCGCAGTTCCTCACCAGCAATGGAACAAAGCTGGACAGAGATTGACTTTGACGAGTTGAGAGAAGGCTTCAGACCATCAAACTATTCCAAGCTACAGAAGGAAATTCAAACCAAAGGCAAAGAAGTTGAAAACTTTGAAAAAAATTCAGATGAATGTATAACTAGAATAACCAATACAAAGAAGTGCTTAAAGGAGCTGATGGAGCTGAAAGCCAAGGCTCGAGAACTACGTGAAGAATGCAGAAGCCTCAGGAGCCGATGTGATCAACTGGAAGAAAGGGTATCAGGGATGGAAGATGAAGCGAATGAAATGAAGCGAGAAGGGAAGTTTGGAGAAAAAAGAATAAAAAGAAACGAACAAAGCCTCCAAGAAATATGGGACTATGTGAAAAGACCAAATCTACGTCTGATTGGTGTACCTGAAAGTGACGGAGAGAATGGAACCAAGTTGAAAAACACTCTGCAGGATATTATCCAGGAGAACTTCCCCAATCTAGCAAGGCAGGCCAACGTTCAGATTCAGGAAATACAGAGAACGCCACAAAGATACTCCTCGAGAAGAGCAACTCCAAGACACATAATTGTCAGATTCACCAAAGTCGAAGGAAAAAATATTAAGGGCAGCCAGAGAGAAAGGGCGGGTTACCCACAAAGGGAAGCCCATCAGACTAACAGCAGATCTCTTGGCAGAAACCCTACAAGCCAGAAGAGAGTGGGGGCCAATATTTAACATTCTTAAAGAAAAGAATTTTCAATCCAGAATTTCATATCCAGCCAAACTAAGCTTCAAAAGTGAAGGAGAAATAAAATACTTTACAGACAAGCCAATGCTGAGAGATTTTGTCACCACCAGGCCTGCCCTAAAAGAGCTCCTGAAGGAAGCACTAAACATGGAAAGGAACAACCGGTACCAGCCACTGGAAAATCATGCCAAACTGTAAAGACCATCGAGGCTAGGAGGAAACTGCATCAACTAACGAGCAATATAACCAGCTAACATCAAAATGACAGGATCAAATTCACACATAACAATATTAACTTTAAATGTAAATGGACTAAATGCTCCAATTAAAAGACACAGTCTGGTAAATTGGATAAAGAGTCAAGACCCATCAGTGTGCTGTATTCAGGAAACCCAGCTCACATGCAGAGACACACATAGGCTCAAAATAAAAGGATGGAGGAAGATCTCCCATGCAAATGGAAAACAAAAAAAGGCAGGAGTTGCAATCCTAGTCTCTGATAAAACAGACTTTAAACCAACAAAGATCAAAAGAGACAAAGAAGGCCATTAAATAATGGTAAAGGGATCAATTCAACAAGAGCTAACCATCCTAAATATATATGCACCCAATACAGGAGCACGCAGTTTCATAATGCAAGTCCTGAGTGACCTACAAAGAGACTTAGACTCCCACACAATAATAATGGGAGACTTTAACACCCCACTGTCAACATTAGACAGATCAACGAGACAGAAAGTTAACAAGGATACCCAGGAATTGAACTCAACTCTGCACCAAGCGGACCTAATAGACATCTACAGAACTCTCCACCCCAAATCAACAGAATATACATTTTTTCCAGCACCACACCACACCTATTCCAAAATTGACCACATAGTTGGAAGTAAAGCTCTCCTGAGCAAATGTAAAAGAACAGAAATTATAACAAACTGTCTCTCAGACCACAGTGCAATCAAAGTAGAACTCAGGATTCAGAAACTCACTCAAAACCGCTCAACTACATGGAAACTGAACAACCTGCTCCTGAATGACTACTGGGTACATAATGAAATGAAGGCAGTAATAAAGGTGTTCATTGAAACCAACGAGAACAAAGACACAACATACCAGAATCTCTGGGACATATTCAAAGCAGTGTGTAGAGGGAAATTTATAGCACTAAATGCCCACAAGAGAAAGCAGGAAAGATCCAAAATTGACACTCTAACATCACAATTAAAAGAACTAGAGAAGCAAGAGCAAACACATTCAAAAGCTAGCAGAAGGCAAGAAATAACTAAAATCACAGCAGAACTGAAGGAAATAGAGACATAAAAAACCCTTCAAAAAATTAATGAATCTAGGAGCTGGTTTTTTGAAAGGATCAACAAAATTGATAGATCGCTAGCAAGACTAATAAAGAAGAAAAGAGAGAAGAATCAAATAGACGCAATAAAAAATGATAAAGGGAATATCACCACTGACCCCACAGAAATACAAACCACCATCAGAGAATACTACAAACACCTCTACTCAAATAAACTAGAAAATCTAGAAGAAATGGATAAATTCCTCGACACATACACCCTCCCAAGCCTAAACCAAGAAGAAGTTGAATCTCTGAATAGAACAATAACAGGATCTGAAATTGTGGCAATAATTAATAGCTTACCAACCAAAAAGAGTCCAGGACCAGATGGATTTACAGCTGAATTCTACCAGAGGTACAAGGAGGAAGTGGTACCATTCCTTCTGAAACTATTCCAATCAATAGAAAAAGAGGTTATCCTCCCTAACTCATTTTATGAGGCCAGAATCATCCTGATACCAAAGCCTGGCAGAGACACAACCAAAAAAGAGAATTTTAGACCAATATCCTTGATGAACATTGATGCAAAAATCCTCAATAAAATACTGGCAAACCGAATCCAGCAGCACATCAAAAAGCTTATCCACCATGATCAAGTGGGCTTCATCCCTGGGATGTAAGGCTGGTTCAATATAGGCAAATCAATAAATGTAATCCAGCATATAAACAGAACCAAAGGAAAAAACCACATGATTATCTCAATAGATGCAGAAAAGGCCTTTGACAAAATTCAACAACGCCTTATGCTAAAAACTCTCAATAAATTAGGTATTGATGGGACGTATCTCAAAATAATAAGAGCTATCTATGACAAACCCACAGCCAATATCATACTGAATGGGCAAAAACTGGAAGCATTCCCTTTGAAAACTGGCACAAGACAGGGATGCCCTGTCTCACCACTCCTATTCAACATAGTGTTGGAAATTCTGGCCAGGGCAATTAGGCAGGAGAAGGAAAGAAAGGGTATTCAATTAGGAAAAGAGGAAGTCAAATTGTCCCTGTTTGCAGATGACGTGATTGTATATCTAGAAAACCCCATCGTCTCAGCCCAAAATCTCCTCAAGCTGATAAGCAACTTCAGCAAAGTCTCAGGATACAAAATCAATGTGCAAAAATCACAAGCATTCTTATACACCAATAACAGACAAAGAGAGAGCCAAATAATGAGTGAGCTCCCATTTACAATTGCTTCAAAAAGAATAAAATGGCTAGGAATCCAACTTACAAGGGATGTGAAGGACCTCATCAAGGAGAACTACAAACCACTGCTCAATGAAATAAAAGAGGATATAAACAAATGGAAGAACATTCCATGCTCATGGGTAGGAAGAATCAGTATCGTGAAAATGGCCATACTGCCCAAGGTAATTTATAGATTCAGTGCCATCCCCATCAAGCTACCAATGACTTTCTTCACAGAATTGGAAAAAACTACTTTAAACTTCATATGGAACCAAAAAAGAGCCCGCATCGCCAAGTCAATCCTAAGCCAAAAGAACAAACTGGAGGCATCACGCTACCTGACTTCAAACTATACTACAAGGCTACAGTAACCAAAAGAGCATGGTACTGGTAACAAAACAGAGATATAGACCAATGTAACAGGACAGAGCCCTCAGAAATAACACCGCATATCTATAACTACCTGATCTTTGACATACCTGAGAAAAACAAGCAATGGGGAAAGGATTCCCTATTTAATAAATGGTGCTGGGAAAACTGGCTAGCCATATGTAGAAAGCTGAAACTGGATTCCTTCCTTACACCTTATACAAAAGTTAATTCAAGATGGATTAAAGACTTAAACGTTCGACCTAAAACCATAAAAACCCTAGAAGAAAAACTAGGCATTACCATTCAGGACATAGGCATGGGCAAGGACTTCATGTCTAAAACACCAAAAGCAATGGCAACAAAAGCCAAAATTGACAAATGGGATCTCATTAAACTAAAGAGCTTCTGCACAGCAAAAGAAACTACCATCAGACTGAACAGGCAACCTACAAAATGGGTGAAAATTTTCGCAACCTACTCATCTGACAAAGGGCTAATATTCAGAATCTACAATGAACTCAAACAAATTTACAAGAAAAAGCAACCCCATCAAAAAGTGGGCAAAGGACATGAACAGACACTTCTCAAAAGAAGACATTTATGCAGCAAAAAAACACATGAAAAAATGCTCACCATCACTGGCCATCAGAGAAATGCAAATCAAAACCACAATGAGATACCATCTCACACCAGTTAGAATGGCAGTCATTAAAAAGTCAGGAAACAACAGGTGCTGGAGAGGATGTGGAGAAATAGGAACACTTTTACACTGTTGGTGGGACTGTAAACTAGTTCAACCATTGTGGAAGTCAGTGTGGCAATTCCTCAGGGATCTAGAACTAGAAATACCATTTGACCCAGCCATCCCATTACTGGGTATATACCCAAAGGACTATAAATCATGCTGGTATAAAGACACATGCACACATATGTTTATTGCTGCACTATTCACAATAGCAAAGACTTGGAACCAACCCAAATGTCCAACAATGATAGACTGGATTAAGAAAATGTGGCACATATACACCATGGAATACTATACAGCCATGAAAATTGATGAGTTCATGTCCTTTGTGGGGACATGGATGAAATTGGAAATCATTATTCTCAGTAAACTATAGCAAGAACAAAAGACCAAACACCGCATATTCTCACTCATAGGTGGGAATTGAACAATGAGAATACATGGACACAGGAAGGGGAACATCACACTCTGGGGACTGTTGTGGGGTGGGGGGACGGGGGAGGGATAGCATTATGAGATATACCTAATGCTAAATGACGAGTTAATGGGTGTAGCACACCAGCATGGCACATGTATACATATATAACTAACCGGCACATTGTGCACATGTACCCTAGAACTTCAACTATAGTAATAATAAAATAAGAAAAAGTAAAAATAAAAAAATAAAAGAGAAATGCATTTGAGGCAAAGCCTCTTTTCCTCTGTGTAGAACTGATGATGGGGTAAAATAGAAGAAACCACACATATACACCCTGATGCTGATCTAGAGCCCAGTAGCTCCAGAGAGCTAGGGAAGGCCCCACTCTGTGTGGGACATTTATGTGGCCTGTGACCACAAGAACCGTCAGCAGCAGAACAGGTGATGAGCATTTGTTGAGTGAATCAAAACAGAAATGAACCACTGTGCAGGTTCAGCTGGGTTCCCCTGAATGCATCCTTGAGAGGGTCCTCAGTGTGTTTGTGGACATCTAGTTACAAGGCAATCAACATATAAATGGGGATCATCTTCCCATCGCCTTCAAGAAAAACAGAATTCTATTTCTGCATGTCATGAAGGGTTCTTTAGGATCTGACACATACCTGCCCTTCCACTCAGAGGTCTGACATTTTATTTTCACATCTGCTCCGTGGCTGCCTGTCTTTGGGCAAGTTACATGACCCTGCTAATCCTCAGTTCCCTCATCTTTAAAATGGGGATAAAGATACCTATCTCACCGGCTTGTGATAATTATAAAATGAGAAAGTGCAAATAAATCCACTGTCTTTTCATCACACATATGCCAATCCAGCATTTGTGATTTTTAAAAATTCTTACTGTATAGTTTACCTTTCAGCCAAACCATGCCTTCTTCAAGCTGATATTATACTAAGAACTTTTATCTTTATTGAGGTGCTTATCAGAATATCTTGCCATTCTTGCATTAACTGTTAGATATCCCAACTGCATGGGAAACAAGGACAAGCACAGTATCTTTTTCATCTCTCTTTTTCACAGGACCTGACACATAGAAGGTGCTCAGCTGAATGTTTGCCGAAGGGTCATGTGAAGTGTCTCTGTTCTGGAGAATCTTGATTCCCAAGAGCCCCAGATAATTCCTGGCCCCTACTCTCCTATCCCATATTAGGCAGCTACTCTGTGTCAGAAACTAAGCCAGGGGCTCTGCACAAAAGGCTGTAGTTCATAGCTCTGCAACCCTGGGGGGCAGCTATTATATAAACTTCTTACAACAATTAACACAAATCCCTCAAGTGTAAACATCTGATGTCTCTTTACCTTCAACCCACTAGGGACACAAATTGAGAACCCAGCAACCCTCATCTGGCATGGAAAACTTAAGACCTGGATTTCTTCCACCTGCACCTGCTGCGTTTGTAGCCATCCCCTCCCCTCTTCCAGCACCTTTGTTGTTTGTATCTTACCAGGATTAACCATACTAGTCTGGACTCTGAACTCAGAAACATGTAGATTAAACATTTCCTAGCTTAAAAAAATAGAGTGCAGAAAGTTAAATAGTTAGCTCTCACATGTTGATTATTTACTATGTGAAGGCAGTATGTAGGGTTTGTCTAACATTGCCTCCAATTTTCCCAAATATCCGGTAAGGTGAATATTCTTGTCTGTCTTTTACACGGGAAGAAGCCAAGATTCAAGAGGGCCTCATAACTTGCTGCATGGATCTGTGATTCCTGACCTGGGTACACCCCAACACTGCTTCTTCCTGGCACCAGGCACCCAAGGAATCAGTTCCACTAGCCCCCACGCCTCAGCAACCAGCACTAGGCATGGAGGGGTGCTTCCTCCCACCAAGGCTGAGTGCTCAGTCACACCCTATGAGAGCAAGCCAATGAAATGGAAAAATAGCTCTTACTCCTGACTCTGACATCTGCCCTGCAGGTGAGAGCCAAATTCTCAAATTGCCAGGCCAATGGCAAATAAGCCCACACTATGCACAGAGGGTATCAACACAAAGAGGGTTCTGTGGGAATTCACACATCCTGGAAGCCAGGCTGACCCTGGTAGACAGTTTCATTTTATCTTGTCTCAGCCACATGATGAGTGGAGAGAGAGAAGGAAAGTGCACAGATCTCCAGAAATGGGGTTTGGGTTCACTCTTGAGAATACCCCTGGGCAGTACTCTGACCCTTGGGCCCCTCTCTGTAAACACACAAGAACAGCTAAAATGTCTGGAAAGGGGAAGGGCTGGTTCCACTGATGCCCCTGCATTCATTGAGTTTCCTGCTTCCCAAGTAGCTGAGAGGCAGCTGGATATAAAAGGAACAGGCTTTGGAGTCAGACCCAGATCAAATCCCCATTCTGCTACTTGGTACCTGTAGGACAATGAGCAAGGCTTTGACCTTCTGTGAGCCATGGTTTATCTGTAAACTAAAGGAAATGGTAGATTATCATGAAAATTATAGATAAGAATATGAAACAGCACATAGTAGCTGCTTGGCAAATGTTAGTTGCCTTCCCTCCCTTTTCCCCCACTGCATTCATTTGTAATGCCTTTTTTTAAAAAAAAATGACAGTAAGAGCAATTATAATTGGCACAGGTTGCTTTATGAGCTAAATATGTTACAGATCAATAATACACAATCTCTGGCCTGGCGCGGTGGCTCATGCCTGTAATCCCAGCACTTTAGGAGACCAAGGTGGGCAGATCACAAGGTCAGGAGTTCGAGACCAGCCTAGCCAATATGGCGAAACCCCATCTCTACTGAAAATACAAAAAATTAGCCGGGCTTGGTGGTGAGCAACTGCAGTCCCAGCTACTCGAGAGACTGAGGCAGAAGAATCCTTTGAACCCAGGAGGCAGAAGTTGCAGTGAGCCGAGATCGCGCCATTGCACTCCAGCCTGGGTGACAGAGTGAGACTCCATCTCAAAAAAATAATAATAAAAAATAAATAAAAACCACAATCTCTATTTAAGCCACTCTCACAGGACTGACTGTACCCTATATCATGTCATATATTTGACAGACAGTTGCTTTTCTTCCTTTTATTCTTCTAAAGAAGTCCAGATGAGCCCCAGATACAGGTTCATACCCTAGATAGCCTATTCCAAGGGTTAAAATCAGGCCTGCTTCACATCGAAGGCATTTTGTTATGATCTGTTCATAACAAAAGCTGCCTCCTGGCTGTTGCCTGCAGCTGAATACTGTTACTCTGAAGCCATCATTTCATTTGTTTCTGATTGTTCTGCAGTGTTTACATACCTTACATATTAGCGTGATCTTTTATAGAGTACAGGCAGAGGTTAAGCCCTCCCGGATCCACTTTCCCTCTGAGGGCTCTTTCTTCTTTTTTACTGTCCCTTGCCTCTGTGTTACAAACCATTTCTCTTTTATAGAAATTCATTTAAATAGAAAAACAATTTTTAAGTGTTTTCTTTTTTTTTTAACATGAGGCTCACTTAACATTTTTAGAAAATGTTGAATATGGAGAAGAGGGAAAAGATACCACCAAAATGTGTGATTTTTTTTTTCTTTTTTCCTGACATAGGAAAATCCCATTACCTCTCTTGAATTTACCAAGGGACATATTCCATTTAGGGCATAGAAGGACCTGGGCTGCCTCCAGACCTAATGTGGAAGAAGGTGCTGTCTGCCTGCTATTTCCTTGCTTCTCCTTATTTCAATCTTTTTTTTTTCTCCAAAAAAAAAAAAAAGTGACTTAGGAAGGATATGGACTTGTGAGTCAGATTTGGGTCTAAGTCTTGGTTCTGCCCTATGTGTAATCCCAGGAAGGAACTTGAGTTGATTTTCTGAAGCTCAGTTTCCTTTTCCATTAAAACTGGGAGTGACTCAGGCTTGCCTAGTATCTTAGCTGGAAGAATGTGTGTGAAACTGGCCCACCTTTCACAGATAGGTCACCCTGCTGATTGCAGTGGCTTCCAGGCACCCAGGCCTGGGAAAGATTCACAGGCCTAGTCCAGACCTGGCAGGAAAGAGGCTGTGAGCAGTTCTGCCTGCCGCAGATGTGCTGGCACATGTACCGCCGTGTGCTGCCCCAGGTAACATATCAGGCAGCTAGGGAATGTAGGCTTTCAGACCCTCTCTCTTCAGTTCTCTTCTGCTGACTTCCTCCCATCCAGCCATCATACTTTCTTAATCCTCTCATCAATCCCCTTTGTTATAGAGAAGATGGAAGGGTTAAATTCCTTCACCCTCATCACTTCCACTGATATTTGATAAACACCTCTCAGTTCATAATACTTTTGCACTCAAGCAGGGGAGCTACCCAGGTGTCTATGGAAAGTTTTGAATTCTTTTTGCCTATTCAGTTTAGTCTTCTCATTTTCTATCTGGCCAGAAATGGAGAAAGTGTTTTGAAGGTCAGGATTCTTCAGGTCTAGACTTGTAGGGATGTATCCTGAATTCCTCTGAGCTAAGCCTGAGAAGCACAAGTGGGTTCTATTGGGAAACACTTCCAAAAGGCAATGATTGATGCTTATGCACAGAAATTCTGACTTTTAGTAAAAGATGCTTGGATATAAATCAAGCAGGACTCTCCTTGCCTTTATACAATATGCGGTAAACAGGGTAAATCCTCAATTTTACTTATGCCCACTGACAGATCTTACAAGTAGAAATTAACCCATCTGAGTGATCGTGTTGATTCTTTCTCCCTCTTCTCTAGAGCCATTATAACCTCTGTACCCTACTTCAGAATTCTAATCAAGATAGTGTCAAGTCTTTTAAAAAAAAGTTAAACCCCCACATGAGCTCCAATCCATAAATAAGAAACTCACCCTGGCTTGTATGGAGGTGATGATATTAACACAGGCTACATTTCTCTGGGTCACTGAATGTACCCGGCACTGTACCAAGGCCAGTAATAGACTGTGCCACATTTAATCTTTACAGATCTGTAAGAGAGGTCTTATTTGTCCCATTTTTCAGATGAACACCCCAAAGACCAAGGTCACACAGCAGAGACTCTCGGCTGGAGACTGCCCTCAGGCATCCTTTTAACGGAACTCTAAAGTCTGCAGGAGGGAGCCATTTTTCCTACCAGCCAGTTTAGAATCAAAAAAGAGCATTGGTTTTGCCGTATTAGAGAACTAATTCATAATTAGTACTATGCTCACTCCTGGAGGATTTGACAGAAATAGAAGATATGGTTCTGACTCAGGATCCACCTCACTACGTGATGTCAGAGCAACAGAGCTAAGACTGCAACTGATGAGTATTGTGCAGATGGAGCACGCTACCTCCTCGTTAGCTCTCTCCCCTGCACCCACTCTGCCCCACCCACTCCTCCTCCCTTGCGTGATCCATAGAATAGACCAATATGTGTTTACCCACCACAGATTGTTTGGATTGTGAAAAATGCATGATATAATTTTATATCTTTGAAGGCACACAGCTCTCAGAGCTTTCAAAGCTGAAAACCAGTCTGGGCTCACTGGAGCCAGTTAGGCATTTGTATATAGAAGGCCAAGTGTGGCTTCTTGTCTATAGGAGAGAGAAAATGTGGAGGAACTTTTGGAAGGCTTCAGAGTTTTTTTGGCTATTCTCTCTCTCTTGCAAAGCAATCTGGGTGCATTAACTATAAATGAATGAGAAACATATGGATTAAATTTTATCTGTGATCACATATGAGTTTCAAGAATGATAAAGAATAAGGAATTCAGTGTTTAAGGAGTCCAGAATACTTTGCAAGTAATTCAGGATATTGCAGGCAACATTTGGCTGCCTCCCTCTATCCAAATTTGAGGACTGTTTGGTAGGGTGACAGACCTGCTCAGTGCCCTCCCCACCCACTCAGATTGCTAAACCTCAGGAGATACCTGTGGATAGGTTTTGTGTGTATCTTGTTTTGCTGAGACTGAAATAAAGAGATTGGGTTTCTAGGAAAGGCAAACTCTATGAGAACACTCTTAACCACTTTGAAACCCCCAAATAGAAGAGGAAAATTTGGTAAGCCCGATCTTTATTAACCATGTCTTGCTTACAGATAATATTAGATGTGTTTTATATCCTATTATTGCCCTTAATGTTAGTGTCATTGTCCTGTTAATGATAATGGTAGCCATGTCCTGCACTTGTGTAGTGATCTAATTTACAAACAGGTACACATTACCTGTTAATACACATTACAGATGTATTTGTAGAGATGTACACTTACAACATATGCAGAGTATGTTATGACAAGCTACAATACAGGAATTACAGAGTTAAGTGAAGATGCAGGCAGGAGTACCTAACCCAGCATTGTGGTAGAAGTCAGGGTTTATGGAAGGCTTTTCAGAGGAGATAACATTGAGTTCAGTCCTACACATGTTCGTTTGTTTGTTTGTTTGTTTGTTTTTGAGACGGAGTCTCACCCTGTCGCCCAGGATAGAGTGCAGTGGCACGATCTTGGCTTACTGTAACCTCCACCTCCTGGGTTCAAGTGATTCTCCTGCTTCAGCCTCCCAAGTAGTTGGTACTACAGGCACGTGCCACCACACCTAGCTAATTTTTGTATTTTTAGTAGAGCCAGGGTTTCACCATGTCAGCCAGGCTGGTCTCAGAACTCCTGACCTCCCAGTGATCTGCTGGCCTTAGCCTCCCAAAGTGCTGGGTTATGCATGTTCTTAAAAGAATATGAATAAGTAAGTGGCTGGGTGCAGTGGCTCATGCCTGTAATCCCAGCACTTTGGGAGGCCGAGACGGGCGGATCACTTGAGGTCAGGAGTTCAAGACCACCTGGCCAACACTGGTGAAACCCATCTCTACTAAAAATATAAACATTAGCTGGGCGTGGTGGCATGTGCCTGTAATCCCAGCTACTTGGGAGGCTGAGGCAGGAGAATCACTTGAACCCAGGAGGCAGAGGTTGCAGTGAGCCGAGATTTTGCCACTTCACTTCAGCTGGGGGACAGAGCAAG
The DNA here is from genome assembly GCF_000001405.40 of Homo sapiens. Taxonomy (NCBI): domain Eukaryota; kingdom Metazoa; phylum Chordata; class Mammalia; order Primates; family Hominidae; genus Homo; species Homo sapiens. Next base: position 59,599,683 of record NC_000001.11, read on the forward strand.
ACTCAAAAAAAAAAAAAAAAAAAAAGGAATATGTATAAGTTAGCTAGGGGAAAGCGAGAGGGAGTGCCCTCTAATCAGTGAGACAAGAATTTATGAACACTAAGAGTTGAGAAAGAAAATGGCACAAGGGGAATTTCAGGTTCACTTAAGTCTGAGGCCTAGCTTATGATGGGCTTGGTGCAATAAAAATGATGGGGGCAGAGGATTGGGAAATGATAACATAGGGGATTTCAGGAGACAAAAAGGTAAAAGCTACATCAGACAGTCCCATATGTCGTGGCAAGCTGCTCAAGGACTTTAGTAAGGAGAATGATAGAATTAAATTTGTGTATTAGAAAGATCATTGTGGTGGAGGTATGAAAGATTCTCTGAGTGACGCTTAAGAGAGTACAGGATGGAGGACACTATTTGGGTCAGGGAAACGAGTTTAATCCAGTTTCATCACCCTTGTAATAATCCAAGCAAGAAATGATGAAGGGCTGGACTAACGTAGTGGCAATAGTTGGAAACAGGAAGACTTGTGTTTGAAAAATATTTGACAGAGCACCGTGACCTACTGTGGGGCAGATGAGAGCGATGAATGATCAGGAAGTCAAGAATGGTATCCTGAGACAGAGATACTTCTGACATGTCAAAAATATAACGTGCCATCCTTCATCCCAGAGCTACAGAACAAGACATGTCGATTAGCCATCCAGGTCAAAGGTTCCATGTGGAGCTCAGGAGCAAGGCCTGAGTGTGGGATAAAAATTGTCATTGCACACATAGGACTGGATGAGCTGACCCTAAGAGATGTAGGCAGTGAGATGAACATAGGAGAGAATCCAGGAGGGAAGAGAAAGAAGAGCCTACCAAAGAGACGAAGCTAATAATGAGTAGAGGCTGGACCTGCACCCAGCTCTTTGGACACCAAACTTTTCCACCGTCCCAGAAAGTTGCAGAATTAAGCCATCTGTGGCTTAACATGCCTTGAGAGCATACTGTGTCCTAGGATCTTTATACACATTACCCCATCTAGGACTTAGACACAGCTCTGTGGTTAATGAGATGATCCCCATCGACAGATAAGGAAACTGAGTCTCAGGTCAGCAAATGACCTAACCAGAAATATCCAAGTTTGTCAGACTCCTAAGTCTGTGCTCATGTTACTAAACCATGTTTCTGCCTTTAAGATAAGATATGGCTCCTCACTATTTCCTGGGAGAGGCAGACATTAACAGCTATTTACAATTCAATCTGAGAAATGTAGAAATAAAGGTGAATGCTGAGAGCCCCCATTCATAAACAAAATTCTCTATGCTTTTTTTTTTTTTTTTTTGTACCATGTGGTGATCTAGGAGTTGGCTGGATTGTGTATAAATGGTTTTTCTCTAGTAAGACGATAGCACCGTCCATTTGGAGGGTGAGATGAGCCACCATGGAAATACCCGGTCCCACACATGCCTGTGGCTACCCTCTAAAATTCCCAACCTGGCCGGAGGCACTCAAAACAAAACCTCCTGTTCCCTCCCAGGACGACTGGCGCCTGGAGCCTGCCTTTTGCCCCTGCCAGAGGCTTAGGCCAGCCTCGGAGTGATGGCGTTGCAGGGAGGCAGAACAAACGGAGCTGGAGCAGCTCCCCACTCTGAGCCCAGTCATCTCTCCCAGAAGAGGTGTGAGCAGGCTTCTGGGCTTTGTCACCACAGGGAAACTCGGCTGACGGGCACATTGCCTTAGATGAAACTAAGCCAATGGCATGCACTCATGGAGCCAGCTTGAGCATAGACAAAAAGAGAGGCAGGAGCACATGGAAAGAGGCTTCTAATCCCAGCTCCATCATTTCTGATCTTTATGATCCTGGGCAATTTGCTTACCCTCTTCATGCCTGTGTCTTCAGCTATAATATGGGCTGACTGTGTTTGACTCTATAGACTGTCAGGGTAACTCTAAGTCTGAATGCAAATGTACACCTACAAGTCACTTGATATCTGAGTTATGCCCCAGCCCATACTGAATTCCAAGTCCCCCTAGATTATAAACTTCGGGAGGACGGAGACTACATCACTTATTGGCTCTGATGTCTGTCTTTCTATATCTTTTCATGTTTAAAACAGTAGTTTGAAATCAGTGTGTATCCAATAATATTTACTGAATACTTAATCAGCTAATGTAAGATGTTTTAGATAGTAGCCATTAAATACAACTCATGAAGTTGACAGAAAAACCCACAATAATCTTGGCCACAGGTTATGGAGCAAAGCAAGTACTAGGGGTACTACCAACAGAGCAAAGTAAGTACTTCAAGAAGCCCCAGGAGTTAGCCCAAGACAATCCCATGAAGCCCAGGCCATGTGAGGGCAGAGTCTGTGTTGAAATAGCTAGCTGAAGAGTTCTGATTGACCAGCTGGGCTAGAACAACTCAGCTTCATGAAATCTTAGAAAACCTCAAAGACAAAAGAGATATTAAATATTTCTAGTCCAATCAATTGATTTTATAGCTAAGGAGAGTTAGTTATAGAGAGAGAAATAAGTTGGTGGTTCATAATTTGGATCCTGAAAGCCCTCCTCTTCTATTTACTAGCTATTTGACCTCCTGCAGCTTCTATTTCCTCATCTGTGAAGTAAATATAATAATAGGACCTCTCTCATTGGGTTGTCATGAGTGTTAAATGTGATAATATATGTGAAGAACCTAGAAGAGTCTGTAGCATATGATAAATGCAAATAACTCTTAGCAATGACTATTTTATTATTTCTATATGATTTATTATTATAATTGTTAACTGATTTAAAGGCTCATTTCAGTGGGTTTTTTCCCCAACCATAATTGTTTTAAAATTGGATTTTTGAGAATCAGTAGGATCTGTTGATGCAAAACTATACCCATCCTTCAAACCATGCGATCTTTTATTTAAAGTAAAATGCAGAACTTTATATGGGGCCCCCTGAAATCAAAATGTGTTTACAGCTTCATGACTCTGAGCCTTGTCTACATGACTGTTTCTGCCCGGGCTGCCCTTCCTCTCTGCCCAAGCAAGTATGTCCTCCTCGTTCAAAGCCTTGCTTCAAGGTGGCCATCTCTGTGAAATGCTCACTCTTTTCCCAGGCAGTGAGTTATTCCTTCCTTTGGGCTCGTACTGCACTCCTCTCTTACCTTTTTGTAGCACTTGCCATGTTTTGTTGTTATTTTTTTATTTCTACCTGGCTGCCCTGTCAGATTAGGAACTCCCTGAGGTAAGCGACCATGCCACTTCATTAGTAGTAGTAGTAATAGTAATAGTAATATTTTGCCTTATTGTTATAGCTTTATTGAGCTCAGTGTCTGACATACAGTATGCAACCAAAGTTTTTATTACTGTTTTTGAAGTTTTTATAATGATATTTATATCAGACACAAAGAGTACACCAGATGTCTAAGTACAGTTTAAACAAAATACCAAAATGAACACCAGTATTCCCACCACCAAACCTGTGAAAGAGAATATTGCCAATACCTTTTAAGTGTAAGTTTTTAACTGTGTGAGTAAATAAATGTTACTTGTTTTCTTAATTTTGCTTAGTGTTTTAGCTCTTTGAGGTAATTTTGAATCTTGATTTGAACATGTCCCATAATAAGCTATTTTTCCAAGTGTTAGCATCTGAAAATATAAGCTTTTCTTCTGTATCATCTTCTACTCCATTATTAAGCATATTGATTAAACCAAGACCAAGGACAAATCTAGAGACCCCTTTACATGGTTGTGATTACTATTGCCTGTGGTTGTTCAGCCAGTCACCTGACTATTCCATCATACAAGCCTCATTTCAAGGAGAGCTAACGTTTATTTGGTGTTTAACATATAATAAACCATTGATATGTGACAGCTTACTTAATCTTTACAAAAGTCCCCCAGCATTCATGCATTCCTCCCATTTTGGAGTTGAGGAAACTGAGGCTCAGAAAGGCTACCTTACGTAAGATCGCCTAGCTGAGAATTGGGCAGAGTCAGGACTAGAATCACGATGGGCCTTTGTCCCGACCCATAGTTTCTCTTCTGTTGTTCACTGGTATATCAGGGAACACTTAATGGAAACTTTTTAGAAATGAAGATTCCCTAACCTACTTGTCATCAAGGCCAGAAGGTTATGTTCAGTTTGAGTAAGTCTGTGTTGGCTCTAATGGCCCTTGCTTTCTGCTCTTCAAAACAGATGAAAGACTCAAAGAAGTAATGGTAGCCTAAAATTAAGACTATAATTTGGCAGAGACAAATATAGAACCTGATGCCTGACTGCTTTCAGTTTTTGTAACACTGGGCATGTTATTTAACTCTCTGCCTCAGTCTACATATCTGTACAATAGGAATAATAACAGAATTTTTAAGTGATTTAATACCTGTAATATGCTTAGAATCAGGCCTTTACTAAGTACACAGTAAGTCTCAACTATTGTTGTTGTTGCCAACAGTGCCGTTATTACTGGGAAGTCAGTGTCCTGCATGGACACCTGTCATCAATGTAGTATGATGAGCTCCCCTTCTTTAGGGTCATGGAGCAGTCTCCAGGCCAAGACAGCCATCAGCATGGAAGGGGCTTTCACAAAAAGATTTTTAAATATTTAGGTTTGTTGCAAAAGATTAAACAACACATAAGTACACAAGTGTACATTCTTTCTCTCTCTCTCAAAACAAACTAGGAATTCCTAGATTCTTCTAAGAACACAGGGTTTGAGAGTGACTAGAAGTACTCTTTGTTTCCTTGCTTTACACAGGATGTCTGAGGAGAAGCATGTGCTATTCCAGATGAGTGGGCACAAACAGAGGTCAACTCAAAACTTTCTCCCTGGACAGAGCCAAGCAAAACCATTCTCTGACATTTCTGAGCAGCAAAGCAGCAAAGCCACAATCTTCTAATGAAGTCTTGCTGCAGCTGATGCAGTAACATCCCCAAATTGTGGGACAGGGGATGGGGAGAAGGGAGGTGAAGTGTATCCTTCCTAAGCAATTTATGCATACAAGTAAAGAGCATTATCATAGAGTTTGAGGTCAACATCTGCCTCAGTTGAAATCCCATCGTGGTCATCCATGTACTAACCATAGACAACTTACACAACCTCTTGGGGACTAATCTGTCAAATGGGGCCAAGAGTTCTGGAGGCAAGGGGCTGCAAGACACAGAAAGAGATGACTTGGCTTTGGCTCTACCTGTGCAAACCCTGGGTCCTAAGTGGTAATGAATATGGACTGCCTCATTCATCTCAAAGAAGCTCTGGGACTTAGGAAAGCAATTTCTAGAATTGGCACGTGATAAAATTTTCACTGGGCAAAGAAAGGCAGAGTGGTGAAAATAAGTACCAGTTAGTATGCTCTCCTTGTGGCTGGAACATTCACCATAGCTCACTCGTGCATTCTTTCTCTCTCATACACACAACACTCACACTCACCCACCTGAATAATTTCCATGCATGTTTTAAATCTTAATTCATGTACCATTTCCTTGGAGAAGCATTCCCTGTCACCTAGACTGAATTAGGTACCTCCCTTGTGTGCTCTCTTACTACCTTTTGGCTTTCCCTCATTTACTTCTCACAGTTGGTAATTACATATTTGTGTAATGATCTGATTAATATTTTTCTTAAGGTAGCCAGTTGCCCCAGTTTGGCTGAAACTGAGGGGTTTTCCAGAAGGCAAGACTTTCAGCGCTGAAACTGGGAAAGTCCTGGCCAAACCTGCGTAATTGTTCACTCTGGTCTGCTTCCCTCTCAAGATCGGATGCTCTTTGAGTACAGGCACTATGCTCTTGTTCACCATTTATCTCTGTGCCTGGCACAGACCTGGACTGGGAACTCAGGAAACATCTGTTAACCAGTAAAGAAGTAAATGTATATGTTAATCTAAGCTGAACTTACTTTTCTTATGAAAGCCTATCTTTTTTCTCCCTGAAATTATTCTATTTTGATGTTAAAATATCCCTTTTGAAAAACTGTCCTTATTTGACAAAATTTAAAGTTCACAATGTTATGCTGTTTTTGTTTTTTGCCTTCCTTCCCCCCCTTCCCATTTTGTGGTTGGAAATCCTACTGATTTGAGGAATCACTTGTTTAGTAAAGAGAGAACCGGGGTAGCTGAGGTCAAGACAAATAAGGTCTGTCCCCATGCTAAAATGCTAGTAATCACTTCTGTATCCTCTGGGCCTAGCACATTACCAAGCACATAGTAAGGGCTGAGTAAATATTTGTGAAATATATAAATGAATAGATTTTCTGCCCAGCCTCAAGACCTGCTGGAATACAACTTGTATGCCTAACTCCCTTTTCTTCCCTACCCTCTAGCTAAACATTTCTGTGACCATAAATGTGACTTCAGCATTCCTTACTGCTGAATAGATGAGAAACATGTACCACTGCAGATGAATGAACACATGGTCTATCCCCACCCGTTCTAGTTCATCTCTTTAAATGCTTTCCTTACTGTTGAAGGGACTGCTATGGTCTGTTAAAAAATAATAATAATAATAAAATAAAAAATTTTAAAAAAATGGCACTATCTTGATTACTGAGAGCACCTCTCTTACCCACATGGCTTTGTTCAAGCTCCTCCCTCTACTTGGAACACCTGTTTCACTTTAGCAAAATCCTACTAGTCTTTTCAAACTTAGCTTATGTCCCTTTCTCTAAGAAGCCACCTCTGTACCCTTCCACTTGTCAAAAGTAAAATGAGAACAAGTTAGGGAAAAATTTGAAAGTTTTCTATCTTACAAAAAGTACCAATTGCCATCAGCAAGACTTCAAGTGGTAAGAAGCTCACCTTACGGCAGTTACAGTGCAGTTTATGAAGCATTAAGGAGAAAGTATTTTGACCTTTTTAGTCATTGGCTGTTATGTATTAACATTTTTTTTTCAGGGGAAACAGGACTGTTTAAACTGATTTGTCTATAGTTGATTGATTTAATTTTCCTGAATCATGCTGACAAGGACCTAAAGCTTATGTTTTAATTTCATCAAATCATGCTGACAGGGAGATAAAGCTTATGTTTTATGCTTTGTTTATAATGAGAGCTAGCAACTCAGGGAAATCAGAATGACTTAAGTTTTACCACTTGACTCTGGGCAGTTGGCCTTGGGGTATATATCTAAATGGCGGCCTCTATCTTTGTATAATCTTTAGTACATTCCTCACCTCCTGTGCCCATCCACAATATTTTGTATTTTGTCTTTACCATCTCATGAACCACACTATATTCTATTTGTCTATTTTTTTGTATAGCTCCTCCACTAGATGGGAGCTTCTTGAAAGTAAGAACTCTGATTCATCTTTGTGTCCCCAGCACCCAATAGGGGGACAGGATTGCTATTAGGTAGCAGTACATATTTGTAAAAGGAAAGAAATCTATCAGTTATTATAGTCCCCCAAATGCTAAGTTACAGACAAATAGAAAACCTTAGTGACAAACAACAGTAGACATTTATTTTTGCTCACAAGTTTGTTGGTTGGCTAGGTGAGTCTGATGATCTGGGCTAGTCAATGCTGGTCACCTACAAATATTTGCTGATGTTACCTGGGTTCTTTCATATATGTGGGACATCACCTGAGACAACTGAACAGACTCAGCTCTGTTGCACATCTCCTGTCACCCAGCAGCCTTGTAGGGCATGGTCTTGTGGCCAAGTTTGAGGAGCGAAAGACAGAACAGAAGCACACAGCCCTTTTGAGACCTAGGCTTGGAAAACTGACCCAGTGTCACATCTGCCTCATTCTCTTGGCAAAACAAGTCACAAGACTGGCATAGATTGAAGGGGTAGGGAGATAGACCCACATCTCAATGTGAGGAGCTGCAAAGTCTCATTGCAAAGAGTGTTGACACAGGAAGGGTGGAGAATGGGGACCACCTTTGCAATCTCTGCCATAGTGAGGGAGCCAACAGGGAAACACCTTATCAGTTTCTTTCCAAAATGACCATTTTTATTACCTTAACATTTAAATGAATTTATCAGGAAAGTTTCTAAAAAAAGGAGCCATGGCCTTTCTTGGGAGAGAGTGACTTCCCCACCATAAAAGGCATTCAATAAGAAGCTGAATTCCATGGTCATAGAAATATTAGGAGGAGAACCCTTCCCCTACCCCTGAGAGTCAATGTTTTCACATATTTTCCATCTTTCTTTCCAGATCAGCAAAGACCCGATTTTTGTACCAGGCGTCTGGGGGCCTTATTTCTCAGCCATGGTACCTGGGTTCTGGCTGAATGAAGGTGGTCAGAGCGTTACTGGAAAATTGGTAAGTTGACACTTTCTCAATAGGGTCATGGATGTTTTTATGTCATTGATTAGTCCATTTTGTCACATGACCCATATACCCAATATCTGGAGGATTTGCAGACCCCTGAATCGGGGTGTACTTTCTCTTAGTGCACAGCCTAACATGTCATACACATGCAGCATATATTGCTTAAGGAAGAAGTGTTACAGCAGGCAGTGATGACCAGCCCTTCTTCTCACCTGATCTTTCCTTACATCAATCCATTTTTCTCAGAGTGATGAGAATGATATTCTACTTAGAGAAAACGACATGTTACTCCCCAGCCCAAATCCTTCAGTTTTCCCCATAGCCCCTTGAGACATGGCTCAGATAATATTCTGGCTGCATTATACACTTCATGGTCTATCCCCTCCAGTCCCACACATGTGCCTGTAATTTACACTAGGTTGCTCTCCTCACAGCTTCTCCATGCCTCCTGTCATTGCACTTCTCTGTCCCTTTATACAGGCTTCTTTCCCTGCTTGGGGAGTTCTTTACCACCTCAATAATTTTACTTGTCCTTTAAGATCCAACTCCAGCTCTTAGCACACTCTGTTATTCTTATTGGTTACTAATCCCCTTTTCTAGAACACTCTGAGTTCCTTAAAGACAAGGGCCATGCGGTACACAGTGGCTCATGCCTATAATACCAGCACTTTGTGAGGCTGGGGCGGGCAGACCACCTGAGGTCTGAAGCTCAAGGACAGCCTGACCAACATGGTGAAACCTCATCTCTACTAAAAATACAAAAATTAGCTGGGCTCGATGGCAGGCGCCTGTAATCTCAGCTACTCAGATACTCTCCTAAGACAGGAGAATCACTTGAATCTGGGAGGCACAGATTACAGTGAACTGAGAATGCAACACTGCACTTCAGCCTGGGCGACAAGAGCGAAACTCCGTCTTAAAAAAAAACCCCACAAAATAAAGACAAGTTCTCTTTGTATCCACCTCAGTGCCAGGTTCATAGAAGGTACTTAATACAAACTTGTTGAATTATTAAGGCTGTCCAATAGGGGAGAGAGAAGATTCATAAAAGTGAGATGAGTGCTGTAACAGAAGTACACGGTACAGAGTTGGCACAAAGCTAGGTTAGGAAACTCTTTACAGGGGAGAAGGCATTGGTGCTGAGCCTTAAAAGATAAATAAGGACAAACCAGGTAAAGAAGGGTACAGATAGTCTACTTGGTAGGAAACTTGTATGGGAAAAAAGACATGGAAGTGAAAAATAACGGCTAATTTGAGGGTAATGGCAAATAGTCCAGAAGTTCAGCTGTGGCACAAACTATTCTTAGAAAAATGGCTTACGATAAAAGTTAGAGAGTAGGGCAGAGACCACATCCCTGTAAAACATGCTAAGGAATTGAACTTCGTCTAGCAGACCAAGAGGAACCAGTGAAAGGTTAGAAGAGTATGTGGACATGTTCATAACTCAGTTGTAAAAATCTCTGCTTAGAAGCCATGAGGGTAAAGGCCTGAGGACACATGGCCAGAGGCAGGGAGACTAGTTTTAGTAGGTTAGTCAACAGACAAAAAGCCACAAGGACTTGAATGAGGACAGTAATAATGATGACTGGGAATTGAGGTCAAGAGATTGGCAGGCTTCTGAGAGATCAAATGTGGAATACAGAGAAAGTGAGACCTAGGCTCAGTTACACACACTCACATTTACTGTTAAATTGGAAATATCTGCTTATGTTATGATGTGATTTGCCTACCAACTCTTCTAAATGTTCAGCCAATTGGAAATGATCTTATTCAAAGCTGGATGTATATGCAAATATCTGTGAGTTTACATTTCTTAGTATAATCCTATTTTATACATGACTGCCTCAAATTCTCTTTCAAAGTAAATGGAAGCATAGGTGGGTAGATGGATTCAAAGGGCATGTTCTGTACGTTACTGTTGTGCCAGGCTACAGAAATGAATTAAATGAATTGGACCTCATCAGTCCCTGGTTTTAAGGAGCTCATACTTGGATGGGGAATCCCTGAGTATGAAATAAATCATGTTTGATTGGTCTCAGTAACCAGTGCTAGAAAAGTTGAGAAGGAAGACATCATCTATGGCTACAGTACAGTAGAAATGCAGCCCACTTTATATTCTCCTATTTAAACTTGTGCTATGTACTTAGTCAACTTATTTTATTTTACTTTCAGTTCCGGGATACAAGTGCAGAACCTGCAGGTTTGTTACATAGGAATATGTGTGCCATGGTGGTTTCCTGCACCTGTCAACCCATCATCTATGTTTTAAGCCTTCCATGCATTAGCAATGTGTCCTAATGCTCTCCCTCCCCTTGCCCCTAACTCCCCAACTGGCCCCAGTATGTGTTGTCCCCCTCTCTGTGTTCATGTGTTCTCATTCTTCAACTCCTGCTTATGAGTGAGAACATGCAGTGTTTGGTTTTCTGTTCCTGTGTTAGTTTGCTGAGGATGATGGCTTCCAGCTTCATCCATGTCCCTGCAAAGAGATCTCATGCCTTTTTATGAAGGCATAGTATTCCATGGTGTATATGTGCCACAATTTCTTAATCCAGTCTATCACTGATGGGCATTTGGGTCGGTTCCATGTCTTTGCTATTGTAAATAGAGCTACAGAGTTCCAAGATGGCCGAATAGGAACAGCTCCAGTCTACAGCTCCCAGCATGAGCGATGCAGACGACCAGTGATTTCTGCATTTCCAGCTGAGATACTGGGTTCATCTCACTGGGGCTTGTCAGACAGTGGGTGCAGGACAGTGGGTGCAGCCCACAGACCGTGAGCCGAAGCAGGGCGAGGCATCGCCTCACCCGGGAAGCACAAGGGGTCCAGGAATTCCCTTTCCTAGCCAAGGAAAGCCATGACAGATGGCACCTGGAAAATTGGGTCACTCCCACACGGCTACTGCGCTTTTACAATGGTCTTAGCAAACGGCACACCAGGAGATTATATCCTGCGCCTGGCTCAGAGGGTCCCACGCCCACAGAGCCTTGCTCACTGCCAGCACAGCAGTCTCAGATCCAACTGCAAGGCAGCAGTGAGGCTGGGGTAGGGGTGCCCACCATTGCTGAGGCTTGAGTAGGTAAACAAAGTGGCCTGGAAGCTCTAACTGGGTGGAGCCCACCTCAGCTCAAGGAGACCTGCCTGCCTCTGTAGACTCCACCTCTGAGGGCGGGGCATAGCTGAACAAAAGGCAGCAGAAACTTCTGTACACTTAAACGTCCCTGTCTGACAGCTTTGAAGAGAGAAGTGGTTCTCCCAGCACAGGGATTGAGATCTGAGAATGGACAGACTGCCTCCTCAAGTGGGACCCTGACCCCCTCAGTAGCCTAACTGGGAGACACCTCCCAGTAGGGGCCGACTGACACCTCATACAACCAGGTACCCCTCTGAAACAAAGCTTACAGAGGAAGGATCAGGCAGCAACATTTCTGCAATATTTGCTGTTCTGCAGCCTCCACTGGTGATACTCAGGGTCTAGAGTGAAACGCCAGCAATCTCCAACAGACCTGCAGCTGAGGGTCCTGACTGTTAGAAGGAAAACTAACAAACAGAAAGGACATCCACACCAAAACCCAATCTGTACGTCACCATCATCAAAGACCAAAGGTAGATAAAACCACAAAGATGGGGAAAAAACAGAGCAGAAAAACTGAAAATTCTAAAAATCAGAGTGCCTCTCCTCCTCCAAAGGAACGCAGCTCCTCACCAGCAACGGAACAAAGCTGGACGGAGTATGACTTTGACGAGTTGAGAGAAGAAGGCTTCAGACGATCAAACTGCTCCGAGCTAAAGGAGGAAGTTCGAACCCATGGCAAAGAAGTTAAAAACCTTGAAAAAAGATTAGATGAATGTCTAACTAGAATAACCACTGCAGATAAGTCCTTAAAGGACCTGATGGAGCTGAAAACCATGGCACGAGAACTATGTGACAAATGCACAAGCCTCAGTAGCCGATTTGATCAACTGGAAGAAAAGGTATCAGTGATGGAAGATCAAATGAATGAAATGAAGCTACAAGAGAAGTTTAGAGAAAAAAGAATAAAAAGAGACGAACAAAGCCTCCAAGAAATATGGGACTATGTGAAAAGACCAAATCTACGTCTGATTAGTGTACCTGAAAGTGACGGGGAGAATGGAACCAACTGGGAAAACACTCTGCAGGATATTATCCAGAACTTCCCCAACCTAGCTAGGCAGACCAACATTCAGATTCAGGAAATACAGAGAATGCCACAAAGATACTCCTCGAGAAGAGCAACTCCAAGACACATAATTGTCAGATTCACCAAAGTTGAAATGAAGGAAAAAATGTTAAGGGCAGCCAGAGAGAAAGGTTGGGTTACCCACAAAAGGAAGCCCATCAGACTAACAGCTGATCTCTCGGCAGAAACTCTACAAGCCAGAAGAGAGTGGGGGCCAATATTCAACATTCTTAAAGAAAAGAATTTTCAACCCAGAATTTCATATCCAGCCAAACTAAGCTTCATAAGTGAAGGAGAAATGAAATACTTTACAGACAAGCAAATACTGAGAGATTTTGTCACCACCAGGCCTGCCCTAAAAGAGCTCCTGACGGAAGCACTAAACATGGAAAGGAACAACTGGTACCAGCCACTGCAAAAACATGCCAAATTGTAAAGACCATCAAGGCTGGGAAGAAACTGCATCAACTAACAGGCAAAATAACCAGCTAACGTCATAATGACAGGATCAAATTCACACATAGCAATATTAACCTTATATGTAAATGGGCTAAATGCTCCAATTGAAAGACACAGACTGGCAAATTGGATAAAGTGTCAAGACCCATCCATGTGCTGTATTCAGGAAACCCATCTCACGTGCGGAGACACACATAGTCTCAAAATAAAGGGATGGAGGAAGATCTACCAAGCAAATGGAAAACAAAAAAAGGCAGGGGTTGCAATCCTAGTCTCTGATAAAACAGACTTTAAACCAACAAAGATCAAAAGAGACAAAGAAGGCCATTACATAATGGTAAAGGGATCAATTCAACAAGAAGAGCTAACCATCCTAAATATATATGTACCCAATACAGGAGCACCCAGATTCATAAAGCAAGTCCTTAGAGAACTACAAAGAGACTTAGACTCCCACACAATAATAATGGGAGACTTAAACCACCCCACTGACAACATTAGACAGATCAACGAGACAGAACGTTAACAAGGATATCCAGGAATAGAACTCAGCTCTGCACCAAGTGGACCTAATAGACATCTACAGAACTCTCCACCCCAAATCAACAGAATATACATTCTTCTCAGCAACACACCACACCTATTCCAAAATTGACCACATAGTTGGAAGTAAAGACGTCCTCAGCAAATGTAAAGGACAGAAATTATAACAAACTGTCTCTCAGACCACAGTGCAATCAAAGTAGAATTCAGGTTTCAGAAACTCACTCAAAACCACTCAACTACATGGAAACTGAACAACCTGCTCCTGAATGACTACTGGGTACATAACAAAATGGAGGCAGAAATAAGGATGTTCTTTGAAACCAATGAGAACAAAGACACAACATACCAGAATCTCTGGGACACCTTCAAAGTAGTGTGTAGAGGGAAATTTATAGCACTAAATGCCCACAAGAGAAAGCAGGAAAGGTGTAAAATTGACACCCTAACATCACAATTAAAAGAACTAGAGAAGCAAAAGCAAACACATTCAAAAGCTAGCAGAAGGCAAGAAATAACTAAAATCAGAGCAGAACTGAAGGAAATAGAGACACAAAAAACCCTTCAAAAAATCGATGCATCCAGAAGCTGGTTTTTTGAAAAGATCAACAAAATTGATAGAACGCTAGCAAGACTAATGAAGAAGAAAAGAGAGAAGAATCAAATAGACACAATAAAAAATGATAAAGGGGATATCACCACCGATCCCATAGAAATACAAACTACCATCAGAGAATACTATAAACACCTCTATGCAAATAAACTAGAAAATCTAGAAGAAATGGATAAATTCCTGGACACATATACCCTCCCAAGACTAAACCAGGAAGAAGTTGAATCTCTGAATAGACCAATAACAGGCTCTGAAATTGAGGCAATAATTAATATCTTACCAACCAAAAAAAGTACAGGACCAGACGGATTCACAGCCGAATTCTACCAGAGGTACAAGGAGGAACTGGTACCACTCCTTCTGAAACTATTCCAATCAATAGGAAAAGAGGGAATCCTCCCTAACTCATTTTATGAGGCCAGCATCATCCTGATACCAAAGCCTGGCAGAGACACAACTAAAAAAGAGAATTTTAGACCAATATCCCTGATGAACATCGATGCAAAAATCCTCAATAAAATATTGGCAAACTGAATCCAGCAGCACATCAAAAAGCTTATCCACCATGATCAAGTGGGCTTCATCCCTGGGATGCAAGACTGGTTCAACATATGCAAATCAATAAACGTAATCCTGCATATAAACAGAACCAACGACAAAAACCACATGATTATCTCAATAGATGCAGAAAAGGCCTTTGACAAAATTCAACAACCCCTCATGCTAAAAACTCTCAATAAATTAGGTATTTATGGGACATGTCTCAAAATAGTAAGAGCTATCTATGACAAACCCACAGCCAATATCATACTGAATGGGCAAAAACTGGAAGCATTCCCTTTGAAAACTGTCACAAGACAGGGATGCCCTCTCTCACCACTGCTATTCAACATAGTGTTGGAAGTTCTGGTCAGGGCAATCAGGCAGGAGAAGGAAATAAAGGGTATTCAATTAGGAAAAGAGGAAGTCAAATTTTTCCTGTTTGTAGATGACATGATTGTATATCTAGAAAACCCCATCATCTCAGCCCAAAATCTCCTTAAGCTGATAAGCAACTTCAGCAAACTCCCCGGATACAAAATCAATGTGCAAAAATCACAAGCATTCTTATACACCAATAACAGACAAAGAGAGAGCCAAATCATGAGTGAACTCCCATTCACAATTGCTTCAAAGAGAATAAAATACCTAGGAATCCAACTTACAAGGGATGTGAATGACCTCTTCAAGGAGAACTACAAACCACTGCTCAATGAAATAAAAGAGGACACAAACAAATGGAAGAACATTCCATGCTCATGGGTAGGAAGAATCAATATCATGAAAATGGCCACACTGCCCAAGGTAATTTATAGATTCAATGCCATCCCCATCAAGCTACTGATGACTTTCTTCACAGAATTGGAAAAAACTACTTTAAAGTTCATATGGAATCAAAAAAGAGCCCATATTGCCAAGTCAATCCTAAGCCAAAAGAACAAAGCTGGAGACATCACGCTACCTGACTTCAAACTATACTACAAGGCTACAGCAACCAAAACAGCATGGTACTGGTATCATAACAGAGATATAGACCAATGAAACAGAACAGAGCCCTCAGAAATAATGCCACATATCTACAACTATCTGATTTTTGACAAATCTGACAAAAGCAATGGGGAAAGGATTCCCTATTTAATAAATGGTGCTGGGAAAACTGGCTAGCCATATGGAGAAAGCTGAAACTGGATCCCTTCCTTACACCCTATACAAAAATTAATTCAAGATGGATTAAAGACTTAAATGTTAGACCTACAACCATAAAAACCCTAGAAGAAAACCCAGGCAATACCATTCAGGACATAGGCATGGGCAAGGACTTCATGACTAAAACATCAAAAGCAACGGCAACAAAAGCCAAAATTGACAAATGAGATCTCATTAAACTAAAGAGCTTCTGCCCAGCAAAAGAAACTACCATCAGAGTGAACAGGCAGCCTACAGAATGGGAGAAAATTTTTGCAATCTACTCATCTGACAAAGGGCTAATATCCAGAATCTACAATGAACTCAAACAAATTCACAAGAATAAAAGAAACAACCCCATCAGCAAGTGGGCGAAAGATATGAACAGACACTTCTCAAATGAAGACATTTATGTAGCCAAAAGACACATGAAAAAATGCTCATCATCACTGGCCATCAGAGAAATGCAAATCAAAACCACAGTGAGATACCATCTCACACCACTTAGAATGGCAATCATTAAAAAGTCAGGAAACAACAGGTGCTGGAGAAATAGGAACACTTTTACACTGTTGGTGGGACTGTAAACTAGTTCAACCATTGTGGAAGTCAGTGTGGTGATTCCTCAGGGATCTAGAACTAGAAATACCATTTGACCCAGCCATCCCATTACTGGGTATATACCCAAAGGATTATAAATCATGCTGCTATTAGACACATGCACACGTATGTTTATTGTGGCACTATTCACAATAGCAAAGTCTTGGAACCAAGCCAAACATCCAACAATGATAGACTGGATTAAGAAAATGTGGCACATATACACCATGGAATACTATGCAGCCATAAAAATGAGTTCATGTCCTTTGTAGGGACATGGATGAAGCTGGAAACCATCATTCTCAGCAAACTATCACAAGGACAAAAAACCAGACACTGCATGTTCTCACTCATAGGTGGGAATTGAACAGTGAGAACACATGGACACAGGAATGGGAACATCATACACCAGGGCCTGCTGTGGGGTGAGGGGAGTGGAGAGGGATAGCATTAGGAGATATACCTAATATTAAATGACGAGTTAATGGGTGCCGCACACCAATATGGCACATGTATACATATGTAACAAACCTGCAGGTTGTGCACATGTACCCTAAAACTTAAAGTATAATAAAAAAATAAATAAAATATTATAATGATGGTAATATTAATTGTAATAATTGTAGCTTACTGAGTATTTTTTTGTGAGAGGGATTTATAGACATAATTCTGTTAAACTTTGAATGATAGTCATAATTACAATGCCTAATATTATTTTGAAGGCTTGTTTCCAATCTCAGTTCCAAGAACTTTTCATGTATTATCTAATTAATATTCTCAAAAGTCCTATGATCATACCTATAGATACAGTCATTATCTGTATTTTATAGTTAAGTGACTAAAGGTAGCAATTACAGCCTGGAGAGTCTCCTCACCCACCAGTGATGGCCTTTTAATATGTTTTATTTACTACTCACCTTTCCTTACCATTTACTAATTCTTGTTTATTCTCTTGTAAATTCCAATCTCTGGTTTTAAAATACATCATTGTCACATAGGACATGATAAGAAAAAGTTGCATCTTTTTTATTCCCGCTTGCATATGCACATCTTCTCTAATAAGCCACATCTGAAGGTGTCTGCTCCAGTAGTACATTGTCCATGGTTTCAACGATGCCACACAGTCATAAATACACCACCTAAAGCATAAGAGACGGGAAGTGAGAAAACAGAGAAAAAGGAAAGTAAAGGAGAAGAAACAATAGAAAAAAAGAGAAGGAAAAGAAATGAAAAATATATTAAAAACCATGGATTTTAAAAAAAGATATTTGTCTCATTTTTACAATTAAATGCAGATCTTCCATTACAAAGCAATTATTTCATTCTAAGTATGTGAATAGATTTGTATTTTTAAAAAAAATCTTCATCTGGTTATCCTCAGAATGAAGGAAAAGAAACAGGACAGGATCTTTTGATATTTACTTCTTCTTAGAAAACACATACTCCCTTCCTAAGGATGATTGATTTTAGTTTCATCACACATCAAGGCCTGTCTCATGCTTGCCGATATTCTCTTCTGAATAGTTGTGCAAAAAAGCATTGCTTTTTCCCCAGACTTTGTCCACAGAACACTGACCCCGTGCAGTTCCTACATCCAGATACTGAAGCTTATTTCCAGCTGGACCTTGGCCATCACCCTTTCCAGGTGCTCTTGTTTGTCTCACGTGGAGTGATTTTTATTGGGGATGGCATTGGGTAAGGAAGGCTAAGACAAGTTCCTAAGCCACTGCTATGGTGGCATTGACTTTCTGGAACAATTGTGCTTGGATTGAGTCACAAGGTCACAATGCAACAAGTTACTATGTGCTCTTGGGATTTTAGGATGTGTACATTGTGAGTGTCTATCTGCCTCCTGCGTCATTGCCAAGGCTGGGACTAGCCTCAGGATGTCACCTATGGAAGACATTCTGCTATAAATGGGTGTATGGAATGACTTGCAGTGTGCACAGTGTAGTACAGATTATGGAGATAATGATTTCATGCCTTCATTCATTCACTCCTTCCATCGCGTTACAGAGATTTCCTGAGTGATTCCACTGGGCCAGCCAAGAATACGGTCACTCCAGTCATCCACCATCAAATAAGAAAGTTGGATACAGAACTGATCATTATAATTTATTGTAGGACATAAAAATAGATAGTACAATCACTATAGCCTACTGGAAAAATAGAGGCTAATACTGAGTACCTATTATGTACCAAATATTTTTAGGCCCATTAGGATTTGGTATTTCATCTGATCTTCACAGCATGTGTATGTGGTCAGTGTTGTTATATTAGTTTTACTGATGAAGAAATAGGCTGAGAATGTCAAGGTAATCTGATCAAAATCTTACAGTTATAAGTAGGAGAGCCACAATGCAAACCCAAGCTGGCCACCAGAGGCCCAAGATCTTTCCAAAACTGAATCTGACTTTTGTGGAGGTGCATTTCTGAGTTTTTCTTTCAGTTCTCTTGTAGACTTCTTTGAGAAGCAACTGTTGTCCGTTAACATGACATTCTCTTTAAGTGTCTTGAAACAAATACAGTTGGCAGGCTTTGTAAGGCCATGGGAGAAAAATAATTAAATACAATAAATTAAATACAATATCTGAAATACATATATAGTAGATGGGCCTAAGAGCTGACTGGAGATGACAAAAGTGTCCTCAGTGAGAATGAGACTTAGACTGGGAGACTTAGAGAGAAAGAGAGAGAGAGAGAATATGAATGAGAATATACACTGAAAAAATTAACACCCTCAGTCTCTCAGGGGCATGGGAGACAATAGCCAAAGGTCAATTAGCATTGACACGATCTATGTACAGATGTAGGTGTGTCCCCAGCATTTCACATCCACTAATTATAATTACTTCATGGATACAAGGACTAACTCTGCAAAAACAAATGCCTCCCTGTTCCCTTCTCCCGCCCTGGCTTTTGCTTATTTTTTGTATACCCACCTGGATTGCTACACAACTTCCTAATTGGCTTCTTGCCTGTAATCTTTCCCCCTCTAATCCCTTTGTTGCATTGTAGGTATAGAAGTCTTTCTGAAACAGTTATGAGTCTGTCACTTGTGATAGCTCTTCAGTTGTCATTAGAATAAAGTCTTAATTCTTTAGAGTGATGTTTATTTATACAGCCAGTATTTACGGAGTGCTTACTATATTTGAGGTACTGTTCTGAGTGAGAAAGTAGCAGTGAGTAAAACAGCCTCTTCTGCACTCTCCTGCACTCCACCAAGACTCCTGTACCCTTCTCAAGCTTACATTCTAACAGGAGGAGACAGATAATACACAAAAAATAAATAAATTCCACTTTATGGTATAAGTTATTAAGACAAATAGAGGAGGTAGCTTGTGAGTTCAGATGGGAAGGTTGTAGTTTTAAATAGGGTGGTCAGGGTAGACCTCACTGATGTGACAGTTGAACAAAGAATGAGGAAAGGAAGGAATTTAGCTATTTTGAAACCTGGGGGAAGAATATACCAGGTCAAGGGAACAACCAGTGTAAAGATTCTGAGAGGGTTGCTTGCCTGGGGTATTATGGGAATAGCAACAAGGTCACAATGGATGCGGCAGAGTGAACCAAAATGACAGTTGCAGGGAACAAGTTCAGAGAGGTGATAGGGTCTACATTATTGGCCACAGTAATAGTTTTTACTCTCAGTGAAATGGAAACCATTGGAGAATAATGAGCGGAGGAGTGATGTGATATGACAGGTTTTCAAAGAATCATTCTTACTGCTGCCTACTGTGTTGCTGATTGTTAACTGGGGAGTGGAAGTAGGGGGAGGGAAGCACAGAAGTCAGAAAGAGGCTATTGTAGTAAGCCAGCTGAGTGAGGAGGATGATGGCATGGAGCTGGTAAAGAATGGTTAGATTTTGGATATATTTTGAAGGTAGAGCCACCTTCAAACCTTGACCTTGACCTTCACACCCTGATGGATTAAGTGTGAAGTGTGCAGAAAAGAGAGAGGCCAAGGCTTGAGGAATGTAGCATTGCTATTAATGGGTGAAGGTGGATTCAATGTTATGGAGTCAGAGGGAGGAAGGAGTCAAGAATTACTACGTTTTCTGATGGTAGTAACTGATCCCCAAAGTTGACCCTCCATTATCTTCCTTCATCTTAGTAAAGAGTACCATCATTTATATTTTTATTAAAGCCAAAAAATAAAATAAAAAATTAGGATTAATTCTTGACTCTTCCTTTCCCCTCTCTCCTCACATCTAATCCATCAGTAAGTCCTAAGGGTTCCACCTCCAAAATATGTTGCCAATCCATCTCTCTTTTTTCTTCTCTTTTCTTTTCTTTTCTTTCTTCCACTCCTAGCACTGTTGGGCAAATCACCGTGGCACTTTTCCTCTCCTGGTCTATGTAAAGTATATTTTTTGTACACAGCATATAGTTGGGTCTTGCTTTTCAATTTTATGATCTCTGAATTTTACTTGGGTTGTTTAGATACTTTATATAAAGATAAATATGATTTGATTTACATCTTTCATTTTGTTTTTTGTTTTCTGTGATCACTTCTGTCTTTCCTTCCTGACTTCTTTTGGATTAAATGACTATTTTTCAATTTTAAGAATTCAATTTTAAGTTATCTATTGGCATCTTGGCTTTCTACACATCTTTTTGCATTATTTTTTAATGGTTGCTCTAGTAATTATAATAAATATCCTAAACTTTTCAGCCTACTTTGAATGCATATTATGATACTTCATGAAAGGTATAAATACCCTTCAACTGTGTAGTTCTACTTACCACTCCTATCCCAGCTCTTCACGCTGTAGTTTGTGTGTGATATCTACATATGCTATAAACCCAATAATGAAATAGTTGTCATATTGTTTGCTTTAAACAATGTATTAGTCTACTCTTGACTACCATAACAAAATACCACAGGTTGGGTGGCTTAAACAACAGACATTTATTTCCTTACAATTTTGGAGGCTAAAAGTCTGTGATCAAGGTGCTGGCAAATGCAGTTTCTGGTGAGGGCTCTCTTCCTAACTTGTAGATGGCTGCCTTCTGTGACCTCACATGGCCTTTTCTCAGTATGTGTATATGAAGAGAAAACGGTTGTATTCCTTCCTTTTCTTATAAGAACACCAGTTATATCAGATTAAGGCCCCACTGTCATGAGCTGTTTAACCTTAATTACCCCCGTAAGAGCCATATCTCTAAATACAGTCACATTTGGGATTGAGGCTTCAATATATGAATTTGAGGTGAACACAGTTTAGTCCATGTCAAAGATACATAAATGTTTTAAAGAAATTCTGAGAAATAAACCATAGTCTTTTGTATTTACCTACATAATTACTATTTTTATTGCTTTTCCTTTCTTTCTGAAAATTTGAGTTTCCATGTGATATCTTTTCCCAAGCCTAAAGAACTTGTCTTAGCCTCCGTCTCAAAAAAAAAAAAAAAAAAAAAGAACTTGTCTTAGCATGTCTTACAGTGCAGGTCAACTGGCAAAAGACATTCTCTCTATTTTTTTTCAATGCATTTATTTTATATGCTGCCTTGAAAGATATTTTTGCTCACTATAGAATTCTTGATTTACAGGTTTTTTTTTCCATCAGCACCTTAAAATGTTAGTATTTTCTATTCTGACATTATTATTTCTTATAAGAAGTCAACCATTATTTTTGTCATTCTTTCCCTTTATATAATATGTCATTTTTTTCCTCTGGCTGCTTTCAAATTTTCTCTTAATCTTTGGCTTTTATTACGGTATGGCGTGGTCTTCTTTGGATTCATCTTTCTTGAATTTGTAAGTTGATTCCTTTCACCAAGTTTGGGAAATTTTCAGCATTTAATTTTTTTTTGTTTGTTTCTTCTCCTTGCTCTCTTCCCTCTTACTGTGACTCCAATTCCACATATATGGTACCTTTGGCTATTGTCTCCCATGCCCCTGAGAGACTCAGGGTGTTAATTTTTTCAATATATATTCTCATTCATATTCTCTCTCTCTCTTTCTCTCTCTCTAAGTCTCCCAGTCTAAGTCTCATTCTCACGAGGACACTTTTGTTGGTCATCTCCAATCAGCTCTTAGGCCCATCTACTATATATTTATTTCAGATATTGTATTTAATCAATACTATTACATTTGTATTTTAATAGTTTGTTTCTTTGCTGTTTC
Source organism: Homo sapiens (assembly GCF_000001405.40). NCBI lineage: Eukaryota > Metazoa > Chordata > Mammalia > Primates > Hominidae > Homo > Homo sapiens. The sequence goes on from NC_000001.11 coordinate 59,622,190, forward strand.
CTCTCTGTTTAATAACTATGAGAATATTTTTCTTTTACATCCTTAAGCATTGTTAAAATACCTACTTTAAAATTCTTATCTTCTAACGCCTGTGTCACCTCAGATTTGGTGTTCACTAAGTGGCTTTTCTCTTAAGTATGGATTACATTTTCCTGTTCCTCAATATGTATAATGATTTGGGGTCATATTTTGGACATTGTGATTGATATATTCTAGAGACACTGTATTATTTCTGTTTCTCTTTTGAGTATTGATTTTTTGGTTTAGCAGGCAGTTTATTTGGCTGAACTCAAACTTCAAGTTTTGTTACTCTCCTGTGATGAACATGTCCTAAAATCTCTGTTGCATTATTTTAGCCTTAGCTGGACTACTTCTGGTGTTCCCATGCACATGTAATTGAGAGATCATCCAGAAATTAGGGTAGCATTTATAGGCACAGTGTTGCATTCCCTTTCTATGGCTCTCTCTTTCTGACATCCCCTCCACAACTTACTTCCTAGCTACTATGGTTGCCTTGAACTCTAACCTCTCATTTCTTAATCAGAAAGACTGTGTATTTCTATCTGAGTATTAGTTATCTTGCATGCCACTGACTGGGGTCCACCCATGGGCAAAAATGTATAAAATCAGGAAACACACAAAGTACTGTTTTTTCCTTCCTTGTGTCTACTCCTCTCCAGTTTCTACCTGGTTTTGGCCACTTTCCAGTGTCTTCAGAGAACTATTTGCTGTATTTTGATCAGCATTTTTAATTGTTATCAAAATGTGTCTCATCATTCATTCATTAGAGATGTCAGCATTGCTCTAGGCACTGAGGAGTGGAAAATAATGATGCTCTTGCTTTGAAAGAGCTCAGAGTATAGGGTAAGAGACAGACATATAACTAAGGATTGTAAAAGAACTTGATAGATGCTACAGTAGAGTAAGGATAGAAAATATCTGTGCCTTATATTCCCATTGCCAACCTGTGATCTTTGTCTGCATTTCCTATTCTCCATGCCTGGTCATCTCCCTGTCCTTTATACATTACCAAATTTTTCTTAACTTTTCATCATTTTTCTCTCCAAATCAAAATAATTTTTATGGCCTTTGATCTAATAAAAGTATAAACTCTTATGACATTCAAGACACACTGTCTGCCTTCGCCCTCTTTATTCATCCTTATTTTCACCAGTTTACTAATTCTGTAATTTAACCTACAGTAATCCTATGACCAATGTATGCACAACACAAATAGATACAAATGCAAAGTGTGGTAAGTGCCACCAAGGAGAAGTACATGGTGCTATCTGTGTTTTTCCTGTGGTTCACTCATCCCACATTTATTCCACAAACTTTTATTAACCACCCATGTTATGCCAGGCATGAGGCTAAACCAGTCCGTTACCATTCAAATCATATATGTCTTTCCATTTTCATGTCTCTACTAACCAGCCTCCTTTCTGTCATGCCTTGCCTCTAGCCCTTTACTCCTCCAAACTCTACCTATTTATGGCCTCTCAGCTGAAGCTTCACCTACTCCAACTGTATAATGATTGCCAAATGATTGATCTCTCACTTTGTGCTGCTATGCATCATAACTATTTCTTATTTTTCAGTGTATCTCCGGAACCTAGGTGCACAGTTCCTGGAGGCACATTAGGCATTTAGTAAATACTAAATAACTGCATTCATGCTTACACCACACATGCTAGGTTCTAGCTCACTCCTGGAAGCTCATTTAAATCTCTCTTCTCTGAACTCCTAAAGCACTTCCCATAAAAATTAGCATCAAATCAAGTAATGCCTCTAATTATCCATTACTGTTCCCAGCGAGTTTATCTTGATGCTCTCAGTGGATTGCAAACTCAGGGGATCCAAAGTGTGATGAGGATATGCTTCATCACAGTAATGCAAAGTTGAACCTGAAGGAGATAAATATTCAATAACTGCATGAGTTTTTTTTTTTCATTGAAATGACCAATGTCTTTGATATCATTTTGAAACATTTCCACAAAAACTGCACCAATGGTATTCAACAACGTATACCTGGAAGTTCAGTAGACAATATGACGTGGTGGTTAAGAACAAGGTCTTAAAATATAGAGACTGCAGTTTGAGACCTAGATTTGTCGTTACTTTACTGTGACCTTGGGCAAGATATTCAATCTCTTTGAGCTCAGTTTCCTCATCTCCATAATGAAGAATAGTATCTTCTCCATAGGAGTGCTATAAGGAATAAATGAAATAGAGTAATGTGTGTACAATGCTTAAGTTAGTACTGATGTATGGGAAATGAGTCAGTATATTTCACGTGATATCATTTATACTACTGTTGGCACTATAGTAGTGTATTAGTCCGTTTTCATACTGCTGATACGGACATACCTGAGACTGGGTAATTTATACAGAAAAAGAGGTGTAATGGACCCATAGTTCCACATGGCTGGGGAGGCGTCACAATCATAGCAGAAGGCGAAAGGCATGTCTAACATGGCGGCAGGCAAGAGGGAATGAGAGCCAAGTAAAACAGGAAACCCCTTATGAAACCATCAAATCTCATGAGACTTATTCACTACTACGAAACAGTATGGGGGAAACTGCGCCCATGATTCAGTTGTTTCCCACTGGGTCCCTCCCACAACATGTGAGATTTATGGGAGTTACAATTCAAGATGAGATTTTGGTGGGGACACAGACAAACCATATCAAGCAGACACACTTAACTTCCTAGAAATCCTGTTTAAAAGGAGGCCATGGAAGTTCAAAACAGTTTAGTGACTTGCACAAAGTCACTCAGCTAGTGAGACTCAGAGCCAGAACCCAACCCTGGCCTCTGTGTCTCCTGAACAAATTATCTTCTTTACACAGCCCTAGCTCTCAGGAAACATGCTCAGAGAGCCTATCCCTGTGCAGCCAAAAGACCAAATCTTTTCCTTGTTGGAATGAAAATAAATCTATCAGAATGGTTGTTTTAGCATCCTAGAAACTCAAGTAAACATTCAGAAAATATACAGATGAGGTTCAGGAACTCAAGCACGGTGTTGCTTGGGTGTGTTATGGCAAGCAGAGTAAATGCATGGAGAAACATTTCTGTCCCTGATACATATTTCATACTATTTTGTTTAGAGCCACCAAGTGGATTAAGGAATAAGATCCTAGACCTGGGATTTCAAATGAGAGGTGATTATCTGCAGAGCTCAGACATTTCTGTCCTTGGAGAGCTGTGTTTCCCATGTGATGATTGTTCAGTCAGGAGAGTTTCTCCTGACAGGTCTGGGGCATCTCAATTTTTTTTAACTGAGAGTTTCAAAAAATTTTTTTAATGAGGGTTTTTTCAAAAACCCTCATCATAGTCTCTTTCATTCAGCTTCTCCATTAGTAAGACACAGTGAGTAATTCAAGGTTTGACATTGCCCAGGGATGACAGCCTAGATCAAGAAGGGGAAATGATGTGATCCAGAAAAGGTTGGTGCTTTTAACACTCAGACCCCCCCCATTTGACATAAGTTACCCTTCCTTCTCATTCTTGGGCCTGTTGCTAACCTGCTTCTACCAGTTTAGCCTTGGAAATTTCATTTCTGTTTACTCTTCTCTCTAAACTTCTTTGTTTTATGTATTTAAGAGGCTAGCAGTAGGTTAAATCAAAGCTAAATTTCTTTTAGCTGAGGCACTCTTGCTACATTGGCATTTTAATGTTCTTGGAACCCGTATGGACAAAGAGTTGAAAGAAACATATACTCATTTTAATATAAATTTTTCTATCTTATACATAAATTAAAGAAGCTATAAAATTGACCCATGTCTCTTATTTTTCAGATAGACCACATGGTACAAGGCCATGCTGCTTTTCCAGAACTACAAGTAAAGGCCACAGCCAGGTAACTGCTGTCTCTGTTCCCTCTAAAATTTTCCTTGTGTGACTGTATTGAGAGAATTCACGTTGGGCAGTTGGGTGATTTTCAGATCCTACAGACAATGAAAATGCCTGTTAGTGCTTGAAAGATAGTCACCTGGATGATCCAGAAGATAGATGTATTAATTCTTTAAATGAGGTAAGAGAACTTAGAGAACCTAGAGATACCCCAAGAATATACCCAGGGACTATAGATAAGAAACTCTGATGTAGAAGAAGGACCATGGATTCTGGAGTCAAAACTTCTTAGTTTCACATCCCAGCCATACTCCTTAATAGATACAGGACCTTGAGCTAGTTACTTAACCTCTTTATGCCTGTCTCTTCATCTGTAAAACTGAAGATAATAACTGATATGGAGTGATTTCTAGAATATTTTGAAGCAAGCTGAGTGCAAAAAAAATTTACGATATACTCCCTTTCATGTAAAAAGAAAGACATAGGAAAATACATGTGTATCTGTTCATTTTTGCAAAAGAAATATAGGAAGTGGCCAGGTGCGGTGGCTCACTCCTGTAACCCCAGCACCTTGGGAGGCCGAGGCGGGCAGATCACGAGTTCAGAGATCGAGACCAGCCTGGCCAACATGGTGAAACCCCATCTCTACTAAAAATACAAAAGTTAGCCGGGCATGGTGATGTATGCCTATAATCCCAGTTACTTGGGAGGTTGAGGCAGGAGAATTGCTCAAACCCGGGAGGTGGAGGTTGCAGTGAGCAGAGATCGTGCCACTGCACTCCAGCCTGGGCAATAAAGTGAGACTCCGTCTCAAAAAAAAAAAAGAAATACAGGAAGTTTAAACCAGAAAATAATAAGATTAGTTACCTACAGGGGGTGGGTAGGAATGGGGTGGAAAGAATGTGGGAATGGGACCATGGTAGTAGGAAGAAATGACACTTCTCTGAGTATACCTTTTTATATAACTATAACTCTTAGAATTATTGTCATGCCTCATGTCCCTGATACCCCGATAAAATAGGTGATAGATAACCAGGATATATGTGTATGTTGGCATGGGCAAAATGAAATGCACACAGTAAAAACTGAACCTACTGTATTACAAAGGGGGTTGGGAAAAGAAAAGAAAGGAAAAGAAAAAAGAAAAGAACCTAAGTAAATTTGGGAAAGAATATTTTGACTATATGCCATATGGCTAAAGAGAAAAATAACCATACATAAATATTATACTCTAATTGGTAAATCTGTTTTTCATAGGTGTATATGTTAGCTATAGTGACAACTCTTTATGTGTATGCTACAGTTGAGTGAAGAAATCAATATATTGTGGATAATAAGAGCCAGGTTCCTCACAAATGGGAAAAGGAGAAGGTTAGAATGAACCTCATGGTGTCAATATCAACTTATGATTTTATATATATATATATATATATATATATATATATATACACACACACACACACACACAGCTGGATATAAATATAAGTAAATATAGATATGTATATTCATGCATGAATATACATGCATATACTCCCTAGGTCTCTCTGCTGAGATGGCTTGGAAGCAATGACACGATAGTAGCAATGTGTGTACCTAGCTCACAGGTACTGTATTCTAAGTACCATTCTCCCATTTCTCCAATAAAAGTAATCAGGACTTCTTAGAAAGATGGCTGAGTCTACGCTGCGGCAGTAAAATTATGGTGCCAGAAAGAAAAAAGTTACTCAACAAGGAATTGTCAAGGTACATTGGAACCAACTTTAAGAATCTCTCAGTGGCCTACTCAGGATAAAATAAACAGTAATAGCGTAAAGTAAGTCCATAAGTAAATAACTTTGTAAGTAAACTACTGAAGAAGGAAATAAACGAGGACGAAATGACAGGTCTTCCTCTTCACTGTCAGGACAGTAGCCTTACAATTAATAAATGTAGAAGAAATAATGGAAATAGATAATCAACATTAGGTAAACACTACAGAGATAAATGTTGTAGGCAAGAATCATTAATGGATGCTAAAATTAGTGAGTAAAAGTGGGAAGCAGGATATTTTCATAAACCCAGAGGATTTCAGTACAAGATACTGAGTAATAGGAAGAGGAAAATAATAACTTTCCAGTAGTATATAAGTATGGCAGACACCACCTTACCCAAGTGATGAAAGTAAACAACACCAGCAATAACATGTAGTGATATCATGTATCTCCTTTTATGAGGCACCGATAAAGATACAACATCATTTCTGCCATGTTCTTGCCCAAAATGATTAAACTCAGTGTAAATATGGGAAGCATCAGACAAACCTAGATTGACATTCCACAAAGCTATTAGCCAGTTTGCTCCAAAGGAAAATTAAGAAACTTAAATACTGAAGAACTGTCCTAGATTGGAGGAGACTTAAGGAGGTACTACAGCTGTAAGCAGTATATAATCATGGATTCAACTCTGGACCAGAGAAAGGACATTGGTGGAGGAAAACTGTTGAAATTCAAATAGAGATTAATAGTATTGTTATTTATGGCAATTTCTTAGGTGATGAGTAAAAGGGAACTCTGTGTATTATTTTTGTAACTTTTGTGTAAATCTAAAATTATTTTGAAATAAAAAGTCTAAAAAATAATGAATGGATTTTCATGCTGATAATGCTTAGTTGTCAGGCTGTTTAAGTAAAGTAAGATATTTTTATAGAATTATCAGAGAAACCCATGTAGCTAGCTAGCACAGGACAAAAGAGAGATAGTCTAAGGTGGCCACTAATAGACTCTGAAGCCAAATTGCCTTTGCCTCAGCTTTGTCGCTTATTCACTTTCTGTTTCTGGGCTATTTACTTAACCTCTGTGCCTTAGTACCTCACTGTAAAGGGAATAATAGTAAACATTTCATAAGGTTGTTGAGAAAATTAAATGAATTAGAATAATGGGTGATACAGAGTGATGATTAAGAGTCAGGCTGTAATAGGTGTTCAACTAAAAAAATGGTAATGATAAAAATTACTGTTGGGGAACATCACACACCGAGGCCTGTCGTGGGATGGGGGGATAGGGGAGGGATAGCATTAGGAGAAATACCTAATGTAAATGACGAGTTAACGGGTGCAGCAAACCAACATGGCACATGTATACATATGTAACAAACCTGTACATTGTGTACATGTACCCTGGAACTTAAATAAAAAATGAATAAATAATAAATAAATAAATAAATGATTGTTGTAGTTAGTATATTAGACATTTCCATTCTACTAAGTGACTTACATTCTAATAGGATCAGCACACCTACACAGAGCAGAATAAATGAATACTGTAGTAAAATATACGTAGTGTGTTATCAGGCTGTGTAGAAAAGGAGGACTGATTTTGACAAGGAGTTTAAGAAAAGCTTCATAGGCATTCCCTTCTAGGAGTCTTTAGTTATAATGCCATTGCAATTAGTCATTAATTACAATTACCATTGAGAGGGATTATGTCACATAACCTTACCAACTAGCATATTAGTGGCATAGAGACCATATAACCTAGAAAAGGGATTCCTAATTTCGGATCATCAATGAACCTCTTTAAATTGTGTACTGTTCTGCTGATTACATAATTCTGCATGTATTTCTGTGAAGGGACCATAACGGTCATTATTTTCTTAAAGGGTTTAAGCATTTATAAACCACTAAGCCAAAGAAAAGAGCACTAAATTTATAGTCTGGAGACCTGAATCCAAATCTCAGCTCCAACATGTATCATTGTGTGAAACCCATTTTCTTCATTATAACATAGGATAGTAATGGAGAATCAACCCGAAACACCTCTAAGGATTTATTTTGAGTTTAGAAGAGGTAATATATTTGACGGGGCCTTGTAAACTGAATTGTGACAATAATGATGATCACTACTACTCTGTTAGTCCATTCTTGCACTGCTGTGAAGAAATACCTGAGACTGGGTAATTTATAAAGGAAAGAGGTTTAATTGACTTACAGTTCTGTGGGCTGGGCAGGCATCAGGAAACTTACAGTCATGGTGGAAGGGGAAACAAACACATCCTTCTTCACATGGTGGCAAGAGAGAGAAGTGCTGAGCAAAAGGAGGAAAAGCCCCTTATAAAACCATCAGATCTCATGAGAAGTCACTATCACAAGAACAGCATGAGGGTAACCACACCCATAATTCAATTACCTCCAACCAGGTCCCTCCCACAACACATGAGGATTATGGGAACTAAAATTCAAGATGAGATTTGGTAGGGACACAGCCAAACCATATCAACTACTACTATTACTACTAATGATTGTAAGAGGAGGAAGTTTGGTGGTGGTTGCTATGGGTTCAAGCAGCATACGTCAGTCATTCATACCTTGCCTGCCTTCTTATGGAAAGCATGGAGGAACAGCAAGGACAGGGACTGTGAATTAGAGTCCTTGAGTTCTTGTACCTGTTCTGCCCTGAATGTCTCAATGACTACTAGATTCTTCATCCATAAATTACAATAATGATACCCTACTTACTTCATTTTACAGGCATTAATAGGATGAAAGCAGGTCACAGGAATGTCTGTATATGAACATTTTAGTGTGTAACACAAACTTACTGAATATTTAGTTTTGCAATGACATACTCTAAACTTCCAGAACTTTCTTCTATAGATAAACTTCATTTGAGTAGCTTCTGTTGCAAATCATAATAAAAAGAAGAAAGAATTTATGGATTACCATGCAAACTCAGAGAAACAACAGTATCGGGTGGTTCAGAAGCAGCAACTTACAGAACTCAGTGATGGAGTCAGAACTGGATTTAAATCCCACCTCTTTTCACATAACTTCAAACCCACTTCCAGCTACTTTCCTGTATTTCTCCTTCTGTTTAGAGTGGAGTTTCTCCAAAGCATCGCCTGTACTCTTGGTCTCTACTTCTCCACTTCCTACTCCTTCCTTGCCCACTGCAGTTTGAATTCTGTCACCATCAGCCCCCTGAAACGTTTCATATTAAGGTTATCAGTGACCTCTATTTTGCTAAGTCCATAGGATGTTTTTTATTCCCCTTTCTTTAGTTCTCAGCAGCATGGGGCATCAGTGATCACTTTTTCCTCCTTTTAACATTCTCTTTCCTTGACTTTCTGGAATGTCACCCTGTCTGTTTTCTCCCTATATCTCTGATTCCTCCTTCCTAACCACTTTTCTTGAGTTTATAGTCCTTTTCTTGACCATTAACATTAATTTTTGTCACAGCTAGCTTCCTGGCCCTCTTCTCTCTTTGCCATCTCTTCCAAGATGATCTCAGCTATGCTCTTGACTTCATTTCTGTCTATATTTTGATGACTCTTTTATGTCCAGCCCAGATACTTAGTAGGTATTCAGTAAATGTTAGTTCGGTTTCCTTCCACTTTTCTTTTATTGTCTTACAAAGGAAAGTGCATCTGTGTCTTATTAGATCTATGAGTACAATATTCTAAAACTATGGGACCCTTTATGCTTCCGGTCTTAGAAAGAAACAGGCATAGCTGTTTTTGAAATGAAGTTAGCTGTTTGGAAGAGTGGACAAATCCTTCTGAATCAAGAACCATGTGTCTCTTTTACTATGACTTGGGGCTTTCTGAAAACAGCAATGCAGGTCACCCCTATCTCAGAGCTTAGGGTCAGCAAATCCTGTTTGAAACTGTGGAAACAAGTGTTGATAAACAGATTGAGTATTTTATACTCTTGATTTACAATAATCCTCTTAGGCCCCATCTCTGAAGAGAAGTGTTTTGCAAGCTTATAAATTAAGTAAACAAGAACTGGATGTGCCCGTACATGTAACTGGTAACCAAAGTTTCTCTTCATGTGGGGCCAAATTTGCAGATATTTCACTCTTTAGCAGAGATCACCTTATGTCAATCATAAATTTTGACTCTTTTCCTCTAAACTTGATTCTCTTAGAGGTTCTTAACTAACAGTGTCTCTGAATTAGGTTCTGGTGACAACAGGGTTTAGTGAGAACATTTTGGCATAATCCACAAGTGCTAGATTCAAGGTTGGCAGCAAAGCAAAACTTAAAATCCAGGGTCTGTGGCCCATCTGTCTGATGAGTATCTTTTGAGCATTTGTGATACATGAATGAACCAAGCAAACAAAGTCTTTGCTTTCATAAAAATATACACACACATACATATATAAACATGCAGTACATACATGCAAATATGCATACTATATACATATACACATATGCATATATACAGATATAGCCAGCCATTGATAAATGCTCTAAGGAAAATTGTAGATAAATAAGGAGATATAGAGCATTGGTTTCAAAGCCCTTAATGTTGTCTTTGTTGTGCTAGTGCATATTTTTTTCCTCAGCCTTTCTTTTTTCCTACTTTCCCTGAATTTTTCTGTTATTCCTCTGAGGACAGCTAATTTTTCTTGATCTGATTTATTCCTCAAACTTCTTTTGCTTTTGTAATTCCCATAATCCCACTAAATATCAATTTCTTAAAATTCACTAGTCCTCTATATCGCGAATCGCAGATAGATTAAAACTTCCCATTAAAGGCTGTACAAATCCCCCTCAAGCAAAGAAAGGGAAAAAAAGGACAATAACATTTATTAAGAATCTGCAGTATGTTTGGCACTGTGCTTAGTGATAATAGTTTCACGTATATTATCTCATTTAATTCTAGATGAGGAAATGAGGATTATTGGGAGCTCTCAAACTTCACTTCTAAAAATTTTTCTCTCTTTCCATTCTGCTCTTTTGTATTGAGAGTCCCCTTTTAGCCTTTATGACTTTTTAAACCTTGGACCGTCATTCTGATAACTGGGGTGTTGAGTCTATCACTGAATATTTACTTAGCCTTCCCTGAGCTAGGACAGTCAGTGTGATAATATTAACACCTTTCATTCCCCCATGGTATACAAAGATAATCAGTAAATTCTTGATGGCTCTGAGTTCAGAAAGATTTCTTACAGAAATTAGCTGGATATTATTATACATTTCTTTTTTTTTTTTTTTTTCTTTTTTTTTGAGACGGAGTCTCGCACTTTCACCCAGGCTGGAGTGCAGTGGCACTATCTCAGCTCACTGCAAGCTCTGCCTCCCGGGTTCACACCATTCTCCTGCCTCAGCCTCCTGAGTAGCTGGGACTACAGGCGCCTGCCACCGCGCCCGGCTAATTTTTTGTATTTTTAGTAGAGACGGGGTTTCACCGTGTTAGCCAGGATGGTCTCGATCTCCTGACCTCGTGGTCTGCCCGCCTCGGCCTCCCAAAGTGCTGAGATTACAGGTGTGAGCCACTGCGCCCGACCTATTATACGTTTCTTTGGTTTCTGTTTTGCATGCAAATAAAAGAAAGTGCTCAGGGCATTGGGGTCTTCTCTAGAAGACCAAGGGTCTGTGCTGATTTAGGACATAAATCCTCTTATTTTCTACCTCCCAACTGGTTACCAGTAGCTCAGCACAGTGCCTGGTGGCATAGGGGCATGTGTAGGGAAGTCATAAGATGCCTGTTCCTTTGCCCTGTCCCCATCTTCTGTATATTCCAGCATGTCTGGAAGGCTGTGTCCATCTGAAGGGTTTTAGATGGTGTGGGAGTAATAATCAAGGTTGCATTGTAGAAGAACCAATCAGGAAAGAGTACAGAAAGCCTGATTGGACATTCTTAGTTGAGTTGTCTTTGGACATCTAAGAGGAGGCATTTGAAGAGTGGTTGGATACTTGACCTGGAACTCATAAGAAAGAAATGGACAGGAGTTAAGGTCATATATTTGGAAGTCCTCAGCACTAGATGGTAACTGGAGCAATGAGAAGAGGTTAGGATCATCCAAGAGGAGATAAAGAGTAAGAAAATGGTGAAAGACAGTAGATCTCTGGAAGACGTCATATGTTTAATGAACAAGTGAAGAAGGAGAAACAGCCAAAGAGGAGGGAGGAAAATCAAGAGAGAATAGTGTTTCAGAAACAAGAGAACAAATGAGGAAGGAGTGGTCAAATGATGTAAAATGCCCAAAATGATTCATCGGCATTAACAACAAAGAGGGTATTGTTCCTCATGGTAGTACCAGTTTCAGTAGAATGGAGCAGGCAGAATGCATAGTGTATTGGGTTAAGAAGTAAGGAACTAGGCCGGTTGCAGTGGCTCACACCTATAATCCCAGCACTTTGAGAGGCTGAGACGGGCGGATCACGAGGTCAGGAGATCAAGACCATCCTGGCCAACATAGTGAAACCCCATCTCTACTAAAAATACAAAAAATTTAGCTGGGCATGGTGGCACACGCCTGTAGTCCCAGCTACTCGGGAGGCTGAGGCAGGAGAATCACTTGAACCCAGGAGGCAGAGGTTGCAGTGAGCTGAGATCACACCACTGCACTCCAGCCTAGTGACAGAGCAAGACTCTGTCTGGAAAAAAAGAAAAAGAAAAAGTAAGGAACTAGAGACAGGCAATATGGAAGCTTCTTTTCTAAGACTTTCTCTTGTTGGTAGAAAAGGCACAAGTATATTTTGTTATACCATGTATTCTGATTTTTTGGTTTAAGAGTATGACCACCATACTCTCTGGGCAGCCTGTGAACCCATAGAATTAGGTGATTTATGGAGAGGGAGAGGACATGAGAGATTTCAGGGATGTTGTCTGCATTTAAGATCACAAGCAATAGGTCCGAAAAAAAAAATCTTCTTTGATTCTTGGATTTTTAAAAAACTAGAAATGAGTTTCTTATGATGGCAAAGAAGAGGAAACTATTTATTGATAAACCTGTCATTTTATAGTGCTCAGGGCTCTATGTTTAATCTTCATAGCAGCCTTTAAGTAGACAGTATTAGCCCCAATAGCAAAAAAGCAAATAGGCTCAGAGAGGGTTTGCCTACCTGATCATCCAGCTGGTACGTGGTAAAGTCACTTTATGATTATTGAAACTATATTTTCTTCATGATACCCAGTGGGATGTGGACAGCAAAAGTTTCTCCTTTTGAGACAGGATATATCAACCTGGGGTTCATGAGAGAGAGGGTGAGCGATCCACTTGGGATCACAGTTAATATGTGATTCCCTAGCTAGAAGAAGGCAGGCTGCCATTTGAGAAGGAACTGATAAAACATGCAAAATGACACAAAGTCAGAACCAAAAAAGGCATCATGCAAGGTTAAAATTATGTGAATAATGATGTGTATTAGTTAGTTTAATGTCTTCCAAGTGCATTTCATTTTGAATGATATACTCAGATAGCACACATGGTAAGGTATAATTGAAAAAACATGTAGGAGAATGGCTGCATTCAAAGAATAAACATACAGCTGCAAGGAGGTTAGGAGTCAAAGGGGTAAGCATATGCCCCATCCCTCAGGGATCTCATTAGTGCATGAGTGGCCATATATGTAGAGGCTAAATGAATCTCACTGTTTGCAAAGACCTGCAGTAAATGAGACAATGACGAATCAATAATAATTAGGCCTATACGTTCTTATTGACCCAGATGTCTGAAACCAAATGCCCTGCTCAGAGATTCCTTGAGAGGCAGAATGAAAAGATTTATAGACATGCGTTTCCAAAAAAAAAAAAAAAAATCCCTTTACTTTAAGAACAGTGGCTATTCTGAAGTGGAAAGTCGCAAGAATTAGTGCAGACTCTTGACTTCTGGCTAGAAAAGATGTTCTCAAGGCTTTTCTTGTGAATGTGATTCCTGTTGGACCAGGAGCAGAGAGAGCAAAGAGATGGAAAACCAGGAGGTTATCATATTCGTGTTCGCTGATACGTTGTTCTGGCTGTACCTTGTATGGAGGCTTCAGAGGATCCTTTCCTGAAGCCATAATAGAATCATTCTAAAACAGGGTTTGTGTTTTTAGGGCTTTGATAAATAATTTCTGACCTAAGATACAGAAAGTCCATGGCTTCAGAATCACAAGGAGAAGGGTTTAAAGCTGGACTCAGACCTGTCTCTTCACCTCTTGAAGCATCTCCTCTGTATGTTAGTGGTACCTCCCCAACTGGGCAGTGTTGGAAGGTCTGGTGTACATTTAGGGAATGGCAACTGGTGTTAACTGTAGTTGTTAAGCCTTTTCCCAGTAATATCTTATTCCTCCTAATAAGATCTAAGGAAGAAGATTTTTGCAGATGAGAATGAGCTATTACAGCAAGAAGCAAATAAACTGCTGGTAGGTAGGGCGGTTGGGCTGCCCTCACCTCCACCCTAGTACACATCACACGCACTCACACACACACACATATACATGCATTCACATTTACACACTCACTCATGCTCACACAGAGCAGCTTTGCTTTTCTATATTTTTACATTGAATATTTACATACAATTTTTGTTTAATAAAGGAGTTCTACTGGACGGGTGTGGTGGCTCAAGCCTGTAATCCCAGCACTTTGGGAGGCCGAGGTGGGCAGATCACGAGGTCAGGAGATTGAGACCATCCTGGCTAACACGGTGAAGCCCCGTCTATACTAAAAATACAAAAAAAATTAGCCAGGCGTGGTGGCGGACGCCTGTGGTCCCAGCTACTCGGGAGGCTGAGGCAGGAGAATGGCGTGAACCCGGGAGGCGGAGCTTGCAGTGAGCCGAGATCGCGTCACTGCACTCCAGCTTGGTGACAGAGCAAGATTCCATCTCAAAGAAAAAAATAAAATAAAATAAAAAATAAGTAAAGGAGTTCTACTGGTAAATGGGGAAAAAAAGAGAATTTAAAAATCAATGCTCTACTCATTGGTTTGTTTCCCTACACCAAGTACAGGAAACTTTTGGCAACTTCATGGGATCCATGGGATCACTCACCCAATCACAAACTAGAACTAGAAATCACTGAGCCTTCCTTCTAAAACACTTTTAAAATGCAAAGCATAAATAATGCCTTAGGTATCTTAGATATTAACCTCCTTTGGATATTGATTTCCTATACTTTTTTTTCTGCCATTATACAAGCCATGTTTTTAACCTTTAAAGAGACTTCCAAGGACCCCAGTGGGAAGTAGCACAGATGCCAACTACTGCAATATCCACTTTCTTTTGAAATCATTGGTTCAGAACTTTTAGAAAGCAGCATCTTTTAAGAGGGGAAGGTTGACCAGCTTTCATCTTTGTGTCATGTGGTGTGATTTAACCCGGTGAGGTAGGTGTTATTAAACCTATTTTATGAGTGGGAAAATTGGAGGTCAGAGGTTAAGTCACTGGCCCATTTTACCGAGCTAGGAGAGGTAGTATCAAGATTTGAACTGAGTAGTGCTCTCATGCCCATCATCTTCTCTCCACCTCCTCTTCACCTGAACATGTAAAGAATGAAGGAGTTGGTTTGACTCCCTCATTCTACACATGAAGAAACTGAGACTTAAAAAGGAGAAAAAAAACCAGGCGAGGTGGCTCACACCTGTAATCCTAGCACTTTGGGAGGCCGAGATGTGTGGATCACCTGAGGTCAGGGGTTTGAGACCAGCCTGGCTAACATGGTGAAACCCCGTCTCTACTAAAAATACAAAAATTAGCTGGGTGGGGAGGCTGAGGCAGGAGAATCGCTTGAATCTGGGAGGCGGAGGTTGTAGTGAGCCGAGATTGCACCATTGCACTCCCACCTGGGCAACAAGACTGAAACTCCATCTCAAAAAAAGAAAAAGAAAAAACGTACACAATGTCATCTGGTGGGTTTAGGTTGAAAATCAGGTCTCTAACTCCTGATCCTAACTGCATTTATGACATTCAGTCACTTTACTTAGCAAAATCCTATCCTGAGTCTGGGAACTTATAATTTCTCTCCATTTATCAACTCATCATCATTATTACAATTAGGAATACTGATTTTAATAAATTATTGACATATGACCAGTACTGTACAGTTTACAAAATACTGCGCCTTCACATACATAATCTTCTTTGATCTTCACAATAACCCTATGAGGTAAGTTGGACAGGGATTATGATATCTGTTTTTACAGATGAGAAGAGGGTGGTTCAGAAAGTTTGAATAACTTTCTCATGGCCATACATCTACTAAGAGTAAAGCCATTCCTGGATCCAGTCTTCTGACTCCAAACCTTTCTACTAGGATGTGGCACCTTTCTTGGTGATAGTACAGTGTGATTTGAGAGTACAGTGGGCTAGCTTCTCTGAAGCTTTTAGGAGCCTGCTTACTTTCCTGGATCTGGAAGTACAAATGGTTTCTTTCTATAGAATGATTTGCTCCCTGACCCTATCCCCCCTTTAAAAATAAAATTCACTTCTCTTCCAGATGCCAGAGTATATATGCATATTTGAACAGTCACCTGGATCTGATTAAGAAGGCTCAGCCTGTGGGTTTCCTTACTGTTGATTTACATGTTTGGCCAGATTTCCATGGCAACCGGTCTCCCTTAGCAGATCTGACACTAAAGGGCATGGTAAGTAACAGCTAGTCCTTGCACATGGGTGAAGGCAGGCCAAAGGGCTACAAAGTTTGGAAGAAGCAAAGTGAGGAAAAAGGAAAAGAAAAAAATAAAACAGGCCAACAGCCCTCTGGCTTTGTGCAGATGCATTGCTGTTGCTGCTCCCTGGGATGAGCTGCTGAAAGTTTTCATTGTTTCTGAGCCAACCTTGAAAGCGTTAAAAGCAGCATTTCCTAGTTCAGCTACTGCTGCCTCTTTGTCCTGTGGAGTGGCTAAAAGTCATGCCTATGTAATTTTGGCATTTATATCAGTTTGTAAAGTCAAATTTTCCAGCTGCATCTTTAGGTTGCCCAGTAAATCAGTAGTAAATATTACCACCCATGGTCTTGCTGGCCACAGCCACACATCTGCCTAGGCTCTGAGTCAGGGCTGTTCAGATTCTACACTAATATAGTTAGGATTTCAGATTAAACTTTGGTATAAGTAAATGTAATTTATAACTTATGTTGGAAAATAAATCCTGCTCTTAGTGCCCTTTAGGGTCACTTCCTCTGTGGATATTCTAGGCTCTCCTAGAGGGGCCAGATGAACTTGGTGGGAGAACTCTCAACCACCCCAGTTGAGATATAAAAGTAATAACATCTTAGACACCAGGAGAATCATGTTTGAGGTGTGATGAAGCAGGTTAAAGGTAGAGGAGGGGCCAGGTGAGGCCACAAATAAGAAAATAAGCCATGAATGCAGGAACCAGGAAAATGTCATGAAGCTGAGAAGGTGAGTGTGAGGTACATTAAGGCAGAGTTCAGAATGGAGGCTGTAAACAAGGCAAGGCTTATGCAAAGGAAGCCGCGTAACAGTGGAGCAGGCCTGATGGAGTCAAGAATTCAAGACTCAAACTACTACAATTTTGTGGTTAGTTTTATTGAGATTGTTTTAAATATTTTTATGATGCCAGCAGGAAGACCTGAAATTTATTTTCATTACCTAGTTGACATGATCAACTTCTATTACTAAAAGGGAGTCATGGTGAAAAGAAAAGAAAATTAGACATGACAAAGGTTATGTTGATCTGGAGTCCATGAAGCATGCCTACACAACAAATCATGAGCTTGGTGTCCTTTTTTATAGAGGCAGAAGAATAATGTCCAGAGAGGGCCATGTGGCAACAGACCGCAACTAGAAAGTCATACTTTCAGATAACCAACTCTCTCTGTAAACAGGGGGTAGGGGAAGAACACATTTCATATGGGTACAGAAATAAGTGTCTTAATTAGAGACAAATATCTGAAGCCAAATAGAGCTAGATATTTAAAATGTTGAAGCAGTTAAGAAGCTTGACCAGTGTTTTAAATGACCCCAAAACAAAGCAGTGTTGCATAGTAAAATGGTCATTGCTCTGGAGGTCATTTGTTGCTTTAGATAAAACTGACCTAGGAGCCTTCCCTAGCCAATGTCTGTCATACCCAAATTCAGTACCCAGCATGTCAGGCTTCATGTCTCCCAGTAGCTTTTATCCATTTTTTAAAACCAATCCTGACATCCAAGACCTAAGAATTATCATCAGAAGGATATTCTAATACAGTTGACCCAAATGCAGAATGAAATTCCAAAGAAATCAATGGAGTGTTCTGAAGAATTCTCATATCATGAGAATAAGTATGTATGCACCAAAAGGAACTTCTTACATGGGGACATATGCCCAGTTGTATCTAAAAATCCTGGGTATGTTTACTTTTTTAAAAAGTTGTATGTTTGTTCACATACCTCATATATCACTTGGTAGTTCTTGGCAATGATTCCCTTTATAACTGTCCTTGGGTTAGGCTGCAATGGAACAGTTATCACTCCATGAATTTGCATCACAACACTGGAAGGAGAAGATGACCTAAATAAGATAGAAGGAAAGCAATTCTGAGCTAAACACTTCACCCCAAATCTCCTTCCTTCAGTCCAGTTTTGGAAAACATCAAAATAATGACCCTGAAATTCTTCTGTTATGTTATATCCTTTTGCTGGAAACTACGATGATGCCTATCTCCAGCACTCATTCAGCAAATATTAATTGGGTTCCTATTGTATGCCAGGCACTGCCGTAGATATGAGTAAGATGCAACAATACCTACCTTCATGGAGTATGTTTAAAGTTGGGAGTGGGCGAGTGCTTGAAAAAATGTTAATAGGAACTAGCAGGATAATTCCAATAAAGCAAGATCCATGTACAATTTCTTCTTTTGGCCCCTAAAACGTTTCCCTGGACACAGAGTAAGTGCTCAGTATATGCTTATTTATAATTTATAGGCAACATAGAGATAATAAAGAGGTCATTTGTTGCCTTAGATAAAACAAACATATGAAGAATTTAATAATACCAAATGAATTAAGTGGCTACTGACACTGACTATCCATATCGTAAGTATTTAATACCAATATTAATTTCCAAGTAAATGAAGATAAACTCCAATTGTATCATAATTATGAGACTGTTTATTCATCAAACAAATACAGGCCCTGTTACAGTTGTTGGGGGATATAAGAGTAGCTAGACACAATCCCAGCCCTCAGGAATATCACCATCTTTGGGAGGCAGACAAAATATATAAACAGGGAATGGAAAGATAGTATTAAGCTCCAGATGTCCTTCACTGTCCAGAGCTCTCCAGATGCATGGAAGACGATTGCCCAACCTGGTCCCAGCGGTCAGGAAAGCTCCAGACAGGAAGTAACATTGACACTGAGTGAAGCTGGGAAGGGGGTTTGAGGCCAAGGGAATCATAGTATGTGCAGTATTCTAGAGGGAAGAGAGCATGGCATGTGAATGTCTACAATTTTGGCTCCTTGTATCATTGTCTAACCAATGATAGATTGCCTTTAGCATTTTATCTTAATAATAAAAAAAGAAAATTTTCTCGGATTTCTCAGAGAACCACTGGATATCTGTATATTCCGGCTTTGGCAGCGTTGCACTCTCCCAGTTCTCTACTCTCCCCTCAGGTGACTCTTTTCTTGCATTGTTAAACATTTACCCATTCACTGTGTTTTTATTGAATACCTGCTATGTGCAGGCCTGTGCTAAACCCAGGTAATACAAAGAAAACAGAAAAGTACCTATCCTAAGTTCACATAAAAGTAGGGGAGGTAATTATTGTACATGTGTGTATGTGTGTGTATATAATCATTTTACAGTGTGATCTCTGTAATAATCAGTGCAAGCTGAAGGAGATGCTCAATACATGTCTGACTTTGAAATTGTTTTTATGTGGCATTGGGCTAGCAAACCCTGATGCAGCCTTTTTCTGCTTCTCTTGAAAATATTTGTAAAAATGCAAAAAAGTCATGAATTCATGCAGGCCTTAGGAATTAGGATGGTGTTCAACTAGGAAAACTAGAATTGGTATTCCCAATTATATGATGAATGCAACTTGTTTGATAACATCATATATGACATAAGAACAAAGTCATGTGTGATCCACTGTGGAAACAGTTTGGACCTCGCCACCTTCTGCTCCCTTGCATAAAAGCACAAGGTTCTTTTAAACCTGAAAACAGCATAGCTATTCCTCTACTTTACTGCTAATGGTTGGGTTTTTTGTTTTCTTTTTGGAAAGCAGCCAGTGAGTTTAAATTCCTAGATCCCCCCACAACCCTGTTCCCAGCCACTCTTTCAGTTCATTCCATTTGAAAACTGCCAGCTCAAGAATCCACCCAAGCAGGAAGTGTGAATTAGGAGGAAGGGTGATGGCTTGCATTCTAAGCATCTGTTAATGGGGCAGATGTAGGAAAGGCCTTAGTAGTTCTGTAAACTTGGGAGGAAGGGTGTAGTTTGCACTACTAGTTCTAGGCTCGGAAAGCCAGGCAGTGCTGATCTAC
Source organism: Homo sapiens (assembly GCF_000001405.40). Taxonomy (NCBI): domain Eukaryota; kingdom Metazoa; phylum Chordata; class Mammalia; order Primates; family Hominidae; genus Homo; species Homo sapiens. The sequence goes on from NC_000001.11 coordinate 59,642,228, forward strand.
CTCAGTCCAACAAAGCTACAGAAAATAAAAACTGCTGTACTCTGCCAACTGGCATTTAGCTGTAGATCTGAAGAGACAAATTTAAGTATACAGTGAGTGGGGATAAGAGCAAATCACGGCTGTGTGCGGTGGCTCACGCCTGTAATCCCAGCACTTTGGGAGGCCGAGCCAGTTGGATCATGAGGTCAGGGGTTCGAGACCAGCCTGACCAACATGGTGAAACCCCGTTTCTACTAAAAATACAAAAATTAGCTGGGCGTGGTGGTGGACGCCTGTAATCCCAGCTACTCAGGAGGCTGAGGCAGGAGAATTGCTTGAACCTGGTAGGCGGAGGTTGCAGTGAGCTGAGATTGTGCCACTGCACTCCAGCCTGGGTGACAAGAGCGAGACTCCGTCTCAAAAAAAAAAAAAAAAAAAGAGCAAATCATGTGTACTGTATGCTGGGAAATACTGAACATGTGTACCTGTCTAGTTAGCGTAAATGTTGAAAAATAATGGCCCCTTAGAAAAACCATTACATACGGCTGGACGCGGTGGCTCACACCTGTAATCCCAACACTTTGGGAGGCCGAAGCGGATGGATCACGAGGTCAGGAGATCGAGACCATCCTGGCTAACATGGTGAAACCCTGTCTCTACTTAAAAAAGTACAAAAAAATTAGCCGGGCATGGTGGCGGGTGGCTGTAGTCCCAGCTACTCGGGAGGCTGAGGCAGGAGAATGGCGAGAACCTGGGGGGTGGAGCTTGCAGTGAGCCAAGATCACGCCACTGCACTCTAGCCTGGGTGACAGAGTGAGACTCCATCTCAAAAAAAAAAAAAAAAAGAAAAACCATTACATACAAAGAAAAAAATACCATTGTGAACACTTAAAGGAAAGCCCTCTTGAAAATTATTTACTACTGAAACCAAAAGAAAATGTTAGAGAACTTTGTGGTATATTCAATGGAATATTTTTAATTTTTTTTTAAGAGACAGGATCTTGCTCTTTGTCACTCAGACTGGAATGCAGTGGTGCAGTGGCCTAATCAGAACCCACTGTAACCTTGAACTTCTGAGCTCAAGCAGTCCTTCCATCTCAGCCTCCCAAGTAGCTAAGACTACACAGGCACATGTCAGCATGCCCAGCTAATTTTTAAAATATTTTTTTGTAGAGATGGGGTCTCACTCTGTTGCCAAGGCTGGTCTCAAACTGCTGGCCTCAAGCCGTCTTCCCACTTCAGTCTCCCAAAGTGTTGAGATTATAGGCATGAAACACTGTTCCCAGCCAGAAATTTTGTTTCAAGGCATATCTCTATGAAATAGGCCAGAAACTTATTAGGAAAGAACAAGTTAAGATGAAAGGACAATGGAATGAGAAAAAGGGGGAAATGGCAAAGACCACAAGACAACTAAAAATGCAATCAAAGAATTAAAACCTACATTGAAAGCAATAGGGAGTATAATTTTCACTGAAGAAAATAAGATCAAGGCTGTCATAAGACATAACATATGTTTTAAATTTACTCTATAGGAAAAACATTTTGAGGATAGGAGCAATGGCTTATTTACTTTTTAAAATATCAACAGTTCTTAGGTCAGAAGCTGGCACCAAATAATTGCCTTATGGTCAAACAGTTATTTCAATCACTGTTTGCCAAATGAGGAATGAACAGTGACCTGCCCAAAGTCACAAAGCCAAGAAGTGGCAGCGCTTGCCTTTTAGGATGCAAACTCTGGACTTTGCAAAACGCATGGAGGACTATTAAGAAAGGGAGTTTAAACATGCATTATACATGGTTTCATAGTGAACCATGTTCCTTAAGCTAGTCCTTGGCTCTTCTGTTCTTCTGACCACCAACCTTGTGGCTTGTCCTCCCACTTTTACCCTAACCATGGTCTTTGGATTTAAACTCTGACCCTGTCTCTTCTCAGTAAGGTACTAGTTTCCTTCCCACCCTAACTGACTCAGATTTAAAAAAAAATAGCCACTCGTGGTTTGACCTGGTTCTAATGCCTTCCACACTAGGTGCCTACCTTGGTAAGTAGGAACAGGACATAACCCAGGAATCTCTTCCTTATGCTTGATAGTATCATTTTCTTTTTGTTCTGGTAACAGTTGACTCCTATCATGTGACTAGCTGTTTCATTTTTCTTTTGATGATACAATATCAGCCTGAAGCACTGGACTAAAGAGAGGTGGAGGAGGTGGGGGATGAGCAGCCTAATAGCATGGCTGGACTAGGTACCCCACTATGTAAACATTTCTCCTTTCCAGTTGATAAATGAAGCACAGAAAGGTGAGGGCTACACATACGATTATTTAAAAGAAGCAGAATCTTAAGTAATAACAGTCGGTCTCAAAACAGTAAGCGCTGATGATTTTAGGTTCATTAAAAACAAGACAGACACGCCCCCCCCCACCCAAAGAAAAATGCTTACTTTTAAAGTAAGAAAATGACATGGTCACACATAAAGGTAGATGAATATAGGCCGGGTGCGGTGGCTCACGCCTGTAATCCCAGCACTTTGGGAGGCCGAGGCGGGTGGATCACGAGGTCAAGAGATTGAGACCATCCTGGCCAACATGGTGAAACCCCGTCTCTACTAAAAATACAAAAAATTGGCTGTGCGTGGTGGCACACACCTATGGTCCCAGCTACTCAGGAGGCTGAGGCAGGAGAGTCGCTTGAACCCAGGAGGCAGAGGTTGCCGTGGGCTGAGATCACGCCACTGCATTCCAGCCTGGCAAGACAGCGAGGCTCCATCTCAAAAAAAAAAAAAGATAGATGAAGATAAATACTCACCATCAGGAATAGTTGCATGTTTTAGGGATTTTTTTGGTGGTTATTTTTATTTTAAATGTTTTGTTGAATGGTTTTTACCACTGCAAAGCAGTAAAGAGGGCCCAGGTTTTGAAATCGGACTTATGTTTGAACTTGTCTTGAAGATATACCAGTGTATGACCTTTGGCGGGTTAACTCTGTGCAGCTGATCTGCTCATGAGGAAGCAGGAGTGGCCCAGGCTTCTTTGCAGGGTCACTGTCAGCGCCAGACAGTAGGTGTTGGCACGATGGACAGACAGCACAACAATGCCCTTGAATTGGCAGCTCCTGCTTGGTGGCCTTTACTTGCATCTTTACGAGATGGCCAGTAGGATCCTGTGTGGCTTTTGAACCCTGAGCAGCCAGCCGTGGGCCTCCCACTTTAGCCCCAGAACTGACTGGACTCACCAGCCCAAACAACCAGCCAGAGAAGCCCACCAGTCCCTTGGTCCTCACAGAAAGCAAGTTTCATACAGCTCTTGAGATTGATCTTCTTTGTTCAAGTCCTTGGCCCTCAGTTTCCTCATCAATACAACAGGAAACTCAAATGTGGTGTACCTTATGGAATAGCTAGCATTGTAGGAATTTTCAAAGAGTCCTTGCCGTCTGGTATATATGAGCAGTTTCTATTCACAAAAAATTGGCGTGGCCTTTGTTTTGTGGTGTTTGGGATTTTTAAAAATTATTTTCCTGAAATAACCACTCAACCACTCAACAAAGCAATGACCTTGGAGACATATCAGGCCCTGAAAACACACCAAATGCACCCTATTCATCATTGGTTGAAACATGTTTTCTCTGCTTCATGTTAAAAGTACAGAACTACCCAGAACAAAAAGTGATTTTCTGCTTCTTTGAAGAGCTGTGACTTCTAACATCAGAGCGTATGCTACTCAAACTGCTGGAGAGGTTGAATGCTGCTCCAACAACTCTTCAAAGCAAACACAGAGATAGTGTGTATGTGGGAGACCAGGAGAGAGTCAGGGAGGAAGCACTGGGAGATCTTAGCCAGTTTCCAAGGGACTGAATCCCAGCTAGCTGTAGGCATCACTAAACAGATCCAGATGTGGAAGGAGTCAGCAACTCAGGGTATCTGCAAGAGCTCAATAGAGAGCAGAGGTTGCACCCCTGTGGCTTTTCCGATAGGGAGATGGATGATAGAGCTGGAAGCTCATGAGCTAATTGAAGTAGCTTTCAAATGATGTATTTATAAGCTTTGGAAACACATGGTCTCTTTGATATGAGTTTGTGGATGTTTTTGCTGTTATTTAACACTGATTTATTCGGACTTTTTTTTTACATATTTTTGCTTATGAAAAATCAAATCCTATAACAAAGCTTAATATCCTCAGTGTCTTTACCTGGTTTTCTGATTATATATATATAATCACAATACCAAATTGGTGTTTTCCAAATTGGTCACAAATTTTACTGAATATATATATATGTTTTACTGAAAATACATATTTTTTATTTGTATATTTATATATAAATTTACATATTTATATTTTATTTAAAATATGTATTTTACTGAAAAAATATATATATTTTACTGAAGTGACTAATTCGCCAGCTGGTATTGTGATTTTTAATAGGTACCATTTTTCAGGCACCTGATGCACCAGGCACCATGGTAGATGCTTTCCATGTATCATCAACAACCTTCACAACAACCGTGCAAGACAATGTTGTTGTCCCATTTAAAAGAAGAGAGAAACCGAGGCTCAAGGAGTTTAAGTAGCTTACTCAGAGGAGAAAAGGGTATAAGTGGAACGGGAACCAGTCAATTCAAACCTGGGTCAATGACATTCTTTGGGGAAAAAGAAAAATAAAAAACTAGATCTTTGTCATTACTGTTGTTTTCATTGCTTCTGCTTTGTTTTTAATGTGCCTGGCATCTTTCTTTTTCATTTTAATGACTTTTTAAATTCTATCACAGAATCAGACTTTCCTTTCTTACTGCTCCTTTATCTTTCCTATATACACTAAACAACAAGTAAAACCAGGGAATGGACTATGGGCAGGAGTGTTTCCCAAGGTCATGTGGCATGATAAAAGACTGAGGGGCGAATCAGGTGGAATCTACTGGGAAGGTCCAAGACATAAACAATGCAAAGGAACTAAGGCCAGAGGACCAAGGATAGAGTCCATTGTGTATAATCTTGGTGTGCAGACCCAAGACAGGGTTAGACAACAGCAAGTATGGGCCAGAAGAGTTGTACAGACCAGCTTCGAGAAACAGTATATGAGCATATCAAAATGGCTTAGACTTAAACCCTCAGAAGCAAGGCAAACAAGGTGTGAAGGGCCTTTGGGTAAACAGCAAACAAAGTAGTGTTGTGTGGTGTAGAATTCACCAATAGAGTAAGGTCATGAGGGGCAGTGTCCATCCATCATTTTTGCTTGCTATAATAAATTACACAAATCTAGTGGCTTAAATTTATTCTCTTACAGTTCTTCAGGTCAGAAATCTAGGTTGGTTCTACTGGTTCCTCCGTAACCAAAGAAAGTGTTCACAAGGCCAAAATCAAAGGTTTTATTGGAAGGTTCTGGGAAAAATCTGCTTCCACACTCATTCAAGTGGTTGACCTAATTTAGTCCCATGCAGTTGTAGGGCTGAGGTCCCTGTTTCCATGTTAAAGGTCAGCCAGTGATCCTTCTCAGCTTTCAGAGGCCTCCGGCATTCCTGGGCCCACCACCCCTGCCACCATCTTTTTTTTTTTTTTTTTTTTTTATACTTTAAGTTTTAGGGTACATGTGCACATTGTGCAGGTTAGTTACATATGTATACATGTGCCATGCTGGTGCGCTGCACCCACTAACTCGTCATCTAGCATTAGGTATATCTCCCAATGCTATCCCTCCCCCCTCCCCCCACCCCACCACAGTCCCCAGAGTGTGATATTCCCCTTCCTGTGTCCATGTGATCTCATTGTTCAATTCCCACCTATGAGTGAGAATATGCGGTGTTTGGTTTTTTGTTCTTGCGATAGTTTACTGAGAATGATGATTTCCAATTTCATCCATGTCCCTACAAAGGACATGAACTCATCATTTTTTATGGCTGCATAGTATTCCATGGTGTATATGTGCCACATTTTCTTAATCGAGTCTATCATTGTTGGACATTTGGGTTGGTTCCAAGTCTTTGCTATTGTGAATAGTGCCGCAATAAACATATGTGTGCATGTGTCTTTATAACAGCATGATTTATAGTCATTTGGGTATATACCCAGTAATGGGATGGCTGGGTCAAATGGTATTTCTAGTTCTAGATCCCTGAGGAATCGCCACACTGACTTCCACAATGTTTGAACTAGTTTACAGTCCCACCAACAGTGTAAAAGTGTTCCTATTTCTCCACATCCTCTCCAGCACCTGTTGTTTCCTGACTTTTTAATGATTGCCATTCTAACTGGTGTGAGATGGTATCTCATTGTGGTTTTGATTTGCATTTCTCTGATGGCCAGTGATGATGAGCATTTTTTCATGTGTTTTTTGGCTGCATAAATGTCTTCTTTTGAGAAGTGTCTGTTCATGTCCTTTGCCCACTTTTTGATGGGGTTGTTTGTTTTTTTCTTGTAAATTTGGTTGAGTTCATTGTAGATTCTGGATATTAGCCCTTTGTCAGATGAGTAGGTTGCGAAAATTTTCACCCATTTTGTAGGTTGCCTGTTCAGTCTGATGGTAGTTTCTTTTGCTGTGCAGAAGCTCTTTAGTTTAATTAGATCCCATTTGTCAATTTTGGCTTTTGTTGCCATTGCTTTTTGTGTTTTAGACATGAAGTCCTTGCCCATGCCTATGTCCTGAATGGTCATGCCTAGGTTTTCTTCTAGGGTTTTTATGGTTTTAGGTCTAATGTTTAAATCTTTAATCCATCTTGAATTGATTTTTGTATAAGGTGTAAGGAAGGGATCCAGTTTCAGCTTCCTACATATGGCTAGCCAGTTTTCCCAGCACCATTTATTAAATAGGGAATCCTTTCCCCATTGCTTGTTTTTCTCAGGTTTGTCAAAGATCAGATAGTTTTAGGTATGCGGCATTATTTCTGAGGGCTCTGTTCTGTTCCATTGGTCTATATCTCTCTTTTGGTACCAGTACCATGCTGTTTTGGTTACTGTAGCCTTGTAGTATAGTTTGAAGTCAGGTAGTGTGATGCCTCCAGCTTTGTTCTTTTGGCTTAGGATTGACTTGGCAATGCGGGCTCTTTTTTGGTTCCATATGAACTTTAAAGTAGTTTTTTCCAATTCTGTGAAGAAAGTCTTTGGTAGCTTGATGGGGATGGCATTGAATCTGTAAATTACCTTGGGCAGTATGGCCATTTTCACGATATTGATTCTTCCTACCCATGAGCATGAAATGTTCTTCCATTTGTTTGTCTCCTCTTTTATTTCCTTGAGCAGTGGTTTGTAGTTCTCCTTGAAGAGGTCCTTCACATCCCTTGTAAGTTGGATTCCTAGGTATTTTATTCTCTTTGAAGCAATTGTGAATGGGAGTTCACTCATGATTTGGCTCTCTGTTTGTCTGTTGTTGGTGTATAAGAATGCTTGTGATTTTTGTACATTGATTTTGTATCCTGAGACTTTGCTGAAGTTGCTTATCAGCTTAAGGAGATTTTGGGCTGAGACAATGGGGTTTTCTAGATATACAATCATGTCGTCTGCAAACAGGGACAATTTGACTTCCTCTTTTCCTAATTGGATACCCTTTATTTCCTTCTCTTGCCTAATTGCCCTGGCCAGAACTTCCAACACTGTGTTGAATAGGAGTGGTGAGAGAGGGCATCCCTGTCTTGTGCCAGTTTTCAAAGGGAATGCTTCCAGTTTTTGCCCATTCAGTATGATATTGGCTGTGGGTTTGTCATAGATAGCTCTTATTATTTTGAAATACGTCCCATCAATACCTAATTTCTTGAGAGTTTTTAGCATGAAGGGTTGTTGAATTTTGTCAAAGGCTTTTTCTGCATCTGTTGAGATAATCATGTGGTTTTTGTCTTTGGCTCTGTTTATATGCTGGATTACATTTATTGATTTGCGTATATTGAACCAGCCTTGATCCCAGGGATGAAGCCCACTTGATCATGGTGGATAAGCTTTTTGATGTGCTGCTGGATTTGGTTTGCCAGTATTGTATTGAGGATTTTTGCATCGATGTTCATCAGGGATATTGGTCTAAAATTCTCTTTTTTTTGTTGTGTCTCTGCCAGGGTTTGGTATCAGGATGATGCTGGCCTCATAAAATGCGTTAGGGAGGATTCCGTCTTTTCTATTGATTGGAATAGTTTCAGAAGGAATGGCACCAGCTCCTCTTTGTACCTCTGGTAGAATTTGGCTGTGAATCCGTCTGGTCCTGGACTTTTTATGGTTGGTAAGCTATTAATTATTGCCTCAATTTCAGAGCCTGTTATTGGTCTATTCAGAGATTCAACTTCTTCCTGGTTTAGTCTTGGGAAGGTGTATGTGTCCAGGAATTTATCCATTTCTTCTAGATTTTCTAGTATATTTGCATAGAGGTGTTTATAGTATTCTCTGATGGTAGTTTGTATTTCTGTGGGATTGGTGGTGATATCCCCTTTATCATTTTTTATTGCGTCTATTTGATTCTTCTCTCATTTCTTCTTTATTAGTCTTGCTAGCAGTCTATCAATTTTGTTGATCTTTTCAAAAAACCAGCTCCTGGATTCACTGATTTTTTGAAGGGTTTTTTGTGTCTCTATTTCCTTCAGTTCTGCTCTGATCTTAGTTATTTCTTGCCTTCTGCTAGCTGTTGAATGTGTTTGCTCTTGCTTCTCTAGTTCTTTTAATTGTGATGTTAGGGTGTCAATTTTGGATCTTTCCTGCTTTCTCTTGTGGGCATTTAGTGCTATAAATTTCCCTCTACACACTGCTTTGAATGTGTCCCAGAGATTCTGGTACGTTGTGTCTTTGTTCTCGTTGGTTTCAAAGAACATCTTTATTTCTGCCTTCATTTCGTTATGTACCCAGTAGTCATTCAGGAGCAGGTTGTTCAGTTTCCATGTAGCTGAGCAGCTTTGAGTGAGATTCTTAATCCTGAGTTCTAGTTTGATTGCACTGTGGTCTGAGAGATAGTTTGTTATAATTTCTGTTCTTTTACATTTGCTGAGGAGAGCTTTACTTCCAACTATGTGGTCAATTTTGGAATAGGTGTGGTGCGGTGCTGAAAAAAATGTATATTCTGTTGATTTGGGGGTGGAGAGTTCTGTAGAAGTCTATTAGGTCCGCTTGGTGCAGAGCTGAGTTCAATTCCTGGGTATCCTTGTTGACTTTCTGTCTCGTTGATCTGTCTAATGTTGACAGTGGGGTGTTAAAGTCTCCCATTATTAATGCGTGGGAGTCTAAGTCTCTTTGTAGGTCACTCAGGACTTGCTTTATGAATCTGGGTGCTCCTGTATTGGGTGCATATATATTTAGGATAGTTAGCTCTTCTTGTTGAATTGATCCCTTTACCATTATGTAATGGCCTTCTTTGTCTCTTTTGATCTTTGTTGGTTTAAAGTCTGTTTTATCAGAGACTAGGATTGCAACCCCTGCCTTTTTTTGTTTTCCATTTGCTTGGTAGATCTTCCTCCATCCTTTTATTTTGAGCCTATGTGTATCTCTGCACGTGAGATGGGTCTCCTGAATACAGCACACTGATGGTTCTTGACTCTTTATCCAATTTGCCAGTCTGTGTCTTTCAATTGGAGAATTTAGTCCATTTACATTTAAACTTAATATTGTTATGTGTGAATTTGATCCTGTCATTATGATGTTAGCTGGTGATTTTGCTCGTTAGTTGATGCAGTTTCTTCCTAGTCTCGATGGTCTTTACATTTTGACATGATTTTGCAGCGGCTGGTACCGATTGTTCCTTTCCATCTTTAGTGGTTCCTTCAGGAGCTCTTTTAGGGCAGGCCTGGTGGTGACAAAATCTCTCAGCATTTGCTTGTCTGTAAAGTATTTTATTTCTCCTTCACTTATGAAGCTTAGTTTGGCTGGATATGAAATTCTGGGTTGAAAATTCTTTTCTTTAAGAATGTTGAATATTGGCCCCCACTCTCTTCTGGCTTGTAGGGTTTCTGCCGAGAGATCAGCCGTTAGTCTGATGGGCTTCCCTTTGAGGGTAACCCAACCTTTCTCTCTGGCTGCCCTTAACATTTTTTCCTTCATTTCAACTTTGGTGAATCTGACAATTATGTGTCTTGGAGTTGCTCTTCTCGAGGAGTATCTTTGTGGCATTCTCTGTATTTCCTGAATCTGAACGTTGGCCTGCCTTGCTAGATTGGGGAAGTTCTCCTGGATAATATCCTGCAGAGTGTTTTGCAACTTGGTTCCATTCTCCCCATCACTTTCAGGTACACCAATCAGACGTAGATTTGGTCTTTTCACATAGTCCCATATTTCTTGGAGGCTTTGCTCATTTCTTTTTATTCTTTTTTCTCTAAACTTCCCTTCTTGCTTCATTTCATTCATTTCATCTTCCATTGCTGATACCCTTTCTTCCAGTTGATCGCATCGGCTCCTGAGGCTTCTGCATTCTTCACGTAGTTCTCGAGCCTTGGTTTTCAGCTCCATCGGCTCCTTTAAGCACTTCTCTGTATTGGTTATTCTAGTTATACATTCTTCTAAATTTTTTTCAAAGTTTTCAACTTCTTTGCCTTTGGTTTGAATGTCCTCCCGTAGCTCAGAGTAATTTGATCATCTGAAGCCTTCTTCTCTCAGCTCGTCAAAGTCATTCTCCATCCAGCTTTGTTCCGTTGCTGGTGAGGAACTGCGTTCCTTTGGAGGAGGAGAGACGCTCTGCGTTTTAGATTTTCCAGTTTTTCTGTTCTGTTTTTTCCCCATGTTTGTGGTTTTATCTACTTTTGGTCTTTGATGATGGTGGTGTACAGATGGGTTTTCGGTGTGGATGTCCTTTCTGTTTGTTAGTTTTCCTTCTAACAGACAGGACCCTCAGCTGCAGGTCTGTTGGAATACCCTGCCGTGTGAGGTGTCAGTGTGCTCCTGCTGGGGGGTGCCTCCCAGTTAGGCTGCTCGTGGGTCAGGGTTCAGCGACCCACTTGAGGAGGCAGTCTGCGGGTTCTCAGATCTCCAGCTGCGTGCTGGGAGAACCACTGCTCTCTTCAAAGCTGTCAGACAGGGACATTTAAGTCTGCAGAGGTTACTGCTGTCTTTTTGTTTGTCTGTGCCCTGCCCCCAGAGGTGGAGCCTACAGTGGCAGGCAGGCCTCCTTGAGCTGTGGTGGACTCCACCCAGTTCGAGCTTTTGGGCTGCTTTGTTTACCTAAGCAAGCCTGGGCAATGGCGGGCGCCCCTCCCCCAGCCTTGCTGCCGCCTTGCAGTTTGATCTCAGACTGCTGTGCTAGCAATCAGCGAGATTCTGTGGGCGTAGGACCCTCCGAGCCAGGTGTGGGATATAGTCTCGTGGTTCGCCGTTTTTTAAGCCGGTCTGAAAAGCGCAATATTCGGGTGGGAGTGACCCGATTTTCCAGGTGCGTCCGTCACCCCTTTCTTTGACTCGGAAAGGGAACTCCCTGACCCCTTGCGCTTCCCAGGTGAGGCAATGCCTCGCCCTGCTTCGGCTTGCGCATGGTGCTTGCACCCACTGGCCTGCGCCCACTGTCTGGGACTCCCTAGTGAGATGAACCCGGTACCTCAGATGGAAATGCGGAAATCACCCGTCTTCTGCGTTGCTCACGCTGGGAGCTGTAGACTGGAGCTGTTCCTATTCGGCCATCTTGGCTCCTCCTCCTGCCACCATCTTTTAAGCCAGCAATGATGGGTCAAATCTTTCTCATGCTTTGAACCACTCCGATTTCTATTTCTGCTTCATCTCTCCTGTCTTCCTCTTCTACTGTGTCGCTTGACTGACTCCTCTGCCTTTCTCTTCTGCTTTTAAGAGCTCCTGTGATTACTCTGGATCCAACCAGAGAATCCAGGATAATCTCCCTATTTTAACGTCATCTGGCTATTAAATAATTCTATCTGCCCAGTTCCTTTAAAGCAGGGCCTCAGTTAGTGTTTAATTGAATAACCAGGGTACAGAATATTGAGGGGACATATTTAGGATTCTGCTTACCACATTGTGGTAGCACAGTCATCTGCATTTCTCAAATGTGGATAGGATTTAGGCAATGCCAAGTGTTAGCCTAGATTCCAGACACTTACTGACACCTCTAAATATTTTTGGTAAGATGTGTCCCCCTTTCTCTTCCAAGCGGGTGATTATCTCAGACTTGTCCTCCAATGTCCCTTTTCCCTTTAGAGGCTTCCTATAAATCTTTCTCTGATCCTCCTCATTGCCTTGTCCATCAGCTCCACCTTCATTATTGACTGAGCAAGCAGAGCATTTCTGCCTCTCCATTGTGTTCTGGAAAGCTTTCAGTGAATTCCCCTGAGCCTTGGATACCCCCATCAAGCTCTGATGACCATAGAAAAATCTCAGGACTTGTGAATCCCATTTTCTTGTCTTTTGTAATCTTTTGAGATCCCTTGGGAAACTATTTTTAAGCCTTTTTTTTCTTGCTAATATGTATAAACACTTCAATTCCTTTAACAACTAGGAAGGAAAAAGTGTAATTGCTAATACATTTATTAATAATCTCAACTATTTTAGAACCTATGAACCTATAATTTATAATACCAAGGTTTAGAGCAGTCATTTCCACAATTTATTGTGCATTAGGACTGTGGTGAAATGCAAATTGCTGGACCCACACCAAAGGTTCAGTAAATCTAGAGTAGGATCCCAGGAAACCTACACTCGACTAGGATCCCAGGAAAGAGTTGAGAGAGGTGCCGTAGTTTAGACAGCTACTAAGTTGCAAGATTTAAGGTGAAGTCCAGGGTGGACAGTAACCATCTGTCTCTTCTTTTTATAGTGAATGGAAGTGTGTAGGTTGATAAGTACTAAGGCTTCCTCAAGGAGTTCTTGCAAGAGTCCCCCCACTCTGTGTCCCTGGGCACTCAGGGGCTTCTCCATACTCCTGCATGCCTGTACCTTTAACATTATGGTCCCAGCGCTGATGAGCAACTTCTGCCCTGGCTTCCCTACACTGAACAGTCACTAGTCTCCAGTGCCCCTCATTAATATCCTCAGTAGTACCCACAGCATGGTGAAGGAGATACGTTACTCCCATATCCCAGTAAATGAATGGGATTGAGCCTTTCATGCAATTCGAGAGAAAGAGAATGAACACTTATTAAGAGAAACGGAAAGAAAATGAATACTTATTTTACTTTTGTAAGTTTACTTTACGTTCTGGGATACATGTGAAGAACGTGCAGGTTTGTTAAATAGGTATACATGTGCCATGGTGGTTTGCTGCACCTATCAACCCGTCATCTAGGTTTTCAGCCCCACATACATTAGGTATTTCTCCTAATGCTCTCCCTCCCCTCCACCCCACCCCACCACAGGCCCCAGTGTGTGATGTTCCCCTCCCTGTGTCCATGTGTTCTCATTGTTCAACTCCCACTTATGAGTGAGAACATGTGGTGTTTGGTTTTCTGTTCCTGTTAGTTTGCTGAGGATGATGGTTTCCAGATTCATCCATGTCCCTGCAAAGGACATGATCTCATTCTTTTTTTATGGCTGTGTAGTAGTCCATGGTGTATATGTGCCACATTAAGAAAATGAACATTTAAATGCCACCTCTTTGCACAGTTGGCACCATAAGAGTTACAGGAGTATGTAGCTCTTGTAGACTCAGTACAGCTTACTGAAAAAAGTAATTCACTTTGCAAATGATACCTCATGTAATCCTCACAAAAATAATTTGAGGTATTATCCCTTTTTTTGTGGATGAAAAAATTGAGCTCATAGATGTTACAAAATTCATATAGTGTCATGCAGCTAAATTAGAGAAAATGTCAATATTTAAACCCAGGTGCCTTCCTCTAAAGCTCATTGTTTCAATTGGCATACACCGCTAACCTCGAAAATCCCAATATTTACATAAGTGCTTTATATTCATAATCTAGGAGGTTAAAATTAGGCAATGCAGTTATTTGCATTGTTTTGGCCATTATATATAGTTTTCATGCACCCTAATATTAATTGTAAGAGCTTTCTCTTATAGTTCTCTTCATTACACAATATCCAAAATAGATAAAATGTGCTTACCCTTGCAACTCTCACATCGGGCTTCCCTACACATTTGTCTGTCTCGCCCAAACATTCAAAATAGGCACAGGCACATCAATAAACACACTCCTTCTACTCATGCTTCCTCTCCACTTCCTCTTGTTGGAACCATTCAGCCTCCAGCTAGGGAATCAGTTCATCTGGCCTATCCTAGCCTTTTCAGCCATTTCAAAGCTGTGCCTCTCCCAGGACTTCTTTGGCACTCCCAGGGCACTGTCACCACCTCCCTTCGAAGACAGCTCCCCGAGGGTCCTTTGTAGCCTCTCAAGCAGTCTTCATGGCACTCCTTGCAAAGTTCCGTCATGGGTTGACTGGGCTGAGGTCCCTGGTATTTGAGAGAAAATTAAATGGACTTAACGATCATCTGCATATCAGATGAGATGTCAAGGAAACAAGGACCTCAGACCACAGTGTCTTTGCACTTGAGAGATAAATATCTTTCACTAAGTCACATTTCAATACCATGGCTCTAGTGTTAGTGGTGAGGGAATACTGGAAACGGTTGTATGAGAATTGTGTTTGTGGCTTCCCTTTTGATACTGAATACCTTCTATATTATGATCCATGCAAGAAATCTCTTCTAGAATTTCTTCCCAGGAATAATTTTGTCTCCCTTCAAGGATAGCTATGTTTTATTTATCAGAAAAAAAGCTATTTCACCCTCATGTGTCCCTTTTTGCCATAGCTGCTAGCAAGCTCAGGATTTAAATTTAGTGCTCAATTACATTGATTATATCATTCTCAGTTTCTGGGGAAAAAAATTATCCTCCCGTTTCTGCTCTATGATTTCTGAGCTCTGGAGGCACTGGAAATTTAGAGAAGGGTCCGTGATATCTTTTTGCATGAATACCAATGCTTTTTGGAAATTCTCGTGGATATCTGCTGGGGATTAAGGAAGTTAAATCCAGCTATGTCACACCCTTTCTTCTCTCTTATGGATTCTTACTAATTGAGAAGGATATCAGAACCCATTACATTATCAGTATTATTATACAAAGCACTGGGGTTCCTAATAAATATTGTTAGGGGAATGCATCTTATATACAAAGTCATATTTTACCCCCACTCCCAACAAAAATCATCCAAATCTGGTCTTCAGGAGTGGGTCAGCCACACAGAGGATCATGGCTTAATCCTCTTCCCATTGATGACCAGAGAGAGGAAGCCAAAGGGAGGCAGCCTCCTGGACAGGCTCTAGAACAGTGCACTAAGCCATGGCCCAGCAACTTCCCTAGGAGACCTAATAGCAGAGGTGCTGTTGAGGCCAGGCCAGTACAGGAGAGACAGAGAAACCGTGTGTGAATGGTGTTCATGACTAGTGATCATTGCCAGGACCACCGCATGCTAGCATGGTGCAGGCAGCTCGCAGAAAGTGTTCAGCTCAGGGATGTTCAGCTCATGACTGGTGTTCATGACTAGTGATCATTGCCAGGACCACTGCATGCCAGCATGGTGCAGGCAGCTCACAGAAAGTGTTCCACTCAGGGGGCTATGACCAGGCTGAAATCCTGCTTACTCTGCACCTTTTTATAATTCATACTCCCAGATGGGGTGCCTTTTTCAAACTCAAGACAAAGGCTCTATATGAGGTACAGGGACCCTTCCTTTTACCCTATTCTCATAAAAGCCACTTCTCTGATGAGAAAGGGTAAGTTTAGGGATGGTGGAGGGCAGGTGGCAACATGGAGCAAGTAACTAAAAGTGTTCTTCCAGTGTTCTTTTCTCTTGGGGCATGGTCTCCTCCTCTCTGATTGTGTGAGGAGCTGAGGCAGTAAACTTTGTCCACCTGTACTTGTAGAATTTAACAAAGAAGGATAGGACATAAGGAGAGAAAGTGGTGTCTAAAAGGTGAAAAGAAGCATTGAATTGTCACTGGTTCATAGTTCACAGTGCTGAGTGAATTGTCACTCAGCAAATATTAACTGAGTGCTTACTATGTTCCAGGCACAGCACTGGACATTAGAGCTTTGGTGAGTAAGACGAGCAAAGACCATCAGAACACCTACATTCTGGTGTCCATTCTCTGTGTTCCCTTAGGCACATTATTTCCTCACTGTGAAATAAAGTTCCATAATGTCAGCATTGTTCATGTTCTCTCTGAGTTCCAGAATTCTTACCATATGCTTAGGTCTCTGGGAAACTTTGTGAAGGATGTTCTTTCACAGTTAATGGCTTAGGATGATTCAGCGCCAGAGTTCTTCTCGTGTCTCTCATTTAAATTTTCCATCTTCTTGTGTATTAAAAAATCAAAGCCATCATTCTAATCTGATTGCCCAATTATTTGCCAAGAAAAACTGTCAGCAGGTAGCTCTACTGAATGTAGGAATCCCCGCATCAACAGACTTAGATAAATAATTCAGCATAGCTGGAGCATAGGATACAGAGTGAGGAGGGACAAGAGTAAACACTGGAGAAGAAGCAAGGGCGAGCCCAGGAAGAAGCACATGAGACAGTGAACGCATTTCTACTGTGAAATGAGGGCAATGGGGAGAACGTTTTACAGGGAGTAACACGATCAGATTTGCATTTAAGAACAGTCGATCTAGCTCTAGTATGGAAAGGAGCACAATTAGAAACAGTGAGATTTGCTCAGGGCCTCTGTCAGCAATTAGGAAGGACAT
The DNA here is from genome assembly GCF_000001405.40 of Homo sapiens. NCBI lineage: Eukaryota > Metazoa > Chordata > Mammalia > Primates > Hominidae > Homo > Homo sapiens. Next base: position 59,658,795 of record NC_000001.11, read on the forward strand.
AATGGTGGCTTGAATTAAGGAAGTGAATGACAGTAAGGATCAAGAAAAGGAGATGCATTCAAAAGAGATTTGGGAGATCAAATGTACAAAACTTTGAGACTGCTTAAATATGGGAAGACAGGGGAGGTCAAGAAAGATGGCTTCTGGCCAGGCGCAGTGGTTCACAACTGTAATCCCAGCACTTTGGGAAGCCAAGGCAGGTGTATCATATGAGGTCAGGAGTTTGAGACCAGCCTGGCTACTAAAAATACAAAAAAATTAGCCAGATGTGGTGGTATACATCTGTAATTCCAGCTACTGGGGAGGCTGAGGCAGCAGAACTGCTTGAACCCAGGAGGTGGAGGTTGCAGTGAGCCAAGATCACACCACTGCACTCCAGCCTGGGAGACAAAGCAAGACTCTGTCTCAAAAAAAAGAGGGTTCCCAAGTTTCCTGGTTTGGGTAACTGAATGGTGCCTGTGCACTGTCATAAGCCAATTGCAGTGGGGTTCAGGGTGAAATCTGGAGAGAGTAATTAAATGGGGCCAGAGAATATGAAGGAAGGGACCTAGGTAGACCACTCAGCTCCCTTATTTTGATGCAAACCGCATGTCCATACCTGGTTGAGCTCAGGACAACACACACCATAGGAACTGAGTAAATGAATGTTGGTGAATTAATTTTATAATGTGATAATCTAAAGTGAACTATGGTGCTGATGCCCACAAAAGTTGGGCTCGGCTTGAAGAACCCAGCAGCCCTCACCCTTTAGAAATGTCCCAAGAGAACACCTTGATGAGTGGGAGACATGAAAGCAGGACTGTGAGCAAGTCCTGATGGCATACAAATCCGGCATCCTGTTCAGTTCTGGACTCTCTCAGAGATTGACATACTCCATATAAACATCCGATTCTGATTGACTTTAATGGGATCCCCTTGCAACCCACAGATTCTAAGTTATCCCCTAGTAGGTATAATATTTGTAGGAGACATATTATATTACCCTGGATTGGACACTGAATGCTGTTACACTGAAGTCTGACAGTAGCAGAACTCAAAACAAGATCATCTTGTACTAGAATGCCACTGTTAGTGTTGATTTCTTGTAAGCCACAGAAAATAGGTATTTGTAAGAAAAGAAAATGTTTTAAAATAAAAAGTATTTAATTATCGTCTAAGAAATATCAAACATAATCTTCCTGTGGTATTTGTTTTGTTTTTGTTTAAGGTCAGGGTATTTTCTCTTGGGGAGGAAGGGATAGTTTTTCCCAGGTCTGGAGATTAAACAACTTAATAGGCATTTCACGTTCCGCTCACAAAAAGGGGATTTGCATATGAACTTGTTTCGGCAAGAAAACACATCTGAACGTATTTCATGGGAACTATCTTTATCCACGGCAGCTTCTTTTGACCATCTTCTTCTTTTCTTCCCTTCATGCCTGCAGGTCACCGGATTGAAACTGTCTCAGGACCTTGATGATCTTGCCATTCTCTACCTGGCCACAGTTCAAGCCATTGCTGTAAGATACTGTAATGCCATTTTTAAAGAGACTTAGAGCCATCAGTATACTCTAGGCCACTGGCTCCCCAAGATACAGCACATGCTTTTGTGACAGAGATTCTTAATTAAAAGATTGTTTGCAAAAAAGAGATTCTTGTATGTCTGGAAGGAAGTGTTGATGAAAGGCCTCACCTGCTTTAACTAATAACCTCACATAACAAAAAGCTGAAAGGAGTTAAAATCTGTGAAGATTATACTTGTCATTTATCTAATTTGTCTTCTAAATTTAATTAAATAGAAGCAAGCAAACAGATGCTATGTATGCTTGCATTAAGAAAAGTTGTTAAGAATGTCTGATTTATAAAATACATTATATTGTTCACTTTGCAAAAGGATTCATGATAGGGGTCCTTTAAATAGTAAGCTTCCTTAGAACATGAAAGTGTTTGTTTTTAGATAATTAGCTGCTTAAGTGAGGTTAGGATGATTAGGGAGGAAGAGGGGAATTTAAATCTGAAATGTTAGGAGTTTCTACACTAAAGATAAATCAAAAATGGAAATGAAATCCTAAAAGCTTAACCATTGTCTAAAGAATCTTCTTATCTAGAGGTGGCTATGGATGGGCTACAAGAGGGTTCTAATCCTGAAATCACATCCAGAAGGTTGTGTGTGTGCATATATTACAAAGTGCATTTTAGGAGAGTAGATCATGGTGTTCGGGGTCTCACAGCAGGTATGTAACCGAAATTAAGTTAATCCAGTGAGGCTTAGCCACTTCTGAAAAGAGAATAGGAATTAACAGAAAGGAAAAATCAGTTTATCTAATTTTAATTCAAAATTTATTTTTCAGTAACACCTGTTTTAAGCAAATATGTTTAATGCTATACGTACATATATGATATTCAATTATTCTGTTTCTTCACACAACTGTTTTCATAACTTTATTCCTTTAAACTATATGTATATTTATTCACACCACCAACAGAAGTGCTTTTTTAATGCTCAGATTTGTCCATGCACCATGTATGTGCAATAAAGAATGGAACCTCCCAGATAGTAATAATACTAATACTGAAGGGATATAACTTCTTTAATGCAACTACATAGAAGTATGGAATCAGTCAACTTGATTAAACAGCCCTTTTAGATTCTACACTAGTTTTACTATATCTTCCTGAAGCAATTTTCTTATTGGTCTTAATAGCTTGGCCAATTCAGTGAAATCAGTCAAATATCTTTATGCATGGAAACTTGGTCAAAAGCACACAATTCTGACATCTGTAAAAATGTAGGAAATGAACAGTAAGATGAAAATAGAGAAAAAAAGTGTGCATCAGTAGTAAAGATAATTATTTAGCTGTCCTGTTTTATAATAATAATGATGATTATGATGATAATAATGAGTGAATTAAGAGGGTGTTTTGTTTTTGTTTTTGTTTTTGTTTTTGTTTTTGTTTTTGTTTTGAGACAGAGTCTCGCTCTGTTGCCAGGCTGGAGTAGAGTGGAGCGATCTTGGCTCACTGCAAGCTCCACCTCCTGGGTTCAAGCGATTCTTCTGCCTCAGCCTCCCGAGTAGCTTGGACTACAGGCGCATGCCACCATGCCCAGCTGATTTTTTGTATTTTTAGTAGAGATGGGGTTTCACCATGTTGGCCAGGATAGTCTGGATCTCCTGACCTGATGATCCACCCGTCTCGGCCTCCCAAAGTGCTGGGATTACAGGCATGAGCCACCGCACCTGGCCGAGTTAAGAGGTATTTTATAGGCCAGGCGCGGTGACTCAACGCCTGTAATCCCAGCACTTTGGGAGGCCAAAGAGGGCAGATCACGAGGTCAGGAGATCGAGACTATCCCGGCTAACATGGTGAAACCCTGTCTCTACTAAAAATACAAAAATTAGCCAGGCATGGTGGCGGGCACCTGTAGTCCCAGCTACTCAGGAGGCTGAGGCAGGAGAATGGCATGAACCCGGGAGGCGGAGCTTGCAGTGAACTGAGATCGCGCCACTGCACTCCAGCCTGGGTCACAGAGCGAGACTCCATCTCAAAAAAAAAAAAAAAAGAGAGAGATTTTATATGTGCCAAGCACTGTGCTAGATACATTACACACACCTGATTTAACCTTACTACGTAGATATTATAATTCCTATTCCACAAACTAGAAACCTAAGGCTCTGTGTGATTAATTAACTTGTGCAGGGCCATATAGCTTGTGGCAGAGGTGGGATTTGAACCCCCAGCATTCTAAAACAAAATTAGACATGTGAAGTACAGTCATCTGCTACATAACGTTTTGGTTAACGAGGGACTTCCTATATGATGGTGGTCCTATAAGATTATGATACTGTATGTTTACTGTACCTTTTCTATGTTTAGATATGTTCAGATACACAAATATTTACCATTGTGGTACAGTTGCCTACAGTATTCAGTACAATACCATGCCGTATAAGTTTGTAGCCCAGGTGCAATAGGCCATACTATATATAGCCTAGGTATGTAGTAGGCTATACCATCTAGGTTTGTGGAAGTACACTCTATGATGTTTGCATGACAAAATCACCTAACAATGCATTTCTCACAATGTATTCCCATGGTTAAAGGACATTTGACTGTATTGAGGAACTTTTATTTTCAGATTTGTTAATGTTATTGTATAAAAGAGTCATAGAATGAATAGCTTATATTGAAATGAATAATCTTGGAAAATCAGAGTGGTGTGATATTCCCCCTTTTGAGCACATGCTAAGAGGAGGACATGAAGGATGAGGCAAACAGGAGGGACCAAGGGGCACCATCACATAGTGGTAATGACAGTTACCTTTCGTCAGACACGACTGTGTGCCAGGCACCAAAGACGGTGCCTTGCCTACTGGTAGCTTAACACTGTAACCCTGTAAGTAGGTGGGTTTGTTCTCATTTTACAGACAAGGGGAGGACCATTTGCCGAGGTCAAACAGCTAGAGTATGGTAGTTGGAATCTGAACCTTTCTCCATCTCACTCCCAGGCTTCTGCTCTTTCCACTTTACCATGCTGCATTTTCCTTTGATCTGTTTGTAAAAGCTACATGGGTGAAATAAGCTTTCAGATATTCCTAAGAATCGTTTTTACTTAATATATATTAGAAAATATCATTAATTTGGCCAGGATTGTCTCACAGAGGTTCCTTTCCTGGTAAGAGTACTGCAGCAGAAGTCCAGAAATGTATAAATGAGGTTAAACTTAATGCGGGCAGGAGAGGGGAAGAAAAAAAGCCAGCTACATTTTCTCAAGTACCACACACTTGGAAAATCAATCTTGTATTTAATGGGCCGTACATGTATTAAAAGCTATCATATTTATTCTGTCCATTGTCTTAATGACCTTTATAATACCATGAAAGGAAGGCATTTTAAGACAGAGATTTTTTTCAATAAGCCTTTTTTGTGGAGTCAAGTGAATTGTGAGGGGTTCAGTCTGTTTTGCAAATGTATCTGGATGTGCTGATCTTTTAGGCAAAAAAATGTGCATTTTAATGAGGTATTCTGATAACAGATATTTTCCCATAATGTTCAACTTGGGAAAAAAAAATGTTGTTTCATTAGCCCTGAATATTGCCGGAGCACTTATTTGTTGTCGGTCAACTGAAAGTTAAGCAAATTTCTCTCTATATATAGTCATATCTTTGGGTGCTGTTTTGTAGGGGTGAAATGAAATTAAAGAGGATTGTAATCAAGTTAACTTGGGACTGTGCAAAACCCTCCATGAAGTAAAATTCTCTCTTGATCATGCTTAATTGAAAGACCTGTCAACCACCCGGTTTATCCATAGCCTGTTCATCTATAGTTTTCTTTGCAGAACAGACCCTTAAAAGGTACTATTTGCATTTGAAGTCTCTTGATTTGCATTCGGTTCTGTACATTCCCAGTGGAATAGCCTAATTTTAATTTAAATTTCTCTGTGAAAACATTTTTTCCAGAAAGGTGAGCACAAAATCATTTTCACACAAAGCCCTTTGGTGGGGCATTTCAGTAGGGTGGAGTATTACACAGATTGGAGTCTGGGACACCGAAAGGGAAGGTCCTCTAAGGAACCGCCAGACTGAGTGGGAAATTCCAGCCGACAATACCACATGGGGGAGAGACAGGCTGTCTGTCACAGCCCCTCTCGAGGGAGTGCCTCTCATTCGGATCATTTCTTTCCTTTTCCCAGGAAATGTGCTTTGTTTTATTCTTGTCTCAGGCCTGCTAATCGCAAGCCCCTAGGTCCCTGGTTTTAGAAATATCAAAGATACCAGTTTTTCCTGACATTTCCATACAAATTAGGAGACAGCAATTCTCCCATTCCATACAGACTGTATTGCTTAGTCAAATTATATATCTCCTAAGTGGAGAAAACAATATGCAGGTTTCACATTTGCCTTAAGATTAGAGATGCTATTAAAGTGCATAGCAGAGTGCCTAGCATATAGTTGATAACCAGAAGAACTCTCCTTGTATGCACCTTTCGTGAGCTGGACACTTCTACAAGTTTTACCTTTGCTGCCTACAGCAGCAGACTTGTATGGTAGGTATTACTAGATTTCATCAAGCCTAAGACCACATTTTTAATTTTTTTGCATGTTGACATTTCTGACAATCTATAGAATTTTTAACTAAATGAATATGATACTATTATTCCCATGGCAAAAAAAAAAATGGCAATTGAGTTATAGAAAGGTTAAGGTACAAGAAATATGTGAAATGCCTAAATGCCAGCCTGGGTTTTTTGAATTCAAAACTCATGCTCTTAGCTACTACAATTCATGCCGTTAGAGCAGACTGGGGTTGCCCAGAATCCACAGGCATCAAATGATCCATGATGGACTTCAGGCATCTGTAGACCTCCTGAAATTATTTATAGTACTATTTTGTATGTGACTTTTTTTTTCTGGGGAGGTCAGTAGGTTTTGGCATATTCTCAAGGGGGTTCATGACCCCCCAAAAAGCTTAACAAAGAACATCTGGGAATAATCAGCCCTAGTTAGTATGTAGGATCTGGCCTTATATGGCACAACATGTTTGAATTTTTTTAAACACACTACATCTGTAGATTGTTTATGGAGGCCCAGGTTTTACCTAATCCATATTTTTACCAGATTCATGAATAGCTTCAACAAACCCTCAAGACCTCTGGGCTAGAACTGCTGTGCCTTTTGCTCCTGAACTGCCCCTGTCCCTCATGATTTATGCCAAACCAATTAGGATTTCATGTCCTATGGTTCCCAGATCACCCTCTGACCACTCCTGTCCCCAGGTTCCCCCATCCCCTGGGGTGACAGCTCCCCAGACAGCCTTGTCAAAGGAGGCTCCATTTGCCCTCTACCCCCAACCCCCCTAAGACGTGAGGTCAGGGCAGCATCCTGCTGACTTCCAAAACCCTGTTCCTTTTTTTTTTTTGAGATGGAGTGTTGCTCTATTGCCCAGGCTGGAGTGCAATGGTGTGATCTCGGCTCACTGCAAGCTCCACCTCCCAGGTTCACACCATTCTCCTGCCTCAGCCTCCCAAGTAGCTTGCACTACAGGTGCCCGTCACCACGCCCAGCTATTTTTTTGTATTTTTAGTAGAGATGGGGTTTCACCATATTAGCCAGGATGGTCCCGATCTCCTGACCTCATGATCCGCCCGCCTTGGCCTCCCAAAGTGCTGGGATTACAGGCGTGAGCCACCGCGCCCGGCCCAAAACCCTATTCCTTACCTTGGCTAAACTCCGATTCTTCTTGCCCTCAGCTAAAACACCTCCTCTCCCTCACTACATTCCTAGGTTTCAACCTGAACAATACTGTCACACTTTCACTAAAAACCAAGATATTGGCTCATGCCTTCTTCTTGGTGGCTGTGCCATCTGTGGAGACACATTGTCCTCCCAGATCCTTGACTTTCTTATCTCTTCTGACTTCTCTTCCCTCCTTTTTAGCAATTCACTCCCAGGTCTACACTTAGGACTGTGACATCTCCCCAGATTGCTCAATCTCTAAACATTTCAAAGACTTGCTACCCACCAAAAAATCCTCTTCCTCTATTTTTTCTGGAGCCCCTTTCTCAAACATCACCATGTGGCTGCCCCCTTATGGCCACATCACAGTTCATCTTTTTGTTTTTAGTCCTTATCCCAAATAAATTTTGATTTTCGAACTCTAGTTTTTGAACTTTCAAGTAAATTAAGATTTTTCAGATGTTCAACTATCCTATCTAAAACTGAAGAATTCTACATTGAGATTCACTTCCATAACTCTAAGGCAATAATGGTTTTTACTGAGTTTAATGAACTTAGCAAGACAGACATGAGGATAATGCATATTAGGAAGATATTAATGCACAAGAACTGAGACACAAGGCTGAATTGAAAATATGGTGAAGCCCTGAAACAACCAGGGAATGGATTTGGCTCAGAAGTCTCCTTTTAGAGAACCACTACCTGGTTTCAGGCAATAGCAGCGGTAATTTTAGCCCTTAGCCACCCTGAAGCCTTGGATCTCACCTTCTTTATGCAGTTAGAGCCCTCTTTCCATGATTCTGCTGCTGGATTTTTTGGTGCTTTTTCTAAGGAAAAAGCCTTTAGTTCCCATTTAGTAAAGGAAGACTGACCAAGATACCATTGACTCTGTTTCAGAGTACTATTGCAATCACTGCTAATACAGGGCCTGGGCTATAGTAGACACTCATTAAATATCTGTTTGAATGAACTATGTTACCATTAACTGTGTTGACATTGTCAACTGTTTTTGTCAGTGTTGTGTAACTACTGATAGAAGCAAATGGTGTAATTAAGAGGGTTTTGGAATCAGTCAGGCCCAACTTGAAATTCCCACTCTGCGATTTAAGTAACTGTGTGATCATAGACAACATAATCTCTGTGAGTCTCAGCTTTCTGAGATAGTGTATGTAGAGCTTAGTACAGTGTCTAGCACTGAGTAGACATTTAAGAAGTGTTCCCTAGTGTTTACTTTTGTGACTATACTGATGCTATCTTCTGCTTTTCCTTTCAAGTTGGGGACTCGCTTCATTATAGAAGCCATGGAGGCAGCAGGGCACTCAATCAGTACTCTTTTCCTATGTGGAGGCCTCAGCAAGAATCCCCTTTTTGTGCAAATGCATGCGGACATTACTGGTAAGTCTGGGAAAGAGGAGAGAAGGTCACTTTTTGGCTTGGCAGCAAATGGGCATGGCCAAGTTCTGGGTGAAGTGAGAATAGGAGGATATATGCGGTATGCCAGATTATTAGAATAATCCTGAAGTCTTTATATTCACAATGGAGAAAGTGACTTCTATGACGTCTTTATATGCATGATGGAGAAAGTGATTTCTGTGTATATCCAACCATTGAATAATGGTGAGAAATAACACGAGAGAAGTTGGCCAGGACTAGATCTTAATTCAAGCATTTACACAACAGTTTTGAATACCTCTTCTGATCCACACATTGTGGAGAATATTGAAGATACGAAGATGAATAGGACATGATCCTTGCTCCCCACCACCCAGGAACTCACAGTCTATTGAGGAAGGGAGACAGCAAACAGGCATATTAAAGATAGTATGGCAAAAGCTTGGCGTGAGAAAAGTACGGGGTATCATGGAAACATAGTGGGGCACCTTGTCTGGTTTGGGACCTAATGGCAGCTCAGGGCGTGTGGTCTGGAAGAAGTGATAAGAAAGCTGTCTTGAAGAAAGAATGCAGAGGCTGGATGCTATAGGATCTGTGGGTATGATTGCAGACTGGGAATTTGAGCCCTAAGACCCTGAGATCCTGTGATTCCTTCTCAGCTCATCAGAATCAGGGATCATAATAGAGATGCAGGGAATCACAAATAATGGGCTGAGCTCTTTGTGATATCAGCAGACAGTGGGGGAGAAGGATCCTTAGCAAGCCCCTAGGACCCAAGGAAGGGGCCCCATTGGCAGGAGGCTTTCTGTTGTCGCAGAGAGTGGCCTGGACCTCTGTCTCTCTGGACCTGATACCCTCACCCCTTTTACTCCTTGCCCCTCTAGTGTCTCCTGGGGACTGGAGACCCATTCTCTCCCAGGACCCATCACTGGGTGGCCAGGTACCACCAGGGCAGGGCAAGGGGAGGGAAAGTGGGGAAGGGTTGTACCCATCCCATAGTCCCAACTCCAGCCTGATAAGAGCCCACTTGACCCTACCTCCATTTATCATTATCCTTTGCTGTCCCTCATCCCCTACTTTCTTACCTCTGACTTCTGGCCAGGTCAAAGTCCCTGCCCCATTATATCCTCCATCCCCCTCTAAGCCACACAGATTCCTGCAGATGAGAGCCTTGTCTAACACGATGGACGTAACTGATCTTTGCACATCATGAGATGAAACTAAGTAAGTCACTTATTCCCAGCTTAGAGATAAGCAGACTGAGACACAAGTCTGAGGACAGTAAGAAAAGCATACAGTCAGCCGGGCACGGTGGCTCACGCCTGTGATCCCCACACTTTGGGAGGCCGAGGTGGGCGGATCACCTGAGGTCAGGAGTTCGAGACCAGCCTGACCAATATGGAGAAACCCCATCTCTACTAAAAATACAAAAAAAAAAAAATTAGCCAGGCGTGGTGGCGCATGCCTGTAATCCCAGCTACTGGGGAGGCTGAGGCAGGAGAATTGCTTGAACCTGGGAGGCGGAGGTTGCAGTGAGCCGAGATTGCGCCATTGCACTCCAGCCTGGGCAACAAGAGCAAAACTCCATCTCAAAAAAAAAAAAAAAAAAAAAGCATACAGTCTAAGGGCAGAACTATTGGGATGTGAAGTATAGAAAGTATTACCATTAACCAAGCACCTACTATGTGTCAGTGTGAATCACGCTGTAGACACTTAATCCTCCCATACCACCAAAGGTAGAAATCGGTGCCCCCATCTTACAGACAAGCAAGTTGATGGGTGGGTAGGTGAATTAAATTGGCTATCTAAAGTCAAACAGCCAGTATGGGGCAGGACCAATATTGTAACTGTGGTGTGTCGGGGCCCACCGTCCCTTTGTACTGTACTGCTGACCCAGGTTTCTTGACTTTTCTGCCAAGTTTGTAACCAGTTGATGATGACGCCACTTTCCTGAGATGTCCAAAACCCTATAGAAGTGGGCCGTTCAAAGCAGAAGGAGGAAAGACATAAAAAGAGCCCAGATTGCCTTATAATTGTCCTCAGGAGAAAAACCATAACATTTTATCTAAAAATCAGCTGGCTAGTTCAGATAACATTCAAGCTTAAAATTTGATCTGTGACATTCCAATTTCTAGACTTCTTTTTTTTTTTTTTTTTTTTTTTTTGTATTTTTTGGTAGAGACAGGGTTTCACCATGTTGGCCAGGCTGGTCTTGAACTCCTGACCTCAAGTGATCCACCCGCCTTGGCCTCCCAAAGTTCTGGGATTACAGGCATGAGCCACCGCACCCGGCCCCAATTTCCAGCCTTCTGATAGCCAAAAAACTTCCTATCTGGATGCAAGAGGAAAGATGAAAGTCAGCTTTGGAGAACACAGTACTCTAGAAAATGGGAAACAGGGCCTCCCAGAGCAGAACAGCTAGCTGTGAGTGACCCCGGCACTGACTCCGCGCTGCAGCCCTGGACTTTGTGAAAATGGGTCATCTTCCAGGCCCTACATCCCTGGGCTGACTCAGAAGCACGGCGGGGAGTGCAGCGGCTTCACAGAAAGTTCTGCTTTGGAAACTGTTCTCCTCTAGGCTGTTGAATGAAAAGGCTGTTAATCGTTATTTGGATTCCGATTGAAACTGGACCTTTTGTCTCTAACTATGGACCAGTTACAGTTCCAGACAAAGAGACCTTTTATTTAGCCTGGAATTCCTCTGCCTTTGGAAGCCTGTGACTGACAAGTGATGGCAAAGTGCATCTGCCTTTGAATGCTTTGGGTTCTGCTAAACTCATTAATGCATCAGATAAAATAGTTCACATTCCAGCCAAAGCTGCCCTCTTCCTCTCCTTCACCCAGGACTCAGAGAAAAGAACACATTTGCATTTGTCCCTGTAAAAGGCACGTACACAAGCAGCCAGTATAGAGGTAGTGTCATTGGTGCCTTTAAACATTGTATTGCTCTAGTTTTCCTACAAAGACAGTTAGGGAGGACTGTAGACCTGGAACATGATTCTCAGAAATGCATGTGAAAAACACATTCGAATTTGGGAGATTTTTTTGGAGATAGTGTGGAACAGTGGAAAAAGCAGATCAGCTCTGTGACTTTGGGCAAGTTACTTTACCTCTCTGAGCCTCAGTTCCCTCTTCTGAAACAAACAAACCAAAAAACATTATCATCTCCCTCATGTAGATCACTGCTGAGGAATAAATGCTTGCGAGTTTGTGAGCATCAAACTCTGTGCCTAGTCCAAGTAGGTGATCAGTAAATGTCAATTCTCTTATTCCATCTAGGAAGCCCCATGCCAAAAAGAAAGAGGGGCATTTGAGGGAAAAAAAAAAGCAGCTTATTATTTTGAAAGTGAATCTTTGCCATGTTGAGAACAGCCTGCTCTGTACAAGCAGGGAGAGCGGGGCCTTGCCAGCTTGGGAAATGCTGTCTACATGAGGAGGAAGAACCTCCTTGTACCCTGGTCATTTGGTTAACTGTGGTTTCAAGAAATACTTGGTATGTACTAAGTAATTGTTAAGTTTCCCCCACTGACTTGGGACTAAATGTTCCTTCTTCTAAGTTTTATTTTTTAGTACTGGTAGTTTCAGTAGGGGTTTCCCTCTTCTGGTCTTACTCATTATTTTAATTATTTGTTCTTTCATTTATTCACTCAAAAGCATTCTCTGTGCACACCAGTGTGCCAAGCCCTGAGGTTGGCACAGGGATGCTAAGAAGAACAGTAATGTCCAGCCAAGAGGTTCTTTATAAAACACAGAAAAAGTGCCCTTGGTCTTATGACCAATATCCAGAGTGAGTAGAGTGGGGACCCAGAGGACAAAATGTGTCGGTGTCAGTCAGGTCCAGGCAGGGAACAGATACACACTCCAGTTAGGTTAACCGGAGGGAAGTTGAATAGTCAGTGTACAGAGCTGTGGGCAGGGTGCTGGAAGCCCAGACAACCAAGAAGTACCTTGGGATACTAACAGTGTTTCCACCCCTGGGCTCACAAGGGTGAGGGTAGGGAGCAGGCAATCTGAGCCTGGTGGGATGTGTGAAGAGGGCAGCCCAGCAGAAGCTTAGCCAAGGATGAAACCAGAGGGCAGGGGCCCACAGCTGTGATCCCCACTGGCCAGTCTCCCAGGCTCAGAGTAGGTGGAGGGAGGAAGGGAAGAGGTGGGATTGGTCTTAGAGGCAAATGGAAGCAGTGGATTGATTTCACCCTGGGTAACAGGTGTGAGGAGAGACTTCAGAAGTAAGGTAAACTTTAAGAATAACAACTAATGCTAATTTAGTGCTTTCTCTAAGCCAAGCACCATTTTAAGAGCCTTATTATAATAGCAGTTTTAATTCTCACAGCAACTCTATGAGATAGGCGGAATTTTAACCCCATTTTTCAGATGAGAAAGCTGAGGCACGGAAAGATTAGGTATCTTGCCTAGGATCACACAGCTAAGTCAGTGGGGAAGCCAGGATTCAAACCCTGGCAGTCTGGGTTCAGAGCACTTTGGGCAGCAACTTGAGAGCTGATAGGGGATTCACCAGGTTCACTCACATCTCTGGTTCGCAAGGGGAGGGGCCTGTGAGTAGTTCCTCCCTGCTCACAACTCAGGGAGCTTTTGGCAGGGTAGGAAGGCCCGGGAAGTGAATGGTGTTTGGAGGCACTGTCTTCAAAAACGTCCCAGGTCCATAGAGAAGGCTTGATGGTCATAGTCGCACACCCATCTGTATCATTCCTAGGATTCTTCAACGGCTTGCAGTGCTCTCTCCTGCTGGTGTCAGCACAGCCCTGTAGTGTGGCCTGGCATCTGTCCTTCCCCTCTGGATGGTTGATGGGAACCTTTATTGTCCCTTCCCCACTTATCCAGTTTTTAGTCCAGGTCTAGTACATGCATAGAGGCTTCACTTGCCATCTACCTGAATTCTAACAGTAGCAGCCATCATTTCTCCAGGGCTTACTGTAGGCCAGGAAATATGCTAAGCACCAAGTGTGTGCCCTCTCATTAAGCCTCACAACACACCTGTGTGGTACATCTTATCATCATCCCCATTTTACATTTGGGATGATCCCCATTTGCATTTGGGAACCAAGGCTTAAAGAGTGTAAGTGACTTACTGGACACAGAGCTAGTGGAACCAGGAAATAAACTCAGGTCTGAGCTTCTCCCAGCATTCCCACCCCACCTGACACCATGTTGGCAATGTCTTAAGTCCTGGCCCAGTTGAGAGCTGGTATTCCTAAATTCTCTGGGGTGTCTGTGGGAATTTACTCCCCTGCCCTTTTTCTCTGGGTAGCTGGAGGAAAGAATTGAGTGGGGAAGTAATGGGATGTAGAGAGAGTGTCTTCTCAGACAAGATAGGAAAAGAAATCTAGGCTTTGGGAAAATAACTCTTATGGCTTGAGTAGAAGACAGTTTTTACACCACAAGTTTACCTCTGTAAAGTTTGCTGCCATCTCCCGATTAGCAGACTAATCTATACATTATAGACCTAAGAATCCTAAATTATTTCTGTTAATCTTAAACCTACCATGAACCCTCAACCTCTGGGCATTGGCATATGGAGGGCTCCTCCCTGCCTGGTGGACTCCTGCTCACCCTTCAGATGCCTGTTTAAGCCTCATCTCCACCGTAATCTGTGATGACCGCTACCCCAGAAATGTAAGTGACTCATCATTCAGTCACTTACCATGTGCTAGATACTGGTCTAAATGCCAGGGATTCCGCAGTAGTCAAAACAGAGTCCCTACCCTCAAGTAGCTTAAGTTTTTGGAGGGGAGACAGACATTAAACAAGATAAGTAAGTAAAATACAATGTTGGAAGGTGGGATGAAGCAGTTAAGGGGGTAAGGAGTGTTGAGGGAAGTTGTAATTTTAAATCTGATGGCCAGGGAAAGCTCAGTAGGAAGGTGATGTTTGCGGAAACACTTGAAGGATGGGCCGGCAATTAGCATGTGGGCATCTAGGAGGAAGTGTTCCAGACAGGGAACAGCATGGGTAAGGGCCCCGAGGCACACTCAGGAAGCAGCAAGGAGGCCAGGACTACGTGGCTGGAAGGAGAAGAGGAGGATATCAGAGAGGGAGAAGTGGGGCCAGATCTGGGAGGGAGAGCCCCTTGTCAGCCACTGTAAGGGCTGTGGCATGCACCCTGAGAGAGGGGAGAAGCCCCTGGAGGGATGAATCACACCCTCTCTTGCTATCTCCTTTCCCTTAGCACATCTCAGTTAGAGAACCAACCCCCTCCGTAGCCTTCATCTCTCTCATCCATTTCCCTCTGAAACCTGAATAGCAGGGCACAGTCCGATTCATCTCAGTATTCCCTCGGCCAGCAGAGCGCTTAATAAACATCAGTGGATCTGAACTTGAATCAAATGGCAGGTAGCAGCTTGCAGAAGCCTGAAAAACCTGGGCACTGAGGTCTCGTGAGTTGATATATATGGTGTTGGTTCCCTTGGGCTCTTGGCTACTGCACCAGCAGGCACAGGCAGTGAAATCTTTTAGAACCAAATAATCCCAAGGAATAAAGAAGGGAGGACTGCAGGGAGTCGGGCGGGGGGCCTGCTGCTGCCCTGATGTCAGGTGTTTTTGCCACTGCGGCTGCTTGTTGGCTCCTCACACTCCCCTGGCTCTGCTCCCTAACCAAGGTGTGGCCTTGTCCTGCGCAGGCATGCCTGTGGTCCTGTCGCAAGAGGTGGAGTCCGTTCTTGTGGGTGCTGCTGTTCTGGGTGCCTGTGCCTCAGGGGATTTCGCTTCTGTACAGGTATGTGAAGACCAGGGGGTGGGCTGTGGCTCCTCCCCTGTCTGAGGCCATCCTTCCTCTTGACAGCAGCTCGCATTTTACAAAATACACACAGGATATAATTAAGAAATGATAGGTTCCAGCCAGGGAAAGCACAAACACTTCTAGCCTCAGACATATTTATTGCAGTTTTCATTTGACTTGGCCTCGGTTCGTGTTGGTCGTTCTGTTTTTCAGTTGTTTTTTTTCTTTCTTCTTTAAAATACCTTTTAAATTATTCCTTTTAAATTTCCCCTTGACCACTTTTCTTTGAGCACATGAAACAGGTAAGGCTCAAAACTTCAGTGTTTCATGTGTATTTCAGATTTTTATTTGCTTATGTCAACCTCACCATTTTCTAAATACCTTGAAGGCCTCTATCAACAAGAGACACAAATGAAACTGTCAGTATGAAATAAAAAAGGAATTAAAAGGGAAAATAAGGAACAAAGATATAGGAAGAAGGAAACAATTTGGTGGCTGTGATTAAACACATAATTTGGCTCAGAGCTTCCTGGCAGGCAAGACAAAAAAGAACACATGATAAATTGCATAATTCTTACTTTCAAAAAGAGGAAACATACTAGTTTCTGGTGAGAGGGAAAACTTTTCCTCCCACCAAATTGCGAAAGACCTTGCACACATGGGGCTTTGTGGAGAGGTTTTGAGTGCTAAAATAATACAAGGTAAACAATGAATGTGGTATGGAAGCTAAGAGCATACAGGCTCTGGCATTAGACCACCTGGGCTCAAATCCTAGCTTGATTACCTACCAGCTCTTGTGGCCTAAACAGTCTTCTCTGTACTTCCACTCCTTTATCTGTAATAGTAATTGACAGCGCATCGTGAGTTCTGTGTGTCAAGCATGCTCATTTAGTCCCTGCAATAGCTCTATTATCCCCATTTTATAGTTGAGGAACCTGAGGCATAAAGAAGTTAAATAACTTGGCCTAAATGAAACAGCTAGTAAATGCCAGAATCAAGAAGTCTGGCTCCCACTTCTCAACTGAACGTTCAAGAGATATTTGTTCAGCAAAGCAGCAGAGTCCAAATGACTTGCCCATGGTCTCAAGCTTAGGACTACAAGCCAGGTATCTAGTAGCTCAGTAATTAGAGCTTTGTTTATTGTGAACCTCTTATGTTCCAGACACTATGCTAGGTGCTTTTTGTATAATCTTCCTAATACCTATAACAATGCTTCATGAGCCACAGAGATTGGGCCATAGAGATCCAAAATTTAAGGGTACACTATTGGGAACAGACAGATGTAAAAGTGTGATGCTGTTTGTACTGCATTTTGGAAAATGTGGTACACTACACACTATCCAAGCCTCTGAAACTAATGACTGTGAAATCTCCCTCACAAGGAATTAAATCCACTCATGAATTCTTGTGGATTCTGAGTGAGTCTTTAAACAAAGGTGGTATAGTTCAGTTCTCGACTTTTTCTGGATAGTCTCGTCCTTTCTCAAAAATAGCACATGGAGATATTTGTTGTTGAAATATCAATGAATTGTCAATTATTATTTTAGTGTATCAGCTGACGGAGATGTTCTCACAATTAAATATCTTGCCCTTCCTGCGGCAAATTATAATAGTTAAAACAGGGGGGATGCTTACTAAGGTTCTGCAGAGGTTACCCTGTGTTGTGAACTGAATATTTGTATTCCTGCAAAATTTGCCCTGACCCTCAATGTGATGGTATATGGAGGTGGGTCTTTGGGAGCTAATTAGGGTTAGATGAAATCATGAGGGCAGGAGCCTAGTCTGATGGGTTATGATGGTCTGATGGGCCCTTATACAAAGACACCAGAGAGCTGGCTTGTTCTCTCTGCCATGTGAGGACACAGCAAGAAGTCCATTTCTATAGGCCAAAAGAGGGCTCCCACGAGACCCTGACATTGCTGGCACCCTGATCTCAGACTTTGAGCCTCCAGAACTGTGAGAACATAGATTTCTGTTGTTTACCCAGTCTATGGCATTTTGTTATAGTAGCCTGAGATAAGACACCTCATTTAATCTTGACAGTCATCCTGCTTGCAGGATGCGTGTTTTTATCCTTCTGTGATAGGAAGCCAAGCTTCAGAGATGTTTTAAGTAATTTGTCCAAGGCTACACAGAAAGGGCAGAAGCAGAATTGAAATGAAGGTCTCTCTGGGTCTATATCTTATCCTGTCATTCTTTTTCTAATTTGTTCGATTTGTTTTTTCTTTAAAAATATTTTCTGGCTTCTTAAGTGTTCAGTGGTGTATTTTCTGAAAAGAAATGCCATAGGTCACAAATCAGGAGATAGTCTGTAGCTCAAACAGAGAATAGCCTTTCAAGATGAGGCTGCTATACTAGATACATCATACCATGACTCATGGCTTCATTGATATCTTATTCAAAACTGGGATCTCCAGCTCCAAAGGAATTCCACTCACATCTTCCCCTAATGGGAAACTGAGCTTAATTCCACACTGACATCTTGACTACATGAGATTTGCTGTTAGTCTTCTGTAACAGAATCTAAGATATAGTAGATCAGATTTGGAACTGATGACTTGAGTAGCAGCTGCAAGGCTCACAGCATTGTAAAGACAAGCTCATGTCTCCTATTCAACCCAAGGATGTGTGTGCCTGTCCTGATCGTTTTCAGGAGACACAATCTAGTAAAGGGAGCCACCAGCTGAGAGAGTCCTGAGGTCTTATCTGTCATCACTTACCTGACAGACTCCCCATAGTCTGGAGCTCTGTGCTTGCTTTACTGTCCTCAGACGATGTCACTTGTTCTCTCTGGGTGCTTGTTTTATTTGTCTGTTTTATGTATTTTTTTTAATGTTTAAATAAGAATTGCCACCCATATGGGACTATCGAGATAAAGAGCCTTTGAAAGTTCCAGTGACCTCTCAGGTGTAATCAATATCATTAGAATGATAAAATATTTGGAACTGCTTTGGAAATGAAAATGCATGTAGACTTGGCGTCATTTGCTCCCCTCCAAAGAAGAGGGGCCAACCTTTGTGCCCCAGGTCTGAGGACCAGCTTCAGATTCTGGCAAGGTGAGGCAAAATTGAATTGCTTTCTTTCTGTGATTCATATTTTCAACCTGAACTTCAACACAGTCTTTTCTTTGAACTTCAGGGACCCTGGCTTGGTTTGCAGGGTACCTGCCTTCCCCTCCTTAAGAAAGTTGAGCAATTCCTGCCAGCACCTCAACTATTCCAGCAAGTCAGATGTTTTATCTTCTCATGGACCACACATCTGGTGGTTAGATGGAGGATTTCACTTCTTATCTAGATAGGCCAATTTTGGTAGACTCAACCAGAGTCACCTCCTTCAGATGCTGGGAAGGCTGGGAAGAATCCAGAGGACCCAGACAGTAGAGGTAGGAAAAACTTTTATGTGCTTGAGGAGACAGGGTTTTCATAGGCCCCTGAATGGATGATTTTCAGCCGGGGGTAGAGTCCTATACCTTTCTTGGGTGATACCAATGGATCCACAGCTGTAGATTTTACTTGTAGCTTTTGTAGACTCTGTGTATCTCAATTCTGGGAGAATTTTATCAGGGGAAGGGAGACTGGATGGAATATTCTGGTGGGCCCTTAATGAAAGATTGGCCAACAACAAGATCTATTGATATTGCAAATTTTGAAACATGCTGACAATTCCTAGCTTCCTTCTTTTGTTCTTTTATCCATTCAGATTCTCCTTCTCTTAGTTTGTCTCTGTCTCTCTTCCCTTGTCCTTTCCTGCTCTCTCTCTCCCTTTAGACATCTAAAGTCTTCTTACTATTTCTTTGTCAAATTCGGATCTCACAAAGGATACTG
The DNA here is from genome assembly GCF_000001405.40 of Homo sapiens. Classification (NCBI taxonomy): domain Eukaryota; kingdom Metazoa; phylum Chordata; class Mammalia; order Primates; family Hominidae; genus Homo; species Homo sapiens. The sequence continues at coordinate 59,677,961 of NC_000001.11, forward strand.
ACATAGCCATTCGTTCATTCTAAAGAATACAATGACTAATACTATCTTAAAGAGTTGCCCCTCTTTAGAAAGGGTGTTTTCCTTTTAGTAGTTTTCAAAACTGTGTCTTTACTAAAGAGAACAGTCTCCTTGTGGACAAGTATTCTTGAAGGCAAATCATGATCAGCTTTATATCTGCGGTTTAATGAAAAATATGGAATCAAGCCACAGATATGCTGCTCTCACAGTAAAAATTTAGCTATTGAATAAGTGGGAGGGGACACAAAGAAGGCAGTTCACTTCCCCTCCCTTTACTCTTAGGAATGTGGAATCCCTGCAGTCTTGACCTCTGTGACCTTTCTACTTGATCCCTCCCCCATCATCAGTAGAGTACAAAATGATCCTCTGTAATTCTGAATATCTTGGAAAACAAATAATTATAATTAGAAGCTGAGAGTGTTCCATAACACTTCTCTAGGCTCCCAGGTCCTGGAAAATCAATAAACTGGAAAAAAACTAAGTTTATGAAATATCACTATGCTTACACTTTCTAAGCACAGACAGTTAAAAGATTCTAAGAAATACAAGGACAAATAAATAAAACAAGAAGCAGTTTCAAGTCGTTGTGAGAGAAAACTCAATCAAATGGCAAAGAGACAGCAACATGAAATGGCTCTCCACTTTCTGTTTCCTTCAGGCCCCCTGCAGATGTCATTAGCTTTCTGTAATTTCTTATCTTCAGGGGCAGTTTTTATTCAAGTCTATTTAGACAAAACAAGCTTTAATTCCAGCAGTGCTATTTGTCTTGAACCACCACCCCCCACCCTTGAAAAAAAGGAGTGGAGGAAGCATCTGAAGCAAAAATCAGTAAAAGGAGACAGTGACAAGAGATCAAAATGCATTCAGCAGTCATTTTAAGGGGAGTACCAGTGTAAAGAAAATAAGCCCTTGGAATCAGCCAATTAATCACAGACCTTCCTTCCTCCCACTGTGTGAGTGTTGCCACCCCTGTAAACCACTGACTCCATGCACTCTCACCATCAACTTTCCCTGTCACGTTCCAGACAGACTCCTGTGTCTTCAAGACCAATACATGTAAGTGGCCAGTTGAGAGCTGTGATTACTCACCCTTTCTGTAATGTGTGCCCACAAGATAAACCATCCATGCTGACCGCAGTGGTCTACCCTTGAGGTCATTCCTTGCAAACATCCTCATTGCTTAGCTGAAACCTCTACTTCTGTTCTTTTTCATGAAATTCACTTCATTTAGGGCCAGTTATACTCATCACCTGTTATGCATTTCAGAGCCTATGATTTTTGTATATAACATGTCTCCCATTCTATTTTATTTTGTAAGAGTCAACTTTCTGTGATTTTTTTTTTTAGCTCTATTTGGCTTTCTGTCACGATAAATAACAGTTTTGCTATTTGCAAAATAAAGCTGATTATCATTATTTTAGTTTCCAGAGGTTAGAAAAAACTGAAATACCGTAGATGTTCAGAAGTATGAAACCATCCCATTTCTCGGTGCATTCAATTTAGTTTACTTGCATTTTTTTCTTTGTCTGGAATACTAACATTTCATGTTCATTGGGGACAAAAATAAGAAAATTTAATTAAGATGAGTGAAAATATGAAAACATTGATCTTGTTATCCTAAAATAACCTATTTTAAATTATTTACTTATTAACTATTTAATATTATGGTTTCTATTCTCTTAGTCTTTTTGTACATATTTTAAAATCATTTTATACTTTTAAATTACAAAATGTATTATACAATGCATAAAGTTTTATCTTTTTAGACCTTTTTCCTATACTCAAAAATATGTAGTAAACTTCTTTATTTATCATTTTTGTAGGCTGCATAATTTTCTACCTAATAGAATATATTATAGCTTATTTCACCAGTCCTCCAGACTTGAATATTTAGGTTTTCTCCATTGTTTTAAAGAATGCTGCAACTGACATCTCTGTTACTAAATGTTTGCACACATCCTAAATTATCTCTATAAAATAAAATTAGAGGCATATAATTGTTCAGGCAAAAAGTGTGCCCAGCATTTAGGGTTCTGATACATAGTAATAATTTATACTCCCATCAGTAGTGTCTGAAAACTCAGGGTTTACATTTCTTGTATATAAGGAATCTCTTGCCATGGATTTTAGTTCCATTTTAGTTCTATTTAGCTTTCATCCCCAGGCCTCTTATAATCCTACTTATTTCACATATGGTCCTGATATTATCAGCTTTTTTTTTTAGTAGCCTTTTGCCCTTTGCTGCTTAAGCATGTGTTTCTGGATGAGATTCTGATTCCTAATTAAATAGATTCAGATTACTGATTGAATTTTCTGAGTATCCTGTCCCATATGTCAGTGTCCCTCAGAAAGTCAACAGAAAACTTTGGAATGGTATAATAATTAATAATTGAAAGAAGAATTCAATTAAGAATATGAAGTTGGCCCTAACATTCATTATTCTTATTGCCACACCTGGTTAACAATACATTCTTTTTTTTTTTTTTTAAGAGTTTTTTCGACCCCTCCAGAAAAAAAAAAAAAATAGAATAAAACAAAAATAGATCAGGTTCTGATTAATTATAAAACCTCTGGTTTCAATCCAGTTTGCAGAATGATACCATGGGTATAAAAGTCAAAACATTAGCTGAAAATTGTAATTTTTTAAGGAAATTATTTCAATATAAGATACACATCATTTGACTCTCTTGTTCCTTACAGAGTGATCCAAGAACAGGACCTGTTACTTTCCATCCATTGTCATTTCATAGACCCCTTGAAGCAACCCAGTGGTTGGTAGCAGCAATCTTTGTGCAGATGAGGACTCTGAAGCTCAGAAATGTTGTATAACTTGTTTAATACAAAGCCCACGCTCTTTGTATTCCATCAGACCATATCCTGTAGATACATATACATTGCTAGGGAAGTACACTATGGCAACTGAGACACCTCTCACAAGGTGGTATCGTTTATAAAAAATAGCATTATGTATTTGTCATCATTGCTTGGTTGAGTGTCCAACACAGAAATAAAAATAAGCAGGGTGCCCTCTTTGGCATGGAAATATTCTAATTCATTTCCCCAGAGAATGACCATACTCACCAGTATTATTTTGCTCTACTTGTTTGCTTTTAATCATAATATATGCCTGTTTACTTTTTGTAGCTATAAAAAGGTAGATAAAAGAAGCACTTTAGGTAGATATAAAAAGCACTTTAATTAAGAACATGAATTAAAAGATACTTCAATAATGAAGTACAATAGATTAAGGAATACTTTAATAGATTAAAATAACTTGAATTAAAAGATACTTAAATGCTATTGTTATTAACACAAAGGTTTAGGCTAACAAAACGCATTTTCCCAAATATCTCTCTCACCTCCCCCCACAATTTTTATTCAGGAATGTAAGAATTGGGCTTTTATAAAAGCAACCAAGGGCTAAACATCTACTAAGTTCTTAGAAACTTTGAAGGATTACAGAACTCTCTTTCTATAATAAGGTTTACCTGTTTGACTTGATTTTGTTCAAGATGGCATTTCATACTGGTGTAAACCTAAACAAAAATGTGTAAGATTTATCTCATAGAAAGACGTGCCTGTAAGTAATTAATTCCTCACTCTAATTACTATTTATGCCTTTACTTTTTATTGTAAACATTCTTGTTGGAATAAACTAGAAATAGGTTTTTTTTCTTTACACTAAAATAACTCATGAATAGCAATGAAATCCATGCTGTATAATATTCAAATGAGAGATCAGGAAAGACAAGGCTTTTAGTTAAATCAGTAATATTCTGTGATGGGGAAAATTGCCTTGAAAAATACACACACACACACACACACATGCACACACACACACACATACATACTACTAGAAAAAGTTTGAGGTTCGATTCAGAGTGTGGAAGGTACAGTGTCTTAAAAGAGTTTCAGTTGCAGCATTTAGGCAGATGATCAAGAATATGCAGAAGAAAACAAAAGAAATCATAATTATAGTTTCCTAACAGAGGTATTTGATCCTCTGCAGTGAACCATAAAAAACTAGCGTGGGATCAGAATCTTGAGTAGCATGTATTTAATTGTATGCATTTCAAAGAAATTTGAACATTTTAAAAAGTTACACCATATGAAAAATTGTATATAAAGACATTTTCTATAATATTATAATAATTTTACAAATGAGGAAACAGGGTTAGAGAGAGTAAGTGAGTTACCAAAGCCAATGGCTAGAAAGTGAGAGAGGCAGAATCCAAGTACTAGCCTGGGATTCCCAAACCAAAGACTGTTCAGCTCAGCCACAAGTGGAAATGGATTCTTATGGGGCTAAGTGATTACCATTACTTTAAAAACTAGTATCAGAAATAGATGACAAGAATTTAAATGTATATCAAAATATCCCTTTGGTAAATGTTAGTGTCCTCACAGGTAAACAGAGGGCACCCTCAAATTTGAGTAATTTGAGAGGGTTTAAAAGAGGGACTGTTTACAAAATTGCAGTCATAGAGACATAGAGAAATCACAGGGAGAATGTGACCCTCGGGTTTGTAACAGCTGGGCCTGTAGAGGCGAGGGAAAAGTGCAGTTACTGGATGCCCAGAACAGAGGGCTGTGTGGAGACTGCACAGTGACCCTGGAAGAAAAGGGCTGCACTGTTAACCCTATTCTCCCTCTCTCTAATCTCCTGCCTGCCTCACCATTGGCTGGAATCAGAATCAGAGAGCAAGGGAACCTGTTGATGTATTCTGTAGAAGGCCACATCTCTAAGCTCAGAGGAGGGTGGGAAGGAATCTTCAGAAGCACTTGGAGACATTCAACTGAGTCACCCACCCTGGACTATTCAGAGCGGTCTGCAGACTAGAGGGCAGTCTCTAAATGGTTTGTTCAGATTTGCTATGAAACAAGGAACTTGCATCAGAATGTAAATCAATTATGTCACCAAGTGTACTGTTTAGTTCAGCTGTCATTTTATTCATAGCAAGATGTTCTCAATGAAGGAACCGGTGTGCTGGCTTACATCCTGGGGCCAACTCCTTTCACCACAGATGGGCCCTTTGAATAGCACTAAACTAGATTCCTTGCTCTGTAGGTAATGATAAAAACGCTGGAATCCCTTTCCTTGTTTTGATTTTCCTACCTTAACTTCTGCTAAAGAGAAGAATAACGAGTATTTTTCTGTACCTACCCTGAGCCTGGCACTGTGCTAAGGTACTTTAGATGACATTTAATTCTTGCAAGTTAGATTATTCACTTCATCTTTACAGACAAGAAACAGGGCCAGAAAGTTTAAGTAATGTGCCTGTGGTCTAGCAAGTGAGAGAGCCAGCACTCAAATTCAGATCTTACTCCAAAGTCCATGCCCCTCACTGTTTGTAGGCTATCCCAGGACTGTGCTTAAAATTATCTGACATTAACACCAAGAAATAAAGCAGGGTTGTTGGGGGATTGCCTTATATGGAGACCTATGACTATGTTCTGTATACATATGCTATGCATGATTCCTGGGAATAGATAAAACCCAGCTCCCCCCAAATCAGATGGCACTGTTTGTGAATACGATGTTACTCCACGTTACAAGGCCTTGTCCAGCCCAGCCAGCCAGGTCAGAGATGAATTCAGTTTGTTTCTAAGTGGCTGTTGTCTGTTGCCATCTCTTTTTAAACCTGGGAGGTCAGGAAGAAGATAGGGAGAAAGAATTCATGAGAGGGATGCATTTCCTTAGAAATGTTATTAATTGGCTGGGCAAAACAAGAGAAGGAAATAAAATAGCTGCTCCTTACTAAGTAAAGGCATCTTCTTCCCTTATCTCATTAAAAATTAAAAGCACTCTTGGTTTAAGTAGGGCAAATTAGTAATTAAGTGCTATATAATGAACTTGTATAAACAGAATATTGAAGGGGAAGCCAAATTAATCACTCTGCTGGCTTGTTTTTGCCCCCATTAATGCACCTTTTACTCAGGTCCTTCCTGTGATACCAGGATGCATTTTCTGCTCTCCTCTGCTGCTGGAGATTGGGTGGGCTGTGATAGTTGGGCTGACAGATGACAGTGGACTAGATCTGGAAAAGTCATGTGTAGGGGCCTCGATGGCCATTTCATTTTTTAAGCCAAGGCTCATCAGCACAAGCCTGCATGTGACGGGAACAGCCTTAGACAGTAGCAGGGCAAGGAAGAATTAGACACAATGTCGGTACCCAAGGAATTCCCAGTCTACTGGTGGCGGGAGGTTGGGCACAGATGGATACAGTTATGAAAAAGTCTAAGGTGTAATGGCAAAGACTATTTCCTTGGACTCAAATCTTGGCTCAGCCACTTACCTTGGGTGAGTTACTTAGTTTCTCTGTGTCTCAGAGGCCTCACCTGTGAAAGATTCCATTGCAATTACTCTGCAATGGAATGATGGAGCATTTGAGGAGTGACTTCCACTGTCTTAAGAGGGCTGGGAAAGTCTTCCAGAAGAGGCAACCTTTGGCTGGTGACGGAGCTAGAACTCAGGGTACCGTGGGACCCCCCAGGCCTATGCTCCTCATCTTTGCAGCATAGTGCCTCCTCTGAAAGCGGAAGAAGGAGCTTGGGCCTCAACCCAGGACAAATCTCTCTCCATTTCAGCTCAACATAGTAAATATTAGTAATAACATCTGGATCCTCAGTCTCATGATATGTTAGCAACTACCTGCCAAGTATGTGGGGTGAGGAGTAGAAAGAGTAAGTGAGCTGAGTCCATCACAGGCTGGGTAAGATGAAATCAAATGGAGCAGCAGAAAGTAGCCCTCTAAGTCACCTTGCTGAACCTCACGGTGATGCCATCTCCTCGGCTTGCTAGCTGTGTGAACACACCTGGCTGGGCAAGCTACTTAATTTCTCTGATCTCAGTTCCATATTAACTGACCCCATTGAGTTTCTGCAAAGATTCTGTGAATGAAAGCACATTTAGCACAATGCCTATTCAGCAGAAAAGTACTATTATCATTCCCTGTGTTCATTTGATCTTCACCACAACCCTATGAGGTAGGTGGCATCATTGTGCCACTCTATTAAGCAAGAAATTGAGGCACCAAGCTATTGAAAATCTCGCCTAAGGTCATCTAGATGGTTAGTGGCAGAACGATGGTTTAAACTCAAGTGGTCTGGCTCCAGCCCTGCCCTCTGCGTATCCCCCACAGCCCTGTGCTTTGGAGGGCACCTATAGCTAGGTTTGCATGTCACATGCTAGAAATAGGGTAGACGCTTCTCAAGGATGTCCGGACCTCTCTCTCACTACTGAGGAAGAAGTTATTTCCTTCTGCTTGAGGGAATGGTGGGGCAGAGCCTACAGCTGTGGTGACCCTTTGACAGGTGGGGCAGGTAGAGCAGGCACAAGTGACTCACCAGGGAGCATTAGCCCTAGGATGCAGTAGGAATGCAGCTGCTGCACTGATCTTGGCAGTTTTGATTAGTGAACAGAATAATTTATTTGTCATTCATACTCTGCTTCCATAAAGGATTTAAGAAAGCTTACAATAAGTGACTAAATAGTTACTGGAATAAAACTCATAAGTTAGAAATGATGTAAAAAGAGGAAAATACACATATATATACATATAAACATGGGAAGATACCAGCAAAGGACAAGGTGATTTGATTCTGTATCAGGTAGGAGAAAAGTACTAGAAAAGTATTAGTATTAATATTTGTATTCAAAGTACTGCCAAAGAATGTTGAAAATCAGATTGTTTTAATTCTGGATTGGTGAGTGCCACACCAAATATCTATGGGACAGATCTGGCTTATCTATGGGTCTCTGATCTGGACTAGGCAGTTATTATTATTTTTTTTTAAATGAGGTCTCGCTCTATTGCCCAGGCTGGAGCGCAGTGACATAATCATGGCTCACTGCAGCCTCAAACACCTGTTCAAGCAATCCCCTAGGGGGTTACTTTGACTGAACTTCAGGCAACCAAGGCAAAACTGGGAAAAGTGTCAAGTCATATGGAGTCAAAGAATTATACCAATTCTTTGAAAGAGACCACATTTTTCCTTATACCAAATTCTAAAATCATTATTTCTTTAAAAATGAACTTAGAAATCCTTCCATGGAACTCTTATAGAAGAAGGCAGAATTCATTATATACCACCTTGCTGAGAGCCCAGATCATAACATTGAAACCTGACTTCGGGTCTAGGATAGGCTGGGTTTATAGCTTTTTGGAGATGTCACTTGACTCAGTGATAGAACCAAGAATACCCAGTTTGGTAGAGAGATAGCATGTCCCTTCACCTTTTTCCATGAATATTCCTTCCCTTGGCCAGCTTTGCAAACAAAGCTGTGTTACTGACCTAGGAGTGTCTCATAGTACCTCAGTACTAAAGCTTTTTACAAGCCTGGCATCAGAGAAGTGCTAAAATGAAGCACCCGTCAATCGAGAAGGGCAACAGATGTTGAAGCATATCAAATATCAGTAAACAGCAAGCCACAGAGACTGCTGAACTTGGCATCCTCATAGCAAAAATACCCTGTTGCCTTTAAGAGAGAACGCTGTGGACTTTTATAAACCACATTAAGTGATGTATTTTTTTCTCCATTTGGACAATTGCTACCCTATGAAATATTTTCCCTGAAAGATGGTCTGCTATCCTCTATTATTTTTTTTTAATCTCTACTTTTTTAAGGGCAAACTTAATGCTCACAGAGTGTTCTAGGCTCTCAGCCCTGGAAATATAGGTCTCCAGAAATTGAGAGGAGTTTCATATTCAGCTTATCTAGTACCCTCTCTTTTACTATTAGCCGTATGATTCATATTATAAGTAATAAATCGAGCTGTATTTCAATCCTGTAGCTGTGCACTAGATTAGTCCCTTTACCTCTCTAAGCCTGCTTACTCATTTGTATAAAAATAAGACTATTAAGAACACATACCTCATGCAATTGTTGTGAAAATTAAATGAGATGATATGCAAGAAGTATTTGGCACAGTTGCTAGTATGAATAAACTCTCAATGAGAGGTATACAAAATTATAGCAATATTTATGATGATATCTATCATTACTATTAGCTGACTATAAGTCACATGCTGTATTAATGCTTTACATATATTACTGAAAGGTGGCTGGGCTGGTCCTTTGCCTGTTTGCTCTCAGAGAGTGCTCCTTCCCCTGCTCTGCTGTGTGTTACACTTCCTAGGCTCTCTTGCACCTGGCCTCTGAGCAGGCTTGGCCATTGGGAGGTAATGGTGGGAGAATGACTGATGTGCAGGCAGAAGTCAGGTCATTTCTCCCCTTCACTACAGCAGCAGCTGCATTTTCTGTCTGATTCCAGCTCCCAGCCTCTCTCAGATCCCAGTTCTGGCCACTCAGCTTTTCTTTGGTTTCCGTTCTATACTGACATTCCCTGTTCCTGGCTCTAGTCACACCACTGCCTCCTGTCATCCCTTGATTCCTAAGAGGGGTAGCATCTGTCTGCTGTCGGTAACCTCTGTGTGGCTTCAACAACCTGTTGGGCTTCTAGGTCTCTTCTGTCACTAATGAAACTAATTTCTTTTTTTTTTTTGAGACACAGTCTCACTCTGTCGCCCAGGCTGGAGTGCAGTGGCACAATCTCGGCTCACTGCAAGCTCTGCCTCCTGGGTTCACGCCATTCTCCTGCCTCAGCCTCCCGAGTAGCTGGGACTACAGGTACCCACCACCACACCTGGCTATTTTTTTTTTTTTTTTAAGTAGAGATGGTGTTTCACCGTGTTAGCCAGGATGACCTCGATCTCCTGACCTCGTGATCCACCCACCTCGGCCTCCTAAAGTGCTGGGATTACAGGCGTGAGCCACCACGTCTGGCTGAAACTAATTTCTTATATTTAATTCCTCCTGTTCAAAGACCTAGAGTAGGTCTTTGGGCTACCTAGCTAACTTGACTGGTAGTCCAGCTACCTGACTGGACTCTGACTGATATCATTGCTTTTAACTACTAAAAGAAAAGGTAGTCCTTATAGAGAATTCACTTCTCCTCCTCTCCCTGTTGGAGTGAGCCAAGCCAACTGGAGAAGGGATGGCTGGTTATCATGGAGAGACGTTCACTTGGACTAAAGCTCAAAAGACAATAAATTGACCTAAGCATCTTTGATGAATACTGCCTATACACCCAGCTGAGTTTGGCATTGAGGCCAGGAGCCTCAGGTAGCTTACCCCCTCTCTGAGGAGACAAGATTCAAGTACAAGTCATAGCCAAGCACACTACAAGATAGTGTCTAGTCAGAAGGAATAGGAACTCCTCTTTCTTGAGCCAGAGCCCTGGACCATTCACTATTCTAGGTAAGTAACTATAATAGATATGTGATTATTCTCACATGAAAAATGAGGAAATGGAGGCTCAGAGAGGGCAAGTGATTTACCCAAAGTCACACTGCAATTAAGTAGTGGTCTTAGCAGCTTAAGTCTGTATGTCCTAGAACCTGTTTATGGGACTTATATCTGTTCCTCAAAGTTTTCTAATCTTTTTGTCAGTTTCAAAGCAGATAGTAAGAAAACTACATACATAATTCATATTGCCCTGGTCTTGTAGAAATGACCTTACAGAAACAATATTCAGCCTTATTCACCTAATTCTCAGAACAGGTTTATGTGGAAAGTTTATTGTGTTCATTTTTTACAGATGACAAAGCAGAATCAAAAAAGTAAAGGAATTTACCCAAGTTCATACCGAACGTTCATATTCAACCTGGAATTTGAATGCAGGTTTTTCTCTCCCCAAGCATATGCTCTTTCCACTTGGGGACGTCCAAGAACTGGACCATATGTAGTATAAGACCAAGTGTTTTTTAGAATTTTTTTTTTTTTTTTGAGATGGAGTCTCACTCTGTCGCCTAGGCTGGAGTGCAGTGGCGCAATCTTGGCTCACTGCAACCTCCACCTCCCTGGTTCAAGTGATTCTCCTACCTCAGCCTCCCAAGTAGCTGGGATTACAGGCACCTGCCACCACACCTGGCTGATTTTTGTATTTTTAGTAGAGACAGGATTTCACCATATTGGCCAGGCTGGTCTCGAACTCCTGACCTCAGGTGATCTGCCCACCTCGGCCTCCCAAAGTGCTGGGATGATAGGCGTGAGCCACCTCGTCTGGCCTAGACATTTTTTTAAAAGGTTGGGGAGAAAGGCCAGGTACCCTATCTTCCAGGAACAGACAGTTGGGTTAGAGAAGTATATATAAAGTGACCTGAAACCAGAGAGTGCTGTTGCATAATCTACTCTCTGGTAGTGACTACCAGCAGGAAAGAGTAGCCTGGCTTTGTGTAAGAAATGGGGCTTGAAATGGGCTGGAGTGGAAACATTAATTTAGGACAGGCAGAGAAGCAGCAGGAAGAGGGATTTTTAGATAAAGGTGCTGGTGAGAGCAAAGAAACAGATACAGACAGAACGGAGATCAACGTTAACTCCTGGGAAGGGTCCCAGTTCAGGAGTAGTGAAAAAGAAAGTTGGATAGATAGGACCACAGTTGATTACAGGTAGGGGTTGTTAACCACAAACAGATCAATTAGGAATTTGATCAGCAGTCTTGGGAGTACTTTTTGCTCAGTATTCCCTTATCCTTTAACTGTCTTTTAAAAAAATGTTGCAAGCTGATAGTCTCACTTTAAAAAAAAAAACGTTAAGTCCTTCTTAGATAATACTGCTTTCTGCTTAAGAAAAATAGCTTTTAAATTAGTTCAGCCTGTGAGTAATAATAAAAGTTTATTACTTATCTCTCACAGTTTTGAAGAGTCTCTAAAATAGAAGGGAATACTCTTTAAATGCCCCTAAAGTGCTATCCTCTTTCACTACAGTTCATTTGTGTATAGGGTGTTATAAAATCACACATTTGAGAATTTCAGGATGGAGAAAGCACCTTCTGAAGCAATGTCATTGAGAGATGGGGAGCAAGCCACTTTCTACCAGCTCAAAATCTACTCCCTCCTCCCTCCCCAACCCCTCCCTGACACCTGGGCCTAGAGGAGCCTGTGTGTTGGATAGAGTTGACGGCAGTGAAATTCCTACCAAGTTGGCCCTTTCAGTTTCACCTGTCAGTGTCTCTGATGAAGAGGGATCTTGACAAACCAGACTGGTTTGGATAATTGGACTACAGCAGTTGTCTTCATCTCAGTAAACTGACTAACCACTACAGAGGCTGGAGGAGAAATTTATAGAAAATCCTAAAATGGAAATTGAAGCAAGTGTTTCAATGACTAGGAAACAACAGGCTTTAGTGAGGTTCCAACATATTATAGTATGGTGGGGTGCTGGGACTCCTGTCTTCAAGGGGCCCCTAAAAGTGATAGAGGGGATTCATTTAGTATGCCCCAGCTGCCATTTAAGCACTTTGTGGTTATTGGCTCACTTAGTCCTCACAACGGTCCCATGAGATCCTGATATTAGTTGTACTTTGCACACAAGGAACCTGAATCACCAAGAGGCCACGCGCTTTCCCAAGCTTACATAGCTGGTAAAAGGTGAAGCTCAGATACAAACCCAGATTTTCTGACTCTGTGGTCTGTTCACTGTAAATACTGAAACCCATCTCTATAAAGCTCCTTTGGGAAACTCATCTTGGTGAGGCCCACCTCTACACGGCCCTACCCCCATGTGCCCATCTCTTGCACCGCCCTTAGATGTTGCCATGTTTGCTGATCTCACTCAAGTGTGAGCTTCCATATAAGGGTCCAAGTCTTACTGATCCTTAGCCAGTAGTCAGTGCTGGATACATGTATGCTGTACCAGACTGGAGGTGAAGTTTTACAGAGACTTTGTAATCTTCCTGAAGCTGGCTAAGAAGGCAGCCACCTGTGACTAGTTACACAGAAACCCAGCCACTTAAAGCAGTGGCACTGCTGGGGATGGACTTAGATTTAAAGTCGCTAGCAGGTAAAATCTGACCTATGTCTCCAGAAACAACTTTACTTGTGCACATTAGCTGTGACTGTAAACTGCTGCTTAACGGTTCTCACTTGCTCTAATTTTTCAAAGACTGACTCCCCAGTCATTAGAGTCTGTTCTGTTACTAGTAACTCAGTGGATGATCTGGAACAAGAGGTCTACCTCTTTGGGCCACAGTTTCCTCATCTTTAAACTGAAAGAATCAGATTCTGGTTTTCAAAAATGTAAAGCAGTGGAACCTTTGGGAGGCCAATACAGAAAACAGAAGGTGAACTGTGTCTCTGGCTTATCCATCACACCCTCTTTCCCCACTGCCTGGCAGCCTTGGAGGGTCTTTGCTGAACATAAGCACTGGACTAGATCTTTCCAAAGGAAATAACTGAAAATATTATAATGTTTAATAATGATACTTAATAATTCAATAATAAAGTAACTTCAAAATAGCCTAGCCTACCTTGAGAAAAGCAGGTTGGAGGGCCCTCACCATGGGGTCACTGTGCCTGTCTGTGTTACTGTCAAACATTGTGTGTTCCAGGCACGGAGGGGTGTCAGCTCAGCCTGATAATGTACAGTGGATTGGGGAAGCTAAAGCCTCTGGGCCTCATTCTCCTTGGCTGAAAACAGACTGCGTGTCATGGCACTGGTGAATTAGAAATTCTATCCAGCCACTCTTGGAGATTGATTTTCCGTCTGGGGATCTGACCTCTTGCTTCACTAGCAGAGGGGATCAGACTGTTCTGGGAGGAGTCAACGAGCTGGCCCTCAGAAAAGCCTTCTCTTTCTTTTTTGTTCTTTTTTTTTCTTTTCTTTTTTTTTTTTTTTTAACTGTATGTTTCAAAGGGAAAGTCTGATTACTTTGGGGACTTAACACTACCAGTTTGAATTCTTCTTGGTACTTACAGCCTTAAGATATCCATACACCCCCACATCCGTCCTTTGTGCTAGAAGATTACTGAAGATTTAATTCCATTTATGTCATTGGATTTGTAAAAAACCCCTTTTGGATTCAAAGATGAAGGCCTCACTTACTTTATTTTTGTCATTTTCACAGACCCCTTATGTAAATGCCTCAAGAGTAAGAATCTTGCTCAAGTGATTTTTGTATCTCCAATGGCTAACAAGGAGCCTGACATAGAGTAGCTGCTTGGTAAATATGTGTTCATTCATTCAACAAATACCCCCAAGGTACAACGATAAGAAAAATAACTATAGTCCTAATACTGATCACCTCTGCAGTTGACTGGAAGAGACAGTTAAAAAGATAAGTACAAATAAATGTATCTTGGGTTAAGTGCTATAAAGGAAAAGAACAGGTTCAATGGAAGGAAAAATTAGAATTGTTGATACATGAATGGAAGTAAATGACCCGGACTTCCAACTCTAAATCTCTGTCTCATTTCACCTCTTTGTAAATAATCATTGCTATTATGTTAAATATCACAACTACTGTCATTTCTTGTTTACCCACTACATTCTAAGCTTGGTGCTGACATCTTTGTATTTATTATATAAAATTCTCAAAATTACTCTGCCCGTTAGGCTTTCTTATCACTTATTCCAAATGCAAAAATAAGGTCCAGGGAAGATAATTATGTAACTTGTTCATGATTGGAGAGCTAATAAGTGTCAGAGATGAATTGAACCAAAGTTGGTGTGACAAAGCCTCTGTTTTAAGCAAAAGGGAAAAAAAATTCTCATTAACTCCAAGGATTATCATCAGGAGTCCAACAGGGTTCCCAATTTGGGAACTACTATATCATTATCATATGGCAAATGGTCCACTATGTTAGATGAGAGGACAAAAAAAAAAAAAAAAGTTGGGGGAGAAACTTTGCTGTAGAGTGGGAGGGAAAAAGAGGAAGATAGTCTTCTTGCATGGGCCGTCTTATCAGCCTAGCAATAATAAACTATCACCATAGCAACAGGAAGTCTAATTGATGGCAGATGTTGAGCCACTTTAAAAGCCACGCCAACTGAATGCCAAGCTGATGCTGTAAACCTCTCTCCTCTCCCGCGGCTAGACTAATCATGCTATGGTCATATTGGAGAGACCCATCTTTCAAGGGTGGAAGAAACTCTGGACTTGGCATCAGAAGACTTGAGTCTGAGCCTCACATCTGCCCGTGCTGAGCTCTGTTGCCTTGAGCAAGTCAGTTCATCAAAAGTAGAAGATAGTTATCATTAATTTTATCATCATTATTACTACCAGTAGTAGGAACTCTCTGAAATTCAATTTCACAATCTAAAAGATAGATAATATTTGTGTAAGCATCGTCAGAAGGTTTAAATGGAATAAAAGATGTGGAAGTGCTTAGTAAACTATAAAGTAATTCACAAATACAAAATATTAACACCAAGAGACAGCTTGACGTGCTAGAAAGAGTTTGCATTGGCATCAGACAGATATGGCTGCTTACAGACTGCTTCATCTGAACGCATCACTTACATGCTCAGCCTCAGTTTTCTATCAGTAAAATTTCTTAGTGTAAATCTGTAAAATGTTCTACCCATGTTACAAACCTGTGGCTTAATTAACCTCTCTACACTTCAGTTACTCCTCTGTAAAATGGAGGTGGCACTGGCACCTCCCTCATAAGGTCGTTGTGATGATTAAGTAAGTTAATACAGGAAGAACATTTAGAACAGTGCCTGGCACAGGCAGCGTGTCATACATATTAATGGTGGTAATGGTAGTGGTGGTGGAGAAGAAGAAGAGGAAGGAGAAGAGGAGGAAGAAAGAGCAATTGAAATCATATACGTGCATAGAACTGTGAAAGCTGGTGGTAATGGTAGTGGTGGTGGAGAAGGAGAAGAGGAAGGAGAAGAAGAGGAAGGAAGAGGAGGAGGAAGAGCAGTTGAAGTCATATACGTGCACAGAACTGGGAAAGCTGGCCAGGCTCGGTGGCTCACACCTGTAATCCCAGCACTTTGAGAGGCTGAGGCCAGTGAATCCCTTGAGCCTAGGAGTTTGAGACCAGCCTGGGCAACATGGTGAAAACCTGTCACTACAAAAAATACAAAAATTAGCTGGATGTGGTGGTGTATGCCTATAGTCTCAGCTACTCGGGAGGCTGAGGTGGGAGGATTGCTTGAACCTGGGAGGCAGAAGTTGCAGTGAGCCAATGTTACGCCACTGCACTCCAGCCTGGGCAACAGAGTGAGACCCTGTCTCAAAAAAAGTAAATGGCCGGGCGCGGTGGCTCACGCCTGTAATCCCAGCACTTTGGGAGGCTGAGGAGGGCGGATTACAAGGTCAGGAGATCGAGACCACGGTGAAATCCCATCTCTACTAAAAATACAAAAAATTAGCTGGGCACAGTGGCGGGCGCCTGTCGTCCCAGCTACTCGGGAGGCTGAGGCAGGAGAATGGCGTGAACCCGGGAGGAGGAGCTTGCAGTGAGTTGAGATCACGCCACTGCACTCCAGCCTGGGCGACAAAGCAAGACTCCGTCTTAAATAAATAAATAAATAAATAAATAAATAAATAAATAAATAAATAAAATACTGAAAGCTCCATGTGATACAAGTGAGGACCTCCATAGTCAATGTCAAAATACTTTTGGTCAGTTCGTGGACTGGTTCACATGTCTTATCAGTTTTCTCAAAGTTTCCATTGTCTACATAGCCTTTTTTGTCATGCCCAGTATGCATGCCTGCTCTGATCCTTGGCTATGAAGTTTTCAATGGGAAAGGGACAACCAGGACAAAGAATTGGTAGAAACCATGAGAAATATTTTCTCAGAGACCAAGGTCTCCACAGGCCAGGATTTCTCAGAGTCTTCTTCGATATATTAAAAAGTATTTCTGGAAAAAATTAGTTTGAAAACTGCTATGATGTTCAAGATAACTAGGTGTCTTTTTTTTTTTTTTTTAAAGAGATGGGGTCTCAATGTGTTGCCCAGGCTGGACTCTAATTCTGTGCCCAAGAAATCCTCCCTCCTCAGTTTTCCAGGTAGCTGGGACTATGGATGTACTTCACAGTACCCAGCTCTAACTAGGCGTCTTCATAGCAAGGCATCTGTTAAGACTTTAAAATGTAAACATGCATTGTGAATCTCCCAGGTTGGATAGGCATAGAGAGTATGGTGTTTCCCAAATTTACTTGATCGAAGAATTAGTTTTTCATGGAGCATCTTACTTTGCTAAAGTTTCAAGTACCAAAATTGGGAAATGTTGATGTAAGCCCATAGCCAAGACAATCAAGCCTTAAGCATAGTACCACAAAACAGGTTTGAAAACTCCTACTAATCCTTCCATCAATTCATGTATCTATTTAACAAATTAAAAGAGTTCTATATGTGGCAGTGACTATGTGCTAGATGGTGGAGAAACAATGACAAGCAAGACTAGTATATTCTCTACCCTCTCAGAGTTCTGGTGGGCCTACTGGGGAGAGGGAAAAGTTGCCCACTAATTTTATTGCAATGACAAGTGAAAAGATGGAGAGGACAGGTGCCATGACACCGGGAGCAGCGGCTTCTTACCTAACCTGGTGGGTCAAGGAGAGTTTCCCAGGGAAAATAACTTCTAAGTGGAGACCCAAAGGAGGAGTTACAGCTGTAGGACACATAGGAGCTTGCAACACACTCGCCCATGCATTCCATGTTGTATCCTCATGACAACCTTTCTTGGTAGATGCAATGAGAGTGGTAAAAGTTACTAAGTGGTCATTACGACCTAATGAGTTCCTACTCAATGAGTCAGGCACTGTGCTAGGCATCTTACAAATTTATTGCATATAATCTTGACGGCAATGAGCAGTATCCTCAGTTTACAAATGAGAAGTTGAGGCTCATGGGAGATAAGTGGTTTCCCAACCCTGTACATGTAGTTAGTACAAAACCAGGACTTTCAGATCTGCCTGATTCCAAAGCCCATTACACTGTGGTCAACCAGTGCTGGGCCTGGACCGTGGCTGGTCCATAACAGGGTTTTTACTAGTCAGAAATACGGAAGAGTAAGCAGAATGTCATGAGTTCTTCCTTAAGCTAATTTTTTTCTTCTTAAATGACATATTATCCTGAGATGTCCCCCTCCCAACCATTTGATGTAGAAAGTCCTGTGGGTTTTTTTTTTATATATTACTTGTCAGAGAAAACTTTGAGCTTCTTCTTAGCAAAATAAAAACTTTCTAACCATATGTCAGTCTCCCAAGTCATTTTGGAAGTGTTGCCATCTATGAAATCTAAAAATCATGGAAGTTCTGTGTATGCAACTTTCTAGAACATATTCCTTCTAAAAGTGAGAGAAATATGAACCAGCACATTGCTGTGAGTTCTGCTGGTTCAAAATTGGATGAGTTGCTGAATTCCATGGGCACCAGCAGCCAAAAATGGAGATAAAATAAGATCAAGTGTCATCTTCCAAAATGTACAGACATACCACCAGTGACATTCAGGCATTCTACGTCCTGGTTTATAGACACCCTTTTTCTAAGTTTTAATAGATACTAGAAAAGTACCTAGCATTAAACCTGGGTTTTCATGAACATTTTTCCCTAGAAAATTTTAAAAAGAAAGAAAAGTTTTTTTCCCAGGACTTAAAGAAATATTTTATGACTAATCAATACTATAGGTAGTACTTGAGAAAAGAAAATAATTGTGAAGATAGGACCTGAATTACTAAAATGTGTGAAATAGTACGATAATATGTATAAAAGTGCCTCATGCATAAAAGGCCCCAGTAAATGCTTTCTTCCTCCCTGATTCACATGGTGAGCAAGTGGCGGGGGCCCAGGACTAAACCTCATAGCATCAGACTCCCAGTCCAGTGCTCCTTCCAAGAGGCCTTTCAATTGTTTTCTTTCTGTCTACCTACCTCACACTGTGTCCTTCATCTCTCTGTCTAGCCCCCAGGAAAAGTGCAGCAAGTGCAGGTATTTCTGAAATGACGAGTGGCTCGCAAAAAGGATCTGATGAGTGTTAATAGTAAGCAATGTGTACCTAAGAGTGTAGACACTATTAGCATTTGGAAAAATAGGAATCTGAACTGAGAACTGGAAGGGCCCTTAGAGATCATCCCACACAAACCCTCTTTTTACAGATGAGGAAGTTGAGACCCAGAAACGGGAAGTGCTTTGTGCATGGCCAGAGAGCTCGTTGCTGATCAAACCAGGACAAGCATCCATATGAAACACGCAAATGTAAAATTACATGAAAAAAAAAAACCCTTTACCTCCAGATGTACTGCTTTCCAGAAAAGTGGCGAGGAAATACCACAAAAATACCTTTACTTCAAAAAATTTGAAAATGTTGAAGGTCATGCTTCATATTGTGCCAGGCAAGAGAACATTGTACATAATTGTAAATCACCATTGGAGGAGGTGGTCCTGGTTGTATTCTTTTGTTTGTTTGTAATACACATAACATAAAATTTATCATCTTAACCATTTTTAAGTGTACGGTTTGGTGGTATTAAGTTCATTCACATTATTGTGCAACCATCACCACCATCCATCTCCGGAACTCTTTTCATCTTGCAAAACTGAAACTTTACCCGTTAAACAATAACTCTGCATTGCCCCCTCCCCCAACCCCTAGCAACCACCATTCTACTTTCTGTCTCTGTGAATTTAACTACTCTTTAGATACCTCATATAAGTGGAATCATACAGCATTTGTCTTTTGTTGACTGGCTAATTGCATTTAGCATAATGTTCTCAAGGTTTATCCATGCTGTAGCACGTATCAGAATTTCCTTCCTTCTTGGTTGTATTCTTAATGCAACATAGCTTGTTCTCTGTGATCTGCTGATTATAACCATCGTCGCTGTGAAGACTTTGGCGTGCTTAACATTTTTGTGACTTCTTTCCAGTGGGGGAAATAGATAGCTCAGTTGTGGACGATAGCAGCAATGGGAAGCAGTATTTGAGAAGAAATCAGACTCTCTTCTTCCAGTCTTTTGCAAGTAGGTGACACAAGAGGTAAACAGAATTGCATGCTGTGCCCCTCCACATCACCCCCTATTTTCTTTGTTTCTTCTGCCCAAGGCTTCAGTCAATCAGAGAAGCAATGAGAGTTGAAGATTTTAAAAGTGGGTTTTCAAATAAGACAAGCTTGGGTTCCAGTCCTACCTCTGAAACTTACTAAATATGTGATCTTGGGTAACGTGATTGAACTCTCTGAGCCTCAGTTCTGTAATCTGTACATAGAGATAATAATACTTTTATCAAAAAAGCATGTCTTTTTTTTCCTTCTGATTGATGAGATGCTTTCTGTATTTTTTCTGGATTTAAACATAGTTTCCAAAGTTAAAATATTAATAGTACTTTTCCCTGTCCCATTGGGTTGTTTAGAAATGTAATGTGATATATGACATTTTGGCCTCTCTGAGATGTCTTGTTCCAGCCCAAAGATTATTAGGGAACCTCATGTCATTTGAAAGGGGAGAAAGATAATTTATTGATAAGGTTCTGCATGTCATATGTATCATTTTTTTCTCATCAAAAACACTGAGTAGAACTCTATTATGATACTTGGTCCTTTACTTCATACTTTTCTATCTTCCCAGCTAGTCAGAACCATGCCCACCCCGCAGTTCCCACCCCTTGGTCAGTACCTAGCATTATGCCCAGAAAAACTACAGATGCTTCTTCACACTCCCCTCCAACCCCCACACCCCCATTACCAAAGTGTTTCTATAATGCTCTGGGAATCAGCATCTCAATTCCCCCATGGCCTCATGGTTAAACATACCATTCATTCGACCTCTCAACTGTGACAAAGAAGGAAGCCTGGGTGTAGAAACTGATTTCAGCTCCCCTCTGAAGTTGGGCGTCTCTCTTTGCTGACCACTTGGGAATTTTTTTTTCTTGCTTCTGACCCACCTCTCCCCTTTCTTTTGATAAACAGGACAGCTGTCCCCAAAGGGATGAATCCATTACCTTTCACCAGAGTTGAGTTCGTTTTCCATTTCATCTTTCTGCTTAAAGAGAAAGCCCTTTAAAAGCGCAGCGCATACATTGAGTGCGTGTACTTAATTTTTAATATGTGTGTGCCCACAGCCAAGAGAACAGAGAACCTTAAATAATAATGAAACTGAATTGTACATGTCGTATGTTTTATGTGGCACTGATTCCTAAATATGCTCCTAGCAGCCAGGTATTATTTAATACATCCCCATTAATCAAGCTGCCAAATCTAAATGAAAACCATGTTTAAATATGTTTAATAAGATTATAGCTTTTGGTTGAATATCAAACTAACATAGCTACATTTTTCCTTCCAGCCAGCTCTCATTTACTGTCTTACATTTTTACTCTGAAAGCTTTTGTACTATCAAACCAATCTTGATTATAAAACAAATTATACCACAAACTTTTAGTATCGTGAGCTTCAGCTGAGTCCCTCAGTGTAAATGTTAGGAGAAAGAACAGTTCTGAGATTTTTTTTCTGGCTAAAAAATGATATTTTTCTTCTTCTTGGGGTGAGCCTTTGAGTTTAAAAGGAAATTAAAAATTCAATTAGAGATACTAAATTGTTTGTAGCTTCTGTATTAAATGATGTCTGCCTTTTGCATAGTTATTGAAAGTGTTTCATATTAAATGTACTTTTTCTTTTTGACGGTTCAGGCTTCTGTTAGTTTTGCAATAGTGACACCTAGGGGCTGTAGAGAACATTGCATGGGCTGCTAAAATCTCAAAAACAACCCCTCTGCTCTTTTGCCATGGATAGAAAAAGTATTTGTGGGTCATTGGGGCTGATGGAGAAAGAAGGCAAATGGTACCCTGGGCGAGGTAGGTTTCCAGTTCTATTTACCAGGCTTCCAATATGCAAACAAAAAAAGGAGGTAAATAAAAAGAGGTTTTTATAAAA
Organism: Homo sapiens; assembly: GCF_000001405.40. NCBI lineage: Eukaryota > Metazoa > Chordata > Mammalia > Primates > Hominidae > Homo > Homo sapiens. The sequence goes on from NC_000001.11 coordinate 59,699,648, forward strand.
ATAAAGAACTAGCTGAACTTGGAGTAACATACAGTATTCTAGCAGATTTTTAAAGTTATTGATAAAACAACATCATATTTATTAACATGTTTAATTCTCGTTCTTATTTGCAACAGTTTGCCTGCTGTTCTTGCCTTTGTAACAGGCATGTCCCGCGTTGATTGCAGAGAAGTGATGACTGTATGTGGTGCTTTGACTTGTTCTGTGCGAATGTCTCGCTTCTCACATCTCTAATTCTTCTATTTGCCTTGTTCAATATTCTATATCCATATTCACCCTTATAAAGTTGTCATTGAGACTTTTAGCCTATTTGTTCTCTCCACTGATATCATTATTTCTTCTAGCTTCTCAGAGCCCTTACATTTTCTCCATGTTTATATGGCTTGAAGCTTTTAAATTCTTGATCAAAGCAATCATAAATGTGTCTGTTACAAACACATTAAAATTCTTCGATTATATAAAAACTGACAAACAAGTCTTATAAAACTGTTTTTGTACTACATTAAGTTCAAAATAGGTGGCACATGTTTAACTTTGTACACTGTAGGAATTCTAAGAATCATTTCAAAAAGAAAAAGCAAATACAGTGCACAGCAATGCATATAATTCTTATAGATGAGTATTATCTATCTGTCATATCTCTCTGTAAATAATGATGGTGACAATGATGATAGGCAAAGTTTATTGATGTTTTTTATATGCCAAGCACTGTTCTAACCACTTTGCATGAATTAACTCAGTCACCATGGGACAGGAACTGTTATTATCCCAATTTTTACCCACATTCACAGAATGCTTCTGTGTTCCAACAAGGAAACTTCAACAAAGTAGTGCATGAGCTTATCACAGGTCGTGTGCAATAAGAGTTTATGTTATTAGTTTTTCCTTGAACTGCTTGGGAGTCAGTGTCACTTTTCTTAGCCCCATTAGCCTGCCCTCCCTTTGGAGTGTGCACGTCTCCTTTACTGTCTGATACCTGTCTGCTTTCCTCACTGAGTGCCTCTAGCTTTGTCTAGCAACACCTGCCCTCATAGAACTTACATTCAGTTGGGAAGATCCTAAGAAACAGCAATCACAACAAGTAATATTGATTTCAGGTAACAAGAAATGTTACAAAAGAAAGCAAAGTGATATCAGGGAGCAAAAATGGAATGACAGACTGGGTGTGAAGGGCTGGCTTTGTGAGCAGGAGAGAGGCCCTCCTGAGGAAGGGATGTTCGTGGTGAGTCCCAAATGACAGAAAGGACAGCAAGTGCAAAGGCCCTGGAGTGGGAATGAATTGAACATGTGTGAAGGAAAGCAAAAAAAGCAGGGAGGCTGGAATGTGTTGAGTAAGGAGAATACTGTGGGGCTCCTCTCTCTTTCCTTTCTCTGCTGCCAACACTTGTGTTTTCTGTCTCAGACTCTAGTTTCACTGAATTCAAAGAAATGGTTTGGAATTGCAAAATCCTGAGATGTCATCCACTGGGAGTGCTGGGGATAGGGGGACACGTGCAAGAGAATTGGCCTAAGAAAGGTTATACCCTGAGTATCTTCCATATATACCCATAGCCCCACACATTTTTATCTTGCAAAGTCAGTTAAGATGAACATAAGGCAGAAGTGGAATCCCAGCACAGTTCATCCTCAGTGCTCCACAGCACGGAACAGACCTTGGATATCGTACTTCACACAAGTTTGGTGACTCTTTTTTTATGTCTGCCTCTCCACTAGACTGGAAATTGACTGAGGACAGAGCTTATGTCATAATCATTCTTCAGTCATTTTTCTTTCTTGCATTCATTTTATCAGTAAATGCTTCTTGAGTGCCATCTGTGTGCCAACCACTCGTACTAGGCCCATCTATCTCTGCTTGGATAAAATTCCAAGCAAGAAAGATACAGTCCCTGCTCTCAAGTTTCCAACAGTATTGCAGAAGAGGCATACCATAAAATAGCATCATACAGTGTGCTATGCCTCAGCTTTGGGGAGGCAGAGAAAATGTTCCAAAGGAAGTGACAGTTGAGTCCAGTCAGGACTTGGAAGTATAAATAAAGGCGAGTATATGTCTGTATGTGTGTGTGTTTCTGTGTGTTTGGAGAGGGGTATGCATGTGTAGTGGGCCCGAGATGGGAGAGAATGTGTGCAGAATTTTAAACCTTGGGAACAAAGGATTCATGAACTCAGAGGTGAACTCAACTGTGTACTGGATGAAAATGTGAATGAATGAGTACATGAATGTATAAATGAATGAATCAGTGAGTGAGTTTTTCAGAGGCAGCTCATGAAATGGAGATTGTATTAGCGTGTTTTTACACTGCTATAAAGATACTACCTGAGACTGAGTAGTTTAAAAACAAAAAAAGGTTTAACTGACTCACTGTTCTGCATGACTTACAGTCATGGTGGAGGGTGAAGGGGAAGCAGGCACCTTCTTTACAAGGCGGTAGGAGAGAGAGAGCAGGGGAAACTGCCATATTAAAACCATCAGCTCTCGTGAGAACTCCCTCACTACCATGAGAACAGCATGGTGGAAACAGCCCCCATGATCCAATCACCTCTCACCAGGTTCCTCCCTCAACATACGGGGATTACAATTCGAGGTGAGATTTGGATGGGGAGACAAACTATATCAGAGGTATAAAGCCAAAAGGCATTTTTATTAATTTACCCTGAGAAATCACTATTCCAAATTCTGCCCATTATTTCCATGTAGGCAGACTCATATGGAGACCTATATCTTTATCAAAAATGTGCTTGTCAAGTAGATTATTCAGTGACTTATTGGGAGAAAAGGTTAGGCATTCATCTTATTGTAGGGATGGCTTTATCAATGGAACTGCATATAGCTGATGGCCAATATTCATCTTTATCCTGAACATTGCTTAGATGAGAACTATGGGGTAAACAAATGAGTGAAAAAAATAAGTTAAAATGTCAAGGGTGTTCATAGAAGAGAGAGAGGCTGTTAATGTGGTCTAGATGCCAGAGGTGGAGAGCTGGCTTGGAAAGTAGGGACTAGATTCTAGTCTTTGCTGTACTACTCTCTTGTGTGACATTGAGCAACTAGCCATCTTCAAACCCGTAAAGTGGAACTATGCCAGGCAATGTCTAAATTTAGTCTCTATCAGCTCTAGAATTTTGTGTTCATCTTAGTTATACCTGCTGAGGAGGGAGAGGTATTGAATGTGTATGGACACCAGCTGGGCAGCTTCCTCATGGTCCCTGGATGACAGCTTTGTCCTGGGGCACTCAATCCTCCAGAGTACCTTAAGAAGCTGTCCTAATCTGCCATACACTTGGGAGGGTTCTGGCTGTTAACCACCTATGTTGGACACACTGCTGCTATTCTCCTTCCCCACTTTTATCTGTTATTCTAAAGTGATCTGAGAATTTGGCTATTCCTGATGTTGCCTTTTCTTATACTCCACGTAGGGAGCCTCTGCTCAGAGGGTTATTCGTAAAAATTAATGAGATACATGTAAAGCAGCCAGAACAGTACCTGGCACATGAAAAATAGTTTAATACTATTTGTCATAATTATTCCTGCAGCCCTTCATTGTTGCCTTTCTTCCTCAGGTATTTTCTGCCTTGTTCTCCAACAAGCACAAGGGATACAGGGGTAAATAGGATACCATCTCTGTGCTGAGGGGTTTTGTCCAGTGCTATTTACTGAGTGCCTTCCATGTGCCAGGCACTAAGGTTAAATCATTAAGCCCCCACCACAATCCATTGCAATACTCATTATACCCATTTCATCTTCCAGGAAAGTGCATCCCAGAACAGAAAAGTCATGTGACATTCCCAGCATCACACAATTAGTAAATGGCAAAGTTGGAATTGGAGCTCCAGTCTCACAGACTCCAAATCCAGTGTTCTTTCCACCATGTCACCCAGCTACCACAAGGCTGCCATTGCACAGTTTTGAAAGGACAAAGAAGCAGCAGTGCATGATGGAAGTCAGCATAATGGGAAATAAGCTCTCCTTCCCTGGGCATCTACTTCTAACTTGCAGAAGAATAGGAAGGCTAGTCTTGTGAGCCCAGCTCCCAGCAGTCCTTGCTTTAGCCCATCTGAAAAGGATCTGTCTTTAAAAGCAAGGAGCCAGAAAAAATAATTCATACTAAAAACAAACTCTGTCATGAGTCATTTGACTTTGCTTTCCCCTGAACACATAGTTTATGTCTTGGGTGAGCTAAGGCTAAAGGAACATCTGATATGTTTTAGGCTAGCAGAGCCATTATTTAAGGAACTTCACATCCAATGTGCGCCCATTGGACCCTATGGTTTAAATCAAGTCTTCTGCTTATGGGGCCTGACAATTTGTTATTCTTGTTGTAGTTGTATTGGAGTGTGATTGTGTACATGTTTTATCAAGATGACAAGAATCACTCTGGTTCATGATTCAAAAGTTCTCAGGCTGTTGAACTAGCCTATGCAGTAGTTACTCTGAGTATGTGCGCTAGACAGGAATGTGTATATGTGCGCACATGTTCAGATGTGTGAGCACTTACAGAAAGAGAAGAGAATGAGAGAAAGGCGGATTCCAGCTGAGCATCTTACCATTCCTATCAGCAGAAGAGCGACCCAGCCCTGGGGCTGGGTCAGAGGATTTCTCAATCCTGGGAGAACAGCAGATAACCCCGAGCACAAAGCAAGTGTTTCTGTCTCTGTTGCCAACTTGCTTTTCTTTAGATCATTGAAAAATGACAGGAATACACTTACTCTGTAAAAGCACGAACAATGTAGGAATATATAGAGTAAAAGCAAAAGGCACAAACCTCTCCTGATCCCAAAAGTAATCACTATTATGCGTTTTGTATGTCTGTCTTACATTTTTTATGTATTCACAGACATATATATACACATATATATCATATAGTAGAGATTGTATAATAGAATACTATACTGTTTAAATAGTAGAGGATGAAAAAGAGATAACTTTTTTTATCTACAAGATACTTTGGAATATATTAATACATATAAAGCTGCCCCATGTCTATTACATGCTGACAGTAATTCCAGAATCTGCATATATAAAAAACTGTTTAACCAATGTGTTGATAGACCTTTAGGTAGTTTCTAGTGTTTAGCTGTTACAGAGACACAAAGATTATTGTTGGTGTAGTTCTTTATATACAAATATGAGGACTTCTTTTAGAGAAATACAAAAAAAAAGTGGAATTTCTAGTGGAAGGATTTGTGCATTTAAAATTTTGTTAGCTGTGGCCAAAATGTCCTCCAAAAAAGCTGTCCCAATTCGTATTCCTGCCAATGATGTCCCTGTGCCTTTGCCAATGCTGGATATTGTCAGTTGTTTAATATTTTTTGCCAATTTTCGGGCAGAAAATGACTGCTCATTGTTCTTTTCCTTTGCCTTTCCCCATTACTAGTAAGAATGAACATTCTCTTTATACCCATCAAGTACTTTTCTGTTAATGGCCTATTAATATCTTTTCTTCATTTTCCTATAGGGTTGTTTGTCCTTTCCTCATTGATTTAGAGGAGTTCTTTATCTGCTCTACATACCAATTCTTTATCTATCATTACATACTGAAGACATTCTTATAGTATGTCCCTTCTTATCTACCTTTGCTTACAATATCTGGTACCGGAGTTTTAAAACTTCATAAACTTTTATCTGTGAATCTCTTTATGACATCAGAATTTCTTGGAAATGTTCCCTTTAAACTATTTCTTTACTTGAAGCTGTGTTTTTCAGACTGATAATGTTTTAGACTTTTATGTGCCCAAGAGTAAACTTTTATGTGCCCAAGAGTTTTAGACTTTTATGTGCGCAGTAAGGACTGAGGAGGTGAGTGTTTTACCAAGGGCAAAGCTGAGATCAGAACATACCAGGCTGGCAGGTCCCTGTGTTTGTTAAAGACATTCTTAGTAATTTTATCATTAATTATGGGGAAATTCTAAAACTCCATTGGGATCAGCCACAGGCAAATGAGATGCTGCAAGAAGCTGGATACTGAGCATGCAGCCTGAAGTCATCTGAGCGTTGGATCATAACCAGCTTCCTCTACTTACCACTTGACTTTGAGACATAACTTTGCTTCTCTGAGCCTTAGTTTATTTCTCTGTAGAATGGAGCTAATCACAACTTCAAATGACTATTGTGAGGTTTCACATTTCCCATGTTTCAGCACTTGGTATCTGCTCAATACATGTTTGCTTTTGCCTTTTCTGGTTAAAGACCTTTTTTCCCCTGGACCTTTGAATGCAACTGGTCATCTAAAACTATTGACTTCCATCTCTTCTGAGGATTTTTGTAGCCAAATGGTGGAGGCATATCTAGCTTGAGAGTCTGAGGCAATTTCCTGATGATACATCTCAGTGGGCCTAAAGGAAACGAAACACCTACACCATTGCTCAATGCTGGAAAATTCTCCACAGTGGCCGACCCCTTTAGGAGGAGGGAAGCCAGGGCTCTGGGGAACAGCTCCTGTCTACGTGGGTGGAGAGTTCTTTCTTCAAGCATTGTGGATCGTAAACTCACTGAGCCTCCTGCCTGTACAGGAATAAATTTCCCCTGCCTTTGAGATCATCTCCTCTTCTCCTCACCTCAACCTGGCATCCTTCTCTTCTTAAGGCAACACAGCACTAGAGGCTGACTGCCCAGCCTCTTGAGCCAGACTTCCTGGAATTAAAACCCAGCTCTGCCACTCTTTACTTGTGAGGCCTGGAGCAAGTTTCTTAATTACTCTCTGCCTCTGTTTCCCTGGCTGTAAGATGAGAGTGCTAATGTTATCTACCTCACAGAGTTGTTACATGGGTCACTATTTATAAAGTACTTGGCACATAGTACAGTACTCAGGGAGCTACTAATAAATCATATATGGTATCTGAATTTGGGCTTCTCATTTCACAGCCAATTGACTTTGGATAATATGCTTACTCCAAGCTCAGCTCTCTAATTTGTAAAATGAGTATGAAAATATCTACTTCATGGAATTGCTGGGCAAGTCAAATGGGATAATGTGTGTAATGATTGTAGGTACTCAAGAGGTGGTAGCTACTGTGGTGATGAGTATCAAAAAAGACAGGAATGAATATACAGAGACTATCCTAATTCTCAAAAGCCAAGAGACTGGTAGAATGTGGCCTCCACACTCTTAGCCCTGTGACCTTAGACCTAACCTCTTCAACATTCAGTTTCCTGATCTGTAGAATTAGATTGACAATGGTGCCTACCTCTAGGTTCATGATGAAGAAGGAGTAATAATAAATTGGGTTCATAGAAAGTGCTTAATAAAATTAATTATTATTGTTACCTGTATCTCCTGTCCATTTAAGGGAAGATTCCTATTTGTAGTCAGGGGTCCCTGGGCAGAAGTGATGACAGCACAGGCAGAGGGCTGCACCCCCTGCCCTCTCCAACTCTGGGGATATAGCACAAGGTAAGAAAGAGAAGCAAATCTAAGGAAGGGAAATTGAGATCAAAGCCTGGTTTCTATGGATCAGGCCAAAATGATTGAGGGAGAGAGAGAAACACAACTCAGGATGTCCATCAGGATTTATCTGCAGCAGTGTGTCTCATTTTAACTCTTAAAACAGTTTTGTTGGATAGGTACTATTATTTCCAGTTTTGCCTAGCGAAACTGCGAGCTGGAGAGGTTAAGTGACTCGCCTAAGGTCAGATAGCTAAAAAGTAGAAAAACTGGGATTTGAGCCCAAGTCTGTCCAACTCTAAATCCCTAATGATATGCTTTTAATACATGCCTTGCCTCTGCTGGGAATGACTCAGAGGCCAAGCTGTAGGAGGAGGGGGAGAGAGGGATGACTGTGTTTCTCAGGGTGAACAGAGTAGGCAGCCACAGGGGCAGTAGGCCCGGAGCTAACAGGCCTTCATGTAAAAATTTGGAAATTTTGCCTGAAAGACAAGAGAGTGTTTTCAGCTGAGGCCGTTTTCAACTGTACCCTGTGTACTAGGCTGAGGGTAAACCAAAACACAGCCATAAATAGTTCTCCACAGAATTCTCGTCACAACAGCCCACTGTATTCCTTCTGTTTGGAGATGAATGTTGAAACACCATGCATGAAAATGGCTGAGTCTGTTGCTGTTCATGAAGTCTAGTCACAGCCCATTCAAATGAAGCCCCCTTGGATGTGAATAGAGATACGAGAATCAGCAGATGATCAGCCATCATGGACTCTTGACAAATGGCTTTGCCCAAAGAATCGGCATCCTTGGACTTCATACAAAGCAGGCCTTCCCAAAGCCTCTGTTTTGAAGGGACCCAGTCTGTTTGAATAGGTGTTTACCCACTTGCTACAGAATATGTTTGTATACCTGTTCTTTAATTTAAAAAAGTATCAAAGCTAGAAGGGACTTTAACAAGTCATCTAGTCCAATGCATTTAAAAGAAGGGGACATTTGGTTCCAGAGTAGGAGGTAACTGTCCTAAGGTTATATAGAGAGAATCCGAGATGAAATCCAGGGCCTCCTGTTTCTTAGTCTAAAACATGTCTGACTCTGCCCTTGTGAATGCAGCCAATACAGGGACAAAAAGTCTTTGGGCTTCTCTAAAGGGAGGGACTGCAATGTGTTAGAAATGGGAAGGAGGTTATGTTTGCCCTTGGTGCTTTCTACCTTTCCCATCTATTCTTTTCCTCCCATTTCATTTTTTTTTTCCTCATCTGTCAGAACTAACCAGTCTAATGTGCTCAATTTTCATTCCCTAAGAATCAGACTCCCAGATTTCCAGAGTTACTGCTGTTTACCTATTTCAGAGCTTTTCCCTACTTCAACTGGGCTGCCTTTTGAACAATGAAAGGGACCCTAGACCAGGGGAATACCAGGCTCGGCCCCTATTAAGTGGGTCTCCTTGGTTAAGACATTGCCTACCCAAGTGTCAATTCTCAATCTCTAAGGTGCAGGTGAGAAAGAGGAAAGGGACAAATAGTAATTGATCACCTGATACATGCTGAACTCTAATTATATAACCAGACTTAATCTTTAAAGGAGGTTATGTGAGGTGGGTAGATATTATTATCTTCATTTGCAAATGAGGAACTAGATTTCTAGAAAGGTAATTCACGTTCTCAAAGCCATGGAATCAGAAAGGGAGAGAGTTGGGACCTGTACCTAGATTTGTCTGAAAAATCCAAAGTACAGGTTGAGCAGCGCTAATTTGAAAATCTAAATCCAACATGCTCCAAAATCTGAAACTTTTTGAGCACTGATATGACACCCAAATGTCATGCTCAAAGGAAATGCTCATTGGAGCATTTCCAGTTTTGGATTTTGGATTAGGGATGCTCAACCAGTAATTATTTAATACAAACATTCAAAAATCCAAAATTAAAAATACTTCTGATTCCTAGAATTTTGGATAAGGGCTCAACCTTTTAAACTAAACCTGTTTAAGCTGTTTCAAGTTTGCCAAGTAAGAGAAAGTGAGATGAATATATGTGTTCATACACACACATACACACACACGCGCGCGCGCATACACGTCCTCACTCTGTATTAGTCCATTTTCACACTGCTATAAAGATACTACCTGAGACTGGGTAGTTTATAAACAAAACAAGTTTAATTGACTCACAGTTCCACATGGCTGGGGAGGCCGCAGGAAACTTACAATCATGGTGGAAGGTAAAGGGGAAGCAGGCACATTCTTCACAAGACAGCAGGAAAAAGAGTGAGTGCAGAGGAAACTGCCACTTTTAAGCCATCAGCTGGCATGAGAATTCTCTCACTATCACAAGAACAGCATGAGGAAACCACCCCCATAATCCAATCACTTCCTACCAGGTCCCTCCCTCAATACGTGGGGATTACAATTTGAGATGAGATTTAGGTGGAGACACAGAATGAAACTATATCACACACACACACACACACACACACACACACACACTGGAAGAGTGCTTTCCAAACTATGAAATGCCGCCCACAGGTGGACAATTAGCCACCCAGTCCAGGCCAAGAATGAAGTGGCTGTCAGCATGCCACAGCCATCACACAAGGAATCTACTTGCAAGTGAGAGGAGCGGAGGAAACATTTAGAGGCAAGCACCTATCAGTTAGGTCAGTAGTTCTCAAATGTCACTGGAGGGCCACTGCAGGCAGGGCTGGCTACAATTTGTATATCCCCCAATTTGTGGGACCCAGTGCAAAATGAAAATGTAGGTCCCTGACCAGGGACAGGAAAGTCACTCCTTCCAACAGGCCTTCTGTCTCAACCTATGGCTGACAGGTGACTTCCAAGGCTTTCCAAATTCTACATGGAACCCCTCTGTGTGTTGTCAGCCTGACACTCCATGGCAGTGGTAGCCAGCTGGGGTCACTGCCTTGACCCACCCTGAGACACAGGGGGCCCAATGTCTGGCCTGACTCTTTCCACACCTATGCTCATCTTTATGAGGAGAAGAGCAAGAGCAAAACATGCCCCCACCCCTAGCCATGTAACCCTGCCACCAACTCACAGATGTGTGGTCAGCAGTGGGATGGGGCAGCAGAAGACAGGGAGTGGATGGCCAAGAACTGGCCCTGGAGACTAGCCCCATTGTTCCATCAATTTTTCACCTATAAAACACAGATTCAAAGATAAAATAGGATTCCTTATTTAATAAATGGTGTTGGGAAAACTGGCTAGCCGTATGCAGAAAACTGAAACTGGACCCCTTCCTTACATCTTATACAAAAATTAACTCAAGATGGATTAAAGATTTAAATGTAAGACTTAAAACCAGAAAAACCCTAGAAGAAAACCTAGGCAATACCATTCAGGACATAGGCATGGGCAAAGACTTCATGACTAAAACACCGAAAGCAATGGCAACAAAAGCCAAAATTGACAAATGGGATCTAATTAAACTAAAGAGCTTCTGCACAGCAAAAGAAACTATCATCAGAGTGAACAGGCAACCTACAGAAGGGGAGAAAATTTTTGCAATCTATCCATCTGAAAAATGGCTAATATCCAGAATTTACAAAGAACTTAAACAAATTTACAAGAAAAAAGCAACCCCATCAAAAAGTGGGCAAAGAATATGAACAGACACTTTTCAAAAGAAGACATTTATGTGGCCTACAAACATATGAAAAAAAGTTCATCATCACTGCTCATTAGAGAAATGCAAATCAAAACCACAGAGATACCGTCTCAACACCAGTTGGAATGGTGATCACTAAAGTCAGGAAACAACAGATGCTGGAGAGGATATGGAGAAATAGGAACACTTTTACACTGTTTTTGGGAATATAAATTAGTTCAACCTTTGTGGAAGACAGTGTGGCGATTCCTCAAGGATCTAGAACTAGAAATACCATTTGACCCAGCAATCCCATTACTAGATATATACCCAAATGATTATAAATCATTCTACTACAAAGACAAATGCACATGTATTTTTATTGCAGTACTATTGACAATAGCAAAGACTTGGAGCCAACCCAAATGCCCATCAATGTTAGACTGGATAAAGAAAATGTGGCACATATACACAATGGAATACTATGCAGCCATAAAAAAGAATGAGTTCATGTCCTTCGCAGAGACATGGATGAAACTGAAAACCATCATTCTCAGCAAACTAACACAGGAACAGAAAACCAAACACCACATGTTCTCACTCATAAGTGGTAGTTGAACAATGAGAACATATGGGCACAGGGAGGGGAACATCACAGACTGGGGCCTGTCAAGCAGTCGGGGGAAGGGGAGGGATAGCATTAGGAGAAATACCTAATGTAGACAACGGGTCGGTGGGTACAGCAAACCACCATGACACATATATACCTATGTAACAAACCTGGATGTTCTTCACATGTATCCCAGAACTTAAAGTATAATTTAAAAAACAACAACAAAGAAAGAATTGAAAGAAATTGACTGCAAACAATTAATGCCCAGCTTGGGCTCTTTCTGGATAGAGCTCTGTGCATTGCACGGGTGTATTAGTACATTTTCATGCTGCTAATAAAGACATACCCGAGATTGGGCAATTTACAAAAGAAAGAGGTTCCATGTGGCTGGAGAGGCCTCACAATCATGGCACAAGGCAAGGAGGAGCAAGTCACATCTTACATGAATGACGGCAAGCAAAGATAGAGCTTGTGCAGAGAAACTCCCATTTTTAAAACCATCAGATCTTGCGAGACCCATTCACTATCATGAGAAGAGCACAGGAAAGACCCACCCCCATGAATCAATCATCTCCCTCCAGGTCCCTCCCACAGCATGGGGGAATTCAAGATGAGATTTGGATGCGGACACAGCCAAACCATATCATTCCACCCTGGCCCCTCCCAAATCTCATGTCCTCACATTTCAAAACTACTCATGCCTTCCCAACAATCCCCCAAAGTCTGAACTCATTTCAGCATTAACTCAAAAGTCCCCAGTCCAAAGTCTCATCTGAGACAAGGCAAGTCCCTTCTGCCTATGAGCATGTAAAATCAAAAGCAAGTTAGTTACTTCCTAGATACAATGGGGATACAGGCATTGGGTAAATACAGCCATTCCAAATGGGAGAAATTGGCCAAAACAAAGGGTCTACAGGCCCCATGCAAGTCCAAAATCCAGCAAGGCAGTCAAATCTTAAAGCTACAAAATGATCTCCTTTGACTGTGTCTCACATCCAGGTCACACTCATGCAAGATGTAGGTTCCCATCATCTTGGGCAGCTCTGCCCCTGTGGTTTTGCACGGTACGACCTCTCTCCCAGCTGCCCTCACAAGCTGGCATTGAGTGTTTGCAGCTTTTCCAGGCGTGCAGTGCAAGCCATCAGTGGATCTACCATTCTGGAATCTGGAGGTCGGTGGCCCTCTTCTCTCAGCTCCACTAGGCGGTACCCCAGTAGAGACTCTGTGTTAAGGCTCTGACACCACATTTCCCTTTGCACTGCCCTAGCAGAGGTTCTCCAAGAGGACCTCACCCCTATAGCAAACTTCTGCCTGGGCATCCAGGTTTTTCCATACATCTTCTGAAATCTAGGCAGAGGTTCCCAAACCTCAATTCTTGACTTCTGTGCACTGGCAGGTTCAGCACTACATGGAAGCTGCCAAGGCTTGAGGCTTGCACCCTCTGAAGCCACAGGCCAAGCTATAGGGACGCAGGGCACCAAGTCCTAGGCTGCACACATCATGGGGATCCTGGGCCCGGCCCACAACATCACTTTTTCCTCTTAGGCCTCCAGGCTTGTGATGGGAGGGGCTGCCATGAAGACCTGTGACATGCCCTAGAGACATTTTCCTCATTGTCTTGGGGATTAATATTTGGCTCCTCGTTACTTATGCAAATTTCTGCAGCCGGCTTGAATTTCTCCTCAGAAAATGGGATTTTCTTTTCTATTGCATTGTCAGGCTGCAAATTTTGCAAACTTTCATGCTCTGTTTTCCTTTTGAAACTGAATGCCTTTAGTAGCACCCAAGTCGCCTCTTGAATGCTTTGCTGCTTAGGAATTTCTTATGCCAGATACCCTAAATCATCTCTCTCAAGTTCAAGGTTTTACAAATCTCTAGGGCAGGGGCAAAATGCCACCATTCTCTTTGCTAAAACATAACAAGAGTCACCTTTGCTCCCATTCCCACAAGTTCTTCATCTCCGTCTGATACCACCTCAGCCTAGACTTTATTGTTCATATCACTATCAGCATTTTTGTCAAAGCCATTCAACAAGTCTCTAGGAAGTTCGAAACTTTCCCACATCTTCCTGTCTTCTTCTGAGTCTTCCAAACCGTTCTACCCTCTGCCTGTTACCCAGTTCCAAAGCCGCTTCCACATTTTTGGGTATCTTTTCAGCAACACCCCACTCTACTGGCACCAATTTAATGGGTGACACACTCGTGCAGCTGGTCCCCACTGCAGGTCCTTCACAAAGCTTCACTAGTCCATGAGAAATGAAACAATAAGGACAGGGTATTGAGATTTTAACAAAATTAAATGTAGACTATTTAAATGATTCTCCTTTATTCTGATATCATGATAACCACTTTTTTGGTATTAAAATCTCCTTTTGGTTATGAAATAATGGTGAGAGTAAATATGGAGCAGTTGCTTTGTTTAAAGTCCTTATATAATCAAATAAAAAGCTGACAATTATGTTGTAGATCTCCAAAAAGTTTGAATATTTTATTGGTCCAAAGTTTGAGAACTCCTACTCTAAGACTTTCAAGAAGATGGCCCTTCCCACATGTGGGGCTGGAACCTCTTCCCCTTTCACTATCATCAGAAAGGCTTCCGCCCTGGATACAATTAGTATTTGTTGCATACTTCAGTATTTTCTAGGTATATCTTTGCTTTTTGGAAGTCTAAAACATCTGGTAGAATCTTTCAGAAGAAGCAACACAGAATAGAGGCATTAAAATCAAAATTTGAAGTCTGAAACTTCTGTTTCTTACCATCATTAAGAGAGAAGTGCCCAATGACAATCATTTCTCCAAACCATCAGCAGCTCCTTGGAAATGAAGTGGAAGGGTGATAATATATCCAGGACAGACCTAGCTAATGTCTTAATCTTGGCATAATTATTAATAATAACATTCCCTTTCCTTCCAAAAAGTGTCTAGGACTCAAAGGTGAGTTCATTGGGATAATAAACTATGGCCACCTTAAATGAAGGCCCCTTCAGCTCTCCTGAGCTAGAAAGTCCCAAAGAGCCTGCTCTTTCCCTGGGCAGGAAGCCATGGTGACCAGTGGAAGGATTATGTCTGTCTTACCAGAGGCCTGGGTTGGGTGCCAGCATGAAGCCTGTAGGATCTACTTAGATCTGGGACTTCAAAGACCTAGTGGTGGGTGAATCTTTGTGGCTTCCATCATTGCTTTGTCTCTGGGAGCATCAAGTTGAAGGCCAAGCTAGTTTCTTTCCTTTGATGAGGGAAAATATGTCAACACAATGGTCCACTGAACTCTGGGAATAGACAGACATGTGGTGTCTTTGGGGGATTATAGCCTAAATGGTTTTACTCTGGCACATGTGGAATTAAATATAAAACAAACAGCTGATTGCTGTTAAATTCACATGCATAAAAACAACCATTACTATGTCTTCTCAGCTACAGTACCAGAGAGTCCCCCTAGAATCAAGCAGTTATTAGATGGGACTTTGGAGTGAGTGTAGAAAAGAAAAGGAGGAGGAGAAGGAAGAAAATGAGGAAAAGAGGAAGAGGAGAGAGAAATAACAAGTCAAATAGGTGGAGAGTTTTGAAAGTTACAAAGTCTGTGCCATTTAGCATGAGTTATTTTTCCTTTTTATTCCTTGTATTTGACATATGAAAAGAAATCTTTGCTGATACTGGCTTCAGATTCTCAGGTTTAAGTATGCTATCCTTGACCCAGGAAAGAGTTACATGCATCATACTTCCGAGGCCTTCAAAGAACAACTTGGAGCAAGCTTGAGAGTTTGCAGGGCATTTTGGTGACATTTCTGGATGCCCTTTGTTTCCCCCTTTCAAGAAAAGCCCTTTCTTTCGTTGCCTTCTCACATAACAGCTTGGGATTCTTGTCCCTCCCAGAAATGCATTTGAACTTGCTGGGTTTGTTAAGAGTCAGGGCATGAAGCATTTTTCCATGGTAGAAAAGTTCTGGCATTCCAAAGCAGAACTAATGTGGGATTTGGGAAGCTTGCCCTATTTGTGCACTTAATTAGAGCTCACCAAAAGCAGCTGATCCATTGGTACCATAAAAAACCAATGCTGAGACCAAGGAAGGCTAAGACTGTGAGTACCCTTAGAGGGTGGTGAACATGAATTCCACACCTGTTCCCTACTGACTGGAATCAGGATTCAAAGGCAAAAAGTTGTGTGCTTTCCAGCAACATTCATTGGGATCCGCAGCCCAATTTAATCAATTGATAGGTTGCCAGTGTCTAAGTCAAGTCCCGAAACACTTGGTTCCCCTTGGGTCAATGAAATTTGGTCTTGGTTCTAATACAAACTTTAAGTTGGCTAAAAATGGCTGAGAAAACTACTGGTTTTAGAGTCAGTCAAGCCTGTGCTCTAAGTCTGACTCTGCCACTATGAGATGTCAGATCTTGGAGAAACTGTTCAGTTACTTCTGAGCTTTAGTTTGCTTCCCGGTAAAGGGACATACTAACACCTATTCCATGGGTCCATTATATACACAACAGCCAACATTTGTTGAGTAATTACTATGTGCAGAGCACTGTGCTAAGAGCACAGTCTATGTTAACTTTTTAATCCTCATACAGACCTAAGGAAATAGATTCTATATTGGAGATTGGCAAACTACTCCCCACAGGCCAAATTTTGCCTACTGACTGTTTTTGAAAATAAAGTTATATTGAGACACAATCACATCCATTCATTCACATAGACCCTATGGCTGCTACTGTGCTACAACTGCAGAGTTAAATAATTGTGACAGCGACCAAATGGCCCATAAAACCTAAAATACTTACTATCTGGCCCTTCATAGAAAAAAGTTTGCCTCTGCTTTAAATTATCTCAACTTAAAGATGAAGGAAATAAGCCAAAGGTATTAAAACCTATTTTAAGTAGGTTAGCTGGGGCCACAAAGCTGGTAACAGGTAGGACTAGGATTTGAATCAAACAGCCTGACTCCAGAACTTGTGTTAGTCACCAGTATCTTATATATAATATATATGAAATGCCTAGCATAGTACCTAGCACACAGGAGATACTTAATACATCTGTTTTATTAGCATGGTATTCCCTTTCTTTTTACCTCCTTTCCCAGTTTCCTATCAATTCCAGTTACCTTTTGCTTTTCTTCTGCAAGATAATTCAGTTAAGCATATTTCTGGCCAATTCTATGCCCATGATCTCAGTCTATCCAACAACTCTATGAGGTTGGTATCATTATTTTCATTTAAAAGATGAAGAAACTACATCTTGATCTCTGAGCTCCCAGGAATCTTTGCACTCCATTTGGGGACCCTCAGAGGAAACGTTGCTAGGAACTTTTGGAACATTTGTTTTATGCGGCAAACTAGCATCAAAGAAAAAAGAATCTCAGTGGCTGCTTGAGAAAGGATTACAATCTAATTAGGGAGACAAAACCAAAATACTGAGACAACAGCAGGCATTTTAAAGTAAGTTATTTAGTACAGACAGTAAGTGAGTGTGAATTCAGAGAGCTGGGAACAAGAGAGCGGACAGGGGAGGGGAGGGCTCTCAAGTTTCCTGGTCAAATGTGAACTGTGCCTTGAATGACAGACTGAATTTAAAAAGGAGAGGCTCAGATTCAGGCATGATGGAAGCGGGAAAAGGAACCACAGATTTCCTGCAGAAATGGAAGTGAGAGCTCTCAGACGGACAGAATCAGCAAATCCCTGGGAACTGTAGAAAATCAGAATGAGTAAATAATGTGGTGACAGATTCTACAGGATTTTGAAGGCCAGAGAGAGGTACCTGGGTTTCAGAATAACAATAGTGATCATCATAACACTTAGTTGCAGGATTGCTGACCACACACATTTCACATATGCTCGCCCTTAACCCTCCTTGTCCATTCTGTGATGTAGGTATCATCCTGTTTTACAGATATGAAAATTGAGGCTTAGATTATAGCAATCAAAGGTTGATGGGAAAATTAGAAATATTCTGCTTACTTAGTTCAACAGTGCAGAGCTTTTGTGTTGTTACGTTCTTCCTTGGATACATGTGCTTGTCGTTGAGATTTTATAGGGTAATCTATATACCCTATAAACCCATTTAATATAATCATAGGTTCTGCTTGTTCTAATACTGTTACCTATAAACAATTCCCCATGGACTCAGATGGAAAGTGCCATGAATTAAAGACCTTACACTACCTGGACCACTCTGATACTGCCCACCACAGGCAATGGGCAGCTATGGCATGGTTTAGAGCATAGGATACCATAATGAAAAGGATCAGTTCTTTCAACAAAGGCCGGATGGGAAAGACAGGAAGGAGGAAATCGTGTGAACCCAGAAGTGTGATATTCGATGGAGAGGCAATCCTGGGATGAACACCCAGAGCTTGGGTTTGGGATGGCTGAAGAACTTATGCCAAGAAGAGAAGGCACACATGTAGATTGAGAAGGCCATGACCAGCACTGCTTAAGTCTTACCACTTAGTCATAGTTGAGGGACATAAGACTTGAAGTATGGAGATTTAGGCTCAAGTCCTAGTCTCACGGCTACTGGCACTATGTGAAGAAGGACGGAAAAGGCAAGAATTATATGCTGATTGAGTTATGCAATATATTGTGTCTTCCCATCAATAGCACTTAAGTATTTCTGTGTGCCAGCACTTTCTAATTTCTCTTCTAATCGCTTAACATATATTAACTTATTTAGTCTTCAGAGAAACCCTATTAGATTGGGGGTATTATCATCTTCTTTGTATAGCTGGGGAGACTGAGGCACAGAAAAGGTTAAGTAACACACCTATGGTCACACAGCTGGTATGTAGAGAAACTACACTTTGAACCCATGCAGTTTGGCCCCTGAGTCCATGCTCTTACTTACTGTCACATTACCTCTCAGGAGAAAACAGGATAGGTGTTACGAGCCCAGTTTTACAGATGATGAGACTGTGGGTCCAAGACCATAAGGGATTTGACTAAAGATCAAACAACTAAACAAACTGTTACGCTGGCATTTGAACTAGGTCTTCCTAATTCTGATCCAGACATTCTTTCTATCAGATCACACTGCCTCCTGTTGGTGTGAAAGCATTTTACAACCATAAACCTCCTCCTGTTTATTAACACATTATTATGATAGATATAAGGCTTCTCTGATTCAGTAGGAAAACTAAGGAGGTAGATCAGCCAAGCTCGTGGTTGGTAGTAATAAAGGGCTTGCCTTCTAGACGGTGACTCCCTCCAGGAGAGCCACCAACCAGTTCCTAACCTCTGTTTCTTGCAGTTCCTACAGAGCCTGGCATGGGGCAGAGGGTGGCTCTCTACAAATGTTTGTTAAACACAACTTGTTCCAGATAGAAGCATGTGAGGCTCTCCACTACCACCAGTGGCATAGCAGGCACACCCATGCATTAGCGACTTGCCCTCTGCCAACTCCTGGGATGGTGATATGATGATGGTTCTTTGTAAGCTTGTCACTTGTCCCTCTTCCAAAGTGAGTTTACCCAGAGGAGCATTCTGAGGTTGAATTTGTCCCATACCACCCCTTCACCTACACATTGACACTCCCCGCTGTATACCATGGGGTCAGAGACCTTGCACTACAAAGGCCCCTTGCCAAGCGTGGTATTGCTTGCAGCCTGTCTGAGGCTTTCACTACTTTCCCCCAGACTCTCAGCCCCTGGCCTCCTGGCTCATGGCCACTCCCAGTGCCCTTAGCTTTAGCTTCCTGACCCCCCTATAACTGGCACCCAGGACCACTTCACCAGCTTCCTTCTCAGAACAATTGACTTTTGCCCCTGGGGTACTTATACCTCTTTTGTTCAAGGTCACACCCCAGCTCAACACCCAGGATCCACCCTGCCAGCCTGTGTGAGAGCCATCCCCACTAGACTTTGAAAGGGACTGGACAGTGTGTTCAGCCACCTTCTCAAGGGCCTGTCCCTGGCAGCTTTACTGGTCCCACCTGTTCCTAGCCTAGGAGCTGCCAATCCAACAAGATGAGGCTATTCTGGGAAGAAGCAGGAAGACCTCTTCACCCTAATTGAGTCTTTCTTAACAAAGAAGTCAACAGAACTTTTTTTTTTAAGTGTTTTAAATACTGCACAGGATGCTACAGCAGTTAAGAGCATGGCCTCTGGAATCAGAAGGATATGAGTTAAAAATCCAGTTCTGCCACTTGCTAGCCATGTCATCCTAGGGAAATTACTTAACCTTTCTCAACCTCGGTTTCTCATTTGTAAAATGGAGCTAAAAAAGGCCCACATTACTAGGTAATCATGAGAATTCTGTGAAATGATATATGTGAGCATATGTCACAGCATGTGACAAGCAGTAGATGCTCAATAAATGATAGTTATTATCAGCATTATATTAAATATTATTAAAGTATCTTTTAAGACTTTCTGGAGACATTTCATTCAGACAGTTATTTATTCAACAAACATTTATCGAGAGCCTGCATTTCTCCAGATCCATGCTGAGTGCAAATATGGGATGTATAATTATGTTTATAAAAAAGAGCGGTGCATGTTAATCACTTACTATAGGCCAGACACTGTTCTAGGCATTTTAGGAACATTCTTTCATTTAATATTGATAAGGGCCTTGCAAGTTGGCAGAAATTATAATTGTCATTTTAGAGATGAAAAAACTGAGGTTCAGAGAGGTTATCCCCAAAAAGACATGACCTGTGATTGAGTGTGGCATGCATCACCCTTAAATAAACCAAAATATTTTAAGTTCAAGTCCCCACTATTGAGAGATCGACAATTTACTCCCATGTAGTAGAATGCCTTTATATAACTTTCTTGTTAAAGTCAAGGTCAGAGCAAAGTGGTGTGATTTCCTCCTCATTGGTAAAAATCTCTGTAAGAGGTGAGTGTTCTCGTGCCTTTGTTAGCATGCCAGCAATGAGCCTGGGGTCTCTCCTCTGATTACTGGGGATTTCATCATCATTCAGGATACCTTCTCTCATTATGTGGGACTGAAAATAGAGATAGAAAAGGCAACAGGTAAGGGGCTCATAGTGAACTCACCCAATGCATGCTTTGCAAGTTATTTTGTTTTTTAAGCAAGTCCCAGTCATGATCTTGCTTTCGGATTCATGCCTTATGCCTGTAGCCATTGAAAGCCAAGTATGTCAGGGGGAAAAAAAGGTCCTTCAGTTAGCTGAGGTTTTATTCTGTTTCTACTTTGGTGGTTTGAAACTAATTACAGACTCGGTTGTGCCTACATGTGCAAAATGAAATGAGAGGTTGAGCCAATTACTTTAATAATGAAGAGAGGAAAATCCACTTTTCTTTCCATTATCTAAAGATTTCAGGCATATGTGAGTTTTATATATGTATATATTAAATTATGTGAAAAATTGGCCTCAAGCCTTCATTTCACTTTGCCTGTCTAGAAACAGACTCAAATTTTGTTTCGGAAAGGAGATGACATGCCTTAGGCATCTTCCAGGAGACTAGAGGGTCTTGTTGTAACAATTGCAGCTAAGATTGATTTTCTTATTGTTATGATGAATACTTGTGCCTGCCTGGGGGAGGGAGGTATATTATGAAGGATGACTTTTAAAAAAAGGCTGGAATACCTAGAATAAACTTTAGGAGGAAGTTTCCACTCATATTATTTATTCATTCATTTATTTAGTTCTTTTCAGGACCTGCAAAGCCCTCCTGGCCTGGTGCTCACTCCCTTTCTAATTTCATCTCCTTCTGCCACTTGCCCAAACTGCCCCAGCAGGTCTGGCTTCGTTGCTCTCTTTCCATTCACTGAGCACACTTCCAACTCAGGGCTTTCAAGCTTACAGTTCCCTCCGTGTGGAATCATCTTTCCGTTGATTTTTTCATTGTTCACTCCCTCATTCCCTTGGATCTCTGCTCAAATGTCATTTTATCAGAGAGATGCCATTCCTAGTCACCCTATACAAACTGCCTGCTCCACGCCTACCATTCTCTGTCCCCCTTGCCCTACTTGATGTTTTTTTCTCCCTAGTACTTACCACCATCTGTGTGATATATGTGCATGAACTTATGTGTTATTTTGATAAACATGACCATATATTTTATTTTAATAAACTTTATTTTTAGAAGAGTTTTATATTTACAGAAAAATTGTGAAGATGATACAGAGAGTTTTTCTTTTCTTTCCTTTGTTTTTTTTTTTTTTTTTTTGAGACGGAGTCTTGCTCTGTTGCCTAGGCTGGATTGCAGTGGCACAGTCTTGGCTCACTGCAGCCTCCACCTCCTAGGTTCAAGCAATTCTCCTGCCTCCGCCTCCCAAGCAACTGGGAGTACAGGCGTGCACCACCACACCCGGCTAATTTTGTATTTTTCGTAGAGACAGGGTTTCACCATGTTGGTCAGGCTGGTCTCGAACTCCTGACCTCAAGTGATCCACCTGCCTTGGCTTCCCAAAGTGCTGGGATTACAGGCATAAGCCACCACACCCAGCAGATACAGAGAGTTTTTCTAAACCACATACTTAGTTACCTTTATTATTAACATCTTACATTAGTATGGTGCGTTCGTTACAATTAATGAACCAGTATTGATACATTATTATTATTTTATTTTATTTGTTCACCAGTTTGGAATGCAATGTATTTTTAAACAGAGTGAAAGACACCTGACAGGTAACTGAACAAGTTAGCATTAGCTGGGCCCAAGATTAACCAACTTGTATCAACATTCACAGACTTCTGCAGATTCCCTGAGGACAGCAATATCCAATAGTGTTTACTTGTTTTGTGAGCACAGTAATAGAAGCAAAGCGAGACCTTTGTTAATTAAAGCACATATTTTATGCAGATTTCCTTAGATTTTACCTAACATCCCTTTTCTATTCTAGCATCCCTTCCAGGACACCACGTTACATTTAGTCATCATGTCTCCTTAAGCTTTTCTGGCTTTTGATGACCTTGACATTTTTGAGGAGTACTGGTCAGATACTTTGTAGTATGTCCTTCAGTTGAGATTTGTCTAATTTTTTTTTTTTTCATGATTGGAGTTTTGGTCTTTTGGGAGAAAACAGAAGACTGACAAAGTACCATTCTCATCATATCATATCAAGGATACTTACTATCAGTGTAACTTATCGCTATTGATGTTGGCCTTGGTCACCTAAGGTAGTGTTTGTCAGGCTTCTCCACTATAAAATTACTCTTTCTCCTTCCTTTTTACACTGTACTCTTTGGAAAGAAGTCACTAAACACATCTCAAACTTAAGGAGTGAGTGAGAAGTAAGTTACGATCTACCTCCTCGTGGGAGGAATATCTACATAAATTTGGAATTATGCTGTTTGGGAGATTTGTCTCTTCTCATTTATTTATTCACTCATTCATCTGATAACTCATACATATTTATATTTTTGGTTATAATCCAGTACTACTTTGTTTTGTTACTCAGTTGTTCCAGTTGTAGCCATTGGCAACTCCTCAGTTGGCTCCTATGACCCTTTGACATAATCCCGTAATTGTGTGTCTTGTGAGGTTTTAAAAAATTATTATATTCTTACTTTCTGGCACTACAAGGCACTTTAGGCTAATTGTGCATATTTCCTGCTCCAGTTCTGGAATCAGCCATTTCTCCAAAGAGTCTGATTCTTTTTTTTGTTTTGTTTTGTTTTGTCTGTGTGACGGAGTCTTGCTCTCACCCAGGCTAGAGTGCAGTGGCACGATCTTGGCTCACTGCAAGCTCCACCTCCCAGGTTCATGCCATTCTCCTGCCTCAGCCTCCCGAGTAGCTGGGACTACAGGCACCCGCCACCATGCCCGGCTAATTTTTTTGTATTTTTAGTAGAGACGGGGTTTCACCATGTTAGCCAGGATGGTCTCAATCTCCTGACCTCGTGATCCACCCACCTCGGCCTCCCAAAGTGCTGGGATTACAGACATGAGCCACTGTGCCTGGCCAGAGTCTGCTTCTTGTTACTGGAGACTGGTGGTTAGACACCAAGATTTGGGCACTAAGTGTGCTCATTGCTCTTGGGCTATTGTCAATGCTTCTTGGCCCTCCCAGCTGAAAGAGCAAGGAAATGTGTATGTACCCTAACCCATGTATATACCCATATCTATAAATATTTCTGTATGTAATCATCTTTTTGATATTAAGCTAAACATGAATTCACACTGGTTTCCTACTGTAATCTATTGCCACATGGATCATTCTAACTCGCTCTCCTTGCTTATATTTAAATTCCCCCTCAAATAATGAGAAATCTGGCTCCCACCATCTGCCATCCATTTACTTAATTATTCAATTTCAGTATACATGTATAGAAATACCAGAATTGTTAACTCATACCATTGCAGAATACAACTTTATTAACTGGAAGACAGTACTTATATACAGTTTTCTTGGCATTTTCTTGTTTTTTTTTGGGGGGGGGTGGTTGGGGGTTTTTTTATCTTTAGTTTTTCAGACTCTACTAATTTCTGAAGTTACTTAGGTCAGCACCTTAATCACCCACCACACAGAGTGAGATCGTTTTATACACTAGTAACACAGTTACATTGTTTTTGACATACTACATTCCATCATGGGATCCCCCACCTCCTGAATTTTTAAAATTTACGTACATTAAGGTTTACTTTTTGTACTCTAACATTCAGTGGTTTTGATAAATGCATAATGTCATGCATATTCAATTACAATATCATATAGAATAGTTTCAGCACCCTAAAAGTTAAAAATCCCATCTGGGCATGGTAGTTCACACCTGTAATCCCAGCACTTTGGGAGGCCTAGGCAGGCAGATCACATGAGGTCAGGAGTTCAAGACCAGCCTGGCCAGCATGGCAAAACCCCGTCTCTACTAGAAATGCAAAAATTAGCCAGGCATGGTGGCAGGGGCCTGTAATCCCAGCTACTCAGGAAGCTGAGGCAGGAGAATCGCTTGAACTTGGGTGGTGGAGTTTGCAGTGAGCCAAGATTGTGCCACTGAACTCCAGCCTGGACAACAGAGCAAGACTCCGTCTCAATTAAAAAATTAAAGTTAAAAATCCCCCGTGTTGGCCAGGCATGGTGGCTCATGCCTGTAATCCCAGCACTTTGGGAGGCCGAGGCAGGCAGATCACGAGGTCAGGAGATCAAGACCATCCTGGCTAACACAGTGTAACCTTGTCTACTAAAAATACAAAAAAAAAAAAAATTAGCCAGGCATGGTGGCAGGTGCCTGTAGTCCCAGCTACTCAGGAGGCTGAGGCAGGAGAATGGCGTGAACATGGGAGGTGGAGCTTGCCATGAGCAGAGATTGCACTGCTGCACTCCAGCCTGGGCAACAGAGCGAGACTCCATCTCAAAAAAAAAAAAAAATTCCCCTGTGTTTTACCTCTTTAACTTTCCCTCCTTTTTTCCCAACTCCTTGACGATCACTGATCTTTTTATTGCCTCTATAGTTCTACCTTTTCTAAAATGTCACATAATTGGAATCTTGCTCCACATACTTTTTTAGCATTTGGCATTGTTCGTTTTTTTATTTTAGCTATTCTAATAGGTTTATAGATGAATGTCACTGCTGTTTTAATATGCAATTTTTAATGGCAAATGATGTTGAGTGTCTTTATATATATTATGTGCCATCTATATATCTTCTTTGGTGAATCACATGTTCATATATTTTGCTTACTTTTTCACTACATTGCTTGTTTACTTATTGTTGAATTTTAAGAGTTCTTTGTATATTCAGATACAAGTTTCTTTATCAGATATGTGTTTTCTTCTAGTTTGTGGCTTGTCTTTCCATTCTGTTAAAAATGTCTGTTGCAGAGCAGTTTTAGAATTTTAGTGATCCAGCTTATCAATTTTTTTCATGGATTATGCTTTTGGTTTTGTATCTAAACTTATCACCTAACCCAAGGTCACCTAAATTTTTTCCTGTTATCTTCTAGATGTTTTATAGTTTTGTGTTTTACAATTACATATGTGATCCACTTTGAGTTAATTTTTGCAGAATGTCTAATGTCACTGTCTAAATTCATTGTTTTGCATGTGGACATACAATATTTCAAACATGACTTGTTGAAAATATTACACTATATCCTTTGAATTACCTTTACTCCTTTGTCAAAGGAGTTGGAAAAGGAATAAATCAGTTGACTCTATTTGTGTCTATTTCTGGATTCTCTCCTTGGTTCCATTGATCTATTTGTCTTTTCTTTCCCCAACCTTACACTGTCTTAATTATTGTAGCTTTACAGTAAGTCATGAAGTTGGGTAGTGTCAGTTCACTGACTTTGTTCTTTTTCTTTAGTATTATGTTGACTAATGTAGATCTTTTGCCTTTCCATATAAATTTTAGAATCATTTTATGGATACTTAAAAATAGTTCGCTGAAAATTCAATTTATTTATTTCATCAGAGTTTTGTAATTTTCCACATATAGATTCTGTGTACTTTTGTTAGATTTATACCTAAGTGTTTTTGTGGGGGTTTTTTTTGTTTTTTGTTTTTTGTTTTTTTTGCAGCATGCTATTTTAAGTGTTATTTCTTAATCAAATTCCATTTTTTCCTCAATGGTAATTGCTAGAAAGAAATTGACTCTTGAATATTAACCCTGTATCCTATACCCTTACTTGTTTGCTTATTAGTTCCAGGATTTGGTGGTGTTCTCATTGGGTGGGTTGGTTGATTTGTTCATTCTTTGTGATTTTCCACATAGACATTCATGTCATCTGAGAATAAAGACAGTTTTCTTTCTTTCTTTCCAGTATGTATGCCTTCTCATTTCTTTGTCTTTTTGCACTAGCTAAGACTTCCAGTACAGTCTTGAATAGGAGTGGTGAGAAAGGACATTCTTGCTTTGTTCCTGATCTTAGTGGGAAAGCATCCAGTTTTCCATCAAGTATGATAATAGCTGTAGAGTTTTTTTGTACATGTTCTTTATCGAGGTGAGGAAAATCCCCTATATTCATAGTTTGCTGTGAATTTTTAATTTTTAATCACAATAAAAAATGATTGTTAGATTTTTTTGAAATATTTCTCCTTCATTTATCAACATGATTATATAATTGTTTTTATTTAATCTGTTGATGTAATGGATTACATTGACTGATTTTTGAATGTTGAACCAACCTTGTACACCTGGAGTAAATCGTATTTGGTTGTGGTATATAATTCCTTTTACACGTTGTTGGATTGATTTGCTAATATTATATTAAGAATATTTTGCATCTATATTCATGAGAGAGAGTGGATTTTGGCTTTCTTTTTTTAATGTCTTTGTCTGGTTTTGGTAATAGGGTAATGCTGACCTCATAGAATGAGCCAGTAAGTTTTTCTTCTGCTTATTTTCCTGGAGGACATGGTAAAGAACTGGTATAATTTCTTCCTTAAATGTTTGCTAAAATTCACTAGTAAAAACCATTTGGGCCTGGCACTTTGGTTTTTGGAAGGTAATTAATTATTGATTCAGTTTCATTAGTGGATACAGCTCTATTCAGATGATTTATTTCTTGTGTAAATTTTGATAGTTTTTGTCTTTCAAAGAAGTAGTCCATTTCATCTAAATTATTTTTAGTTGCCAATGTTAGTAATTTGTAACTTCTCTCTTTTTATCTTGATTACCCTGGCTAAAGGTTTGTCAGTTTTATTGCTCTTTCTAAAGAACCAGCTTTGGTTTCATTGATTTTTCTCTATTGCTTTCCTGTGTTTAAATTCATTGATTTATGCTCTAATTTTTATTATTTCTTCTGCTTTTTTAAAATTTTAATTTCAACTTTTATTTTAGATACAAAGAGTACATGTATAGGTTTGTTACATAGGTATATTGTGTGATGCTAAGGTTTGGGTACAGATCCTTTCTCCCAGGTAGTGAGCATAGTACACAATAGGTAGTTTTTCAACCCATGTCTCCCCTCCCTCCTGTCCCCCTCTAGACATCCCAGTGTCTCTTGTTCCCATGTTTATGTCCATGTCTGCTCAGTGTTTAGTTCCCACTGACAAGTGAGAATATGTGGTATTTGGTTTTCTGTTCCTACATTAATTTGCATAGGATAATGGCCTCCAGCTACCTCCACGTTGTTGAAAAGGACGTGATTTTTTTCTTTTTTATGGCTGCATAGTAATCTGTGATGTACATGTTCCACATTTTCTTTATCCAGTCCACCATTGATGAACACCTAGGTTGATTATATGTCTTCACTATTATGAATAGCATGGCAATGAACATGCGAGTGCATGTGTCTTTTTGGTGAAATGATTTCTTTTCCTTTGGATGTATACCCAGTAATGGGATTGTTACATTGAATGGTAGCTCTGTTTTAAGTTCTTTGAAAATATTCACAGTTAAAATGAATTACCTAGGAATATACTAACCAAGGAGGTGAAAGATCTCTACAAGAACTATAAAACACTGCTGAAAGAAATTGGAGATGATACAAATAAATGCCAAAACATTTCATGCTCATGGATCAGAGCAATCAATATTGTTAAAATGGCCATACTTCCCATACAGATTCAATGCTATTCCTATCAAACTACCAAAATGATTTTTCACAGAATTAGAAAAGCCTATTCTAAAGTTCATATGGAGCCAGAAAAGAGCCTGAATAGCCAAAGCAGTTCTAAGCAAAAAGAACAAGGCCAGAGGTATCACAATACCTGTCTTCTGCTTTCTTTAGATTTAAATTACTATTTTTCCCCTCCTTGTCTCCAATGTCTCTTTTGCCTGAAATTAATGTAACTACTACAACTTTATTTTGATTAGTGTTAGCATTGTGTAGCTTTCTGCATCCCTTTACTTATAACCTGTCTAAGTTAAAAGTGGGTTTCTTTGTAGGCCTTATTCTTTTAATCATCTCTGGCAATTTCTTTCTTTTAATCAGTGTATTTAGACAATTCACATTTAAAGTGATTATTGATATAGTTGGGTTATTATCTACCATGTTTGTAACTATTTTATATTTGTAACATTTATTCTTTGTTTACCTTTTTTTCCTCTTGGCCTTTCACTGGTATTCATCAGGCATTTTATGTGATTTCATTTTCTCTCCTCTCTTAGCATATCAATTATACTTCTTTTTTTAAAAGGTAGTAATGTCCCTAATGTTTGTAGTATACATGTTTAATCTAAGTCTGGCTTCAGATAACGCTATACCACTTACATGTAGTGCAGGTACCTTATAAGGAAGTACTTTCAATTCCTCCTTCCTATCCATTATAACATTGCTGTAATTTATTTCATTTATCCATTTGCTATAATTACTCAATATATTGTTACTATTGTTACTTTAAACATATAATTATAGATCAATTAAGAGTAAAAAGATGAAATATTATCATTTACCTTCATTTATTTCTTCTCTGATGCTTTTCTTTTATGTAGGTCCAAGTTTTTGACCTATATCATTTTCCTTCTCTCTGAATAACTTTTTTTCAACATTTTTTATAATGTAGATCTCCTTTCAATAAATTTTTATTTGAGAATATCTTTCTTTCTCTTTCATGTTTGAAGGATAGTTTCATTGGGCATAGAATTCTAGGTTAGTGAGGTTTTTCTTTTAATACTTTAAATATTTTACTCCATTCTAGTTTTATTTACACGGTTTTCTGAGAAGTCCATTGTAATTCCTATGTTTGTTTCTCTATAGATTAGGTGGATTTCTTGCCCCCTTTGGCTTCTTTCAAAATTCCCTCTTTGTCTTTGGTTTTAATTTTGATTATGATTTGCTCAGCTTTCGATATTTTCATATTTATTCTACTTTGTGTTCTCTGAACTTCTGGATCTATTGTTTGGTGTTTCTTCTTTATTTTGGGAAATTCTTAGCCATTATTACTTCAGATATTTCTTCTGCTCCATTCTCACTTTGTTATCTTCATATTCTAACCATGCATATGTTATACGTTTTGAAATTTTTCTTGGGTGTCCTGGGTGTTTCCCTCCATTCTTTTTTCTTTTTGCATATCAGTTTGGGAAGTTTTTAACTGATGTATCTTCAAATTCACTGATTCTTTCCTTGTCCTTGTTAAGGCCATCAAAGGCCTTCTTTGTTTCTGTTGGTCTTTTTATTATTATTATCATTATTATTATTATTAGGATTTCTTTTAGATACTTTTTTAGCATTTTCGTCTCTCGTTACATTGTCCGTTTGTGCATAGTGTTTACTTTTTCTATTAGAACACTTATTAATCATAGTTGCATTAAATTATCTGATAATTCTAACATTTGTGTTATATCTGAGTTGGGTTCTGATTCTTGCTTTCTCTCTTTGGACTGTGTTTTTCTTGCCTTTTAGCATGCCTTTTAATATTTTGTTGAAACATGGATATGATGTATCTGGTAATAGGAACTGAGACAAATAGGTCTATATGTGACATTTTGTGTTAGAAATTGAACTGTGTTTAATGTTTGTTATAGTTGTACATGCCAGAGGCCTCACATTCTTCTATTGTCCTTATTTTTTCATCCCCACTATTGTCTTTGGCGTCCCTAAGATCTCCTCCTTAGATAGAGTCTATGTCTTGCTGCTCTTTGAGCTGTAATTCACTAATATTATACTGGGGTCATGTCGATGTGGTTTTAAGGTATGGGGAAGGAAAAGCATTCTATAATCTTTTGATTATATCTGTCTTTTAGTGGGACTATGTCCCTGAGCTATGACCTTCATAGATGTTCTTAGGCCCCTACTCCTTTAGGTGAGACAGAAGGCTTGCAGGCACTAGAGTTGAAGAGATGTCCTTCCCCTGTGTGCAATAGGCTTTTGTAAAGTCTCTTCCTCTTAAAAGGTCTTTATTATGGAGAACTCTGTGTTATGGAAAAACACTGTAAAAAATATTTTACAGTGTTTACGCTTTCCCTCCCCCTGCCAGAGCCAAGAGGGGATCATTCTTGACTCTTTGGATTCCTGGAGGTAAAACCGATGAAAGTGTGGGCCCCCTTCCACTAAGACTGTTACCCTCAGGAGTTGCTCGCTTTCCTATTAGTCCACACTCAGCCCCCAACACTTCAAATTACCACTGAAGTGTCCCTACCAGTTTATGACTCCAGCAGCTGCTCCTCCAAGTAAGATCTCAGCTGTGACTGTCTGGGTTGTCCTTTCTCTTCAGATTTCAGGGTGATAGTTTGTCCTGTAACCTCAGTTCTCTTATGGATCCAACAAAAATCACTGATTTGCAGTTTCTTAGCTTTTTTTTTTTTTTTTGGAGTAAGGATGGGATAAATGACTTAGACAGTTTTTACATGTTGGAGCTATAACCACAAGTCTCTACATGTCTTTAATGTACTTGCTGACTTTCCCTACTGGAATGTAAGCTTATGAAAGCAGGGGCCATGTCTGTTTTATTCATAGCTACAGCTTCAGTAGCCAGAATAGCACCTGACTCAAAGTAAGCGGGCCAATAAATAGTTGCTAATAGACTAATTAATCTCTTGGCAGTCATTGAGCATATTGTTATACCAGGCACTGTGCTTAGTGTGGAAAGACATCAGGTGCCTACATTATTACAGTGGTGTGGGGGCAGGGCATGGTGGACATACAACTAAAATAACAATAAACCACAGATCAGAGAATAGGGAAGTTTTAAAGCACTGAGGACACATACCTCATCTAGCCCAAGCAAGAGGGAGGTAGAGGTAAAGCATTGCCAGAGAAGAAAACCATCACCTGAGTTGAGTTGTAAACAATGAGTAGCTGTTAGCCTGTATAGTGGAGAGGGACCCAGCCAAGGAGACAGCACAGACCTGTCAAAGTCCATGTCGGACAACATGCAAAGTGATTTACTTAACCCACCTCATGAACGTTTAGTAGCCCACGCAAGGCAGGCCCCTGTTAACTCACAGGTCAGGAAACTGAGCCTCAGACAGTTTAAGTGACTCGACAAAATGTCACCAATGCTGAGTGATGGAGCAAGTCGGCTTGAGGCCAAGGTCCATTTTCTCCCTGCTACAAAGATGACTAAGCACGACTCAGAGTCTGGTGGAGGAGCAGAACACATAAACAGTCTTTGATGATACCCATGCTCTTTTGAATTTGCTCTATTGTTGTTCATTTTCTTTAAGATTTCAGCCCTAGAAGTAGCAAGCTGAAAATCAGGGCTGCTTTGCAAATGCCCACAAACCACTGAGGGGAGTTTTGTCAAAGAAGGCGGGAAAGAAAAATAAATGTGGGCTTCTGCTCTTTAAACCTCAGCCCAGTGAGGCAGACTTTCCCGGAATACTTCAGGCCTCTTCAAAGGCCTATTGTGGAAAGTGTCCAGATGTGCGTGGAAAACCTCACTGGGAAGCTTCCCGGTGAAGAGGCCTTTTAAGCATGAACCGAGATGAAGGAAGCTGACGCCATGAGTCCTATCAGGTGGCCTTTTTTCTGAAGGAGCCCAGATTTTCCCCTAACCTTAAGAAGGTTGTAGGGGGTTGGGTGATTAGCCAGTTCGTATTCCTTTGATTACAGGAAGCAGTGGGGTTAGTTGTTTTTTGTTGTTGTCTTTCCTTTTTTTGCTGAAGTGAGAAGAGGAGATGGGGGTGGGGGGCATTCTCCATATGATTTATCTACCTGTAAGTTGTTAGTGACAGTCTGGTCATTCCTCCAGCATACCTTGTGAGGGCCAGGAGGGATTTCTGGATTGGATAAAGTTGAGGCACTGAGTAAGTCCTGCTAGTTTCTATGATGATGCCTCTGAGTGTTCTAAGAGTCAGAATCCCCTGGAATCTGGCTCTGATCCCCTGCTCCGAATCCCTGTTTAAGCTCTCTTCCCAATGCCCTGTTTATCCTAGGTTTGAGGCCCCATCTTCCTCTTGCTAGATACAGTTAAGCCAGAGAGACCCAGATTTAAATCCTGCTCTCTCATTAGCTGTGTCATCTTGCACAGAGTAGCATCAGCCTCACCGAGCCTCAGTTTCCTCATCTGTAAAATGGAGGTAATACCAGTCCCGTCATCATCCAGTTGCTGTGAGGATTAAATGAATTGCTGAGTTGCCGCACACAAAGCATCTGGTCCAGTTCCTGGCACAGAGTGAGGGTTCAGTTTATTTTCATTCCTTTTCTCTTTAATCCAGTTGTACAAAGAGGCAGAGCTGTCCCATTTGACCAGAGAATTTTACTTCTGTAGCTCTTTAAATTCTCTCCCCGCCATGTACATATGGGCTTAGCTAAGTATTTTGAGATCACAGTGTATTTAGGGGAAAGTCCTTTTGGCTACAGCTAAAATTAGGCCTCTCTTGTGCTCCTCTGTTTACCACCCCCCTTCCTATTTTAACTAATTAGAGGCATTGACACTAAGAAACACTTAAGAAAAGTTGGAAGAACAGCTGGGAGTTGTTCTAGATACAAGCAGCTGCTCCCTGTCAGCATGCAGGCACAGAAAAGGATGATCCTGAATGGGGAAGTGCAGGGAGGGCACCTCAGAGATGAAGATGAGGAATGGCAAAGTCTGTCTATGTTGTGGCAAACTGAGCAGGGTGGAGTTCTTATCACTCTGTCCTCTACCTTCTGCTGAGAGAAAAGGGGGGTCAGAGATACCAAAGCAGATAGAGGAAAGGGGGGCAAGAAAGGGGAAGGGAAGGAAGGTATTCAGGAGCTTAGCTAGTTGGTTAGTTGATTACTTTATGCAGACCACTGTCGCCCCCACCTAGACCACTGCGGTATCTCCTAACTGGTCTCATGCTGCCGGCTGCTTTCCTGCTGGAACCAGAGACGTCACAGGAACATGCAATTCTTGCACCCTGAAATCCCCGCGACGAGCTTCCACCATGGAATTTAGACAGAATTCCAAAACCCATCACATGGCCCCCGAGTACCTGGATGCACCTTCCCCCTGTTCCCCGTAATTGTTACTGCTCAGTCCTGCTGGCTTCTGTTCATTCGCTCTGCTTCAAAGGACTTTCTCTCCTGGAGCCAGATTGCCTGAGTTTAATCCAGGTTTCCCTACTCGCTACTACTACTTACAGGCCTCTCCATCTCCCTTCCAGCCTTAAACACCTACTGAGCTCCCCTGGAATTCCCTGTCCACGTCCTACACACTCTCCTCATGGAGTCCCCGGGCCTGTGCACCCCCAAATAAAAGTTTCTGTGTTTCCAGATGGCCATGGTGACTGTGCATAAAGCCTAGCAAATGTGCATCAAGCCAGAAGACACGAGACCTTTCCAAAGGGCTCATGTCTTCTGGCCTGATGCACATTTTTGTGTCCCCTGCCCCATCTCCTCCTCACTACCCTCGGGAAACTGGGTGATGTCTCTGTGGGAAGGGCTGAGCCTCAGGCTCTGTATTGATTGTCCAGTGCTGCATTTAAACTTCCTGACTGGATATTCAGAACTTATGCTGTTGTTTTGTTTTGTTTTGTTTTGTTTTTTTGTTTTGTTTTGTTTTTTAAAGCAAGCACCTTCACATCTCAGGTGTAAATGCCAGATCTTCTAACACTTACAAGGACAAATTCATTTCTTACTAAATAGTCAAGCTTAAAACCCACATGACTGGCTGATGTAAGCTTTGGCCTTGTCTGTGAGGAATTTTTGCAACATTATTTCTCTTGATTTCTTTCTTTGTTGCTGCTGTTCTCAGAACAAGGCAAGGCTGAGGTTCTCCTTCTCAGTTACTCCATGTCCCTGAATTAAGCCCTGTGAGATCTAAAAACAGGAGCTCTGTGCACACAGCCGTAAGGACAAACCCTCACTCTGCATCCCCCTAAGTGGGCCACATGCCTAAGCCCAGAAATCTAAGAGTTACTTCTAACAACTTTCTCTCCCTAACACCCTCATCTGGTCTGTCACTGAAGCATGTTTTCTGCCTCCTGAGCATCTCTCATATCTGGGTGATAAGAGAGCCACCTTGATGTCCCCTGGCCCTTGCTGACCTCAGCAGAGCCTTTGGGTGACAGTAGCTCTGGCTTCCCAGGGCCCTTGGAAAGGAGACTGTGGGGTCCGCGTGGTATGGCCCTGCCTGCCTCTTGGTTCTGTTTCACCCACACTTCCCTTCACTCTTATCTGCTCCAACAACACAGCCTTTCTCATTCCTCAAGTATCAGTTTTCTTTTCTTTTTCTTTTTATT
The DNA here is from genome assembly GCF_000001405.40 of Homo sapiens. NCBI lineage: Eukaryota > Metazoa > Chordata > Mammalia > Primates > Hominidae > Homo > Homo sapiens. The sequence goes on from NC_000001.11 coordinate 59,734,163, forward strand.
TATTTCAGTAGGGTTTTGGGGAACAGGTGTTGTATGGTTACATGAATAAGTTCTTTTCTGAGACAGGGTCTTGCTCTGGTGACCAGACTGGAGTGCAGTGGTACCATAACAGCTCACTGCAGCCTTGACCTCCTGGGCTCACGTGATCCTCCCATCTCACCTCCCAGGTAGCTGGGACCGCAGGCGTGCACCGCCACACCCAGCTAATTTTTTGTGTTTTTTTGTAGAGACGGGGTTTTGCCACATTGGCCAGACTGATCTAGAACTCCTGGCTCAAGCAATCCACCCACCTTGGCCTCCCAGAGTTCTGGGATTACAGGCGTGAGTCAAGTGTCATTTTTCGTCCTTCCGTATGGCCCTCTCCTCTGCTAGACACATGCTTCCCCCTCCTTCAGCCATTAATACCTGTGCATCCCTTGAATCTCAGCTAAGCTATGACATACATGAAGCATACATGCATATAGACACAGACATACATACCATTCAACCTAACATGAGGTGATTGAGGAATGCCGAGACCCTCCTCTCCCCTCTCAGTGCCCTGAAGCAGCCCCTGGGGGAGGGGATGGCCCTGGTCCCTCTGACTCTGACAGGGACTGCCCTCCCACAGAGAGAGGAAGGCCTCGGGAGCTGGTTGTGGGCTCACCTCTGTGGTACTGCTCTTCCTCCTGCTTCTGAGCAGAGAAGGCCTGGGGGCCAAGGTGCCCAGGGGCTGTGGACAAGATCCTTTTATGCTCTGTCCTTGCCTCTAATGTGACAGATTATTTTGTAATTACCTGGCAGAGATAAGTTTGGTTTCTGCAAATAAACTAGCAAAGATTCCAAGGTTATTAAACACAACCTTGCCTCATCTATCTGGTCATATCCAAAAACCTTAAAAGAATTTTTGTTCTTCTGAATTTCACTCTCCAAGGCACAAAGACCAGGTGATGGTGGGGCAGGGGTAGAGAGAGGGATGGGAAGACTTCTCACAGTGATTCGAGAACGTTCACACACACATACGCACACAAAAACCTTCACTCTCCCCCTCTCCAACCCCACCCCACTGACTGCACACATGTCTTGGCCCCCTTGAGAATCCCTTTTCCATAGACAAGCCCTCTGAGGTAAGAGGTTTAGGCCTCCTTCCTGCTTTAGTTAACATCTTGTCTCCACAGAACCACATCCAACCTTCCATTTTTCTCCAACCTCTTTAGCTCATGAGGAAGATTTACAGCCTGGGAGTCAGGAGGCCCAAGTTCTAGTCCTTGCTTTGACACCAGGTGATATTGTGGTCTTCTCTGAGTATTGTTGGTTCACTCTTATGAGAGCATTCTCAGACCTGTGGCATTTTCACCATTGAATCCACTGTGCACAGAGGTAACCAACATTTGTGACACCTGCTGTTTGCAAAACACTGAGCTAAGAATTAGTGATTACTTCTCAACCCACCATCTCTACAAGGCAGCTATGACTCCTGTTTTATCTATTTATGAAGGAAGACAGAGCTTAGCAAAATTAAGAATGCTGCTCAGACCCACAAACAGGTAAGATTAGAGGCAGGTTTCAAAACGAGGTCTCTGTCTCCAGAGTTTCTGCCATCACAGTAAGCTGAGTCTCAACTGTACTATAGAAAAATAAATCAAAATGACATTTTAAGTATCATCTCTTTTATTTATGCATTATGCAGGAGATGGAACTCCTTTCTTAGATTTTTTTCCCCCAAATATGCTGTGCTCAGGAGCTGGGAAAAGGGAAAACACACACCCTGGGACCTTACACCCTGATATGGTTTGGCTGTGTCCCCACCCAAATCTCATTTTGAATTCCCCCATGTTGTGGGAGAGACCCAGTGGGAGGTAACTGAATCATGGGGGCAGGTCTTTCCCATGCTGTTCTCATGATAGCTGATAACTCTCACAAGATCTGACAGTATTATAAGGGGGAATTTCCCTGCACAAGCTCTCTCTCTTTTTTTTGCCTGCTGCCATCCATGTAAGGTGTGACTTGCTCCTCCTTGCCTTCTGCCATGATTGTGAGGCCTCCCAGCCATATGGAACTGTGAGTCCAATTAAACCTCTTTCTTTTGTAAAATGCCCAGTTTGGGATATGTCTTTATCAGCAGCGTGAAAATAGACTAATATAGTAAATTGGCACCGGGAGTGGGGCACTGCTGAAACGATACCCAAAAATGTGGAATTGACTTTGGAACTTGGTAACAGGCAGAGGTTGGAACAGTTTGGAGGGCTCAGAAGATAGGAAAATGTGGGAAAATTTGGAACTCCCTAGAGACTTGTTGAATGGCTTTGCCCAAAATCCTGATAGTGATATGAACAATAAAGTCCAAGCTGAAGTGGTCTCAGATAGAAATGAGGAACTTGTTGGGAACTGGAGCAAAGGTGACTCTTGTTACGTTTCAGCAAAGAGACTAGCGGCATTTTGCCCAAGCCCTAGATATTTATGGAACTTTGAACTTGAGAGAGATGATTTAGGGTATCTGGCGGAAGAAATTTCTAAGCAGCAAAGCATTGAGGAGGTGACTTGGGTGCTGTTGACGGCATTCAGTTTCAAAAGGAAAACGGAGCATGAAAGTTTGCAAAATTTGCAGCCTGACAATGCAATAGAAAAGAAAACCTCGTTTTCTGAGGAGGAAGTCAAGCCAGCTGCAGAAATGTGTATAAGTAACAAGGAGCCGAACGTTAATCCCCAAGACAATGGGGAAAATGTCTCCAGGCCATGTCAGAGGTCTTCATGGCAGCTCCTCCCATCACAGGCCTGGAGGCTTAGGAGGAAAAAGTGGTTTTGTAGGCAGGGCCCAGGGTACCCCTGCTGTGTGCAGCCTCAAGACTTGGTGCCCTGAATCCCAGCTGCTCCAGCCATGGCTGAAAGGGGCCAACATAGAGCTCAGGCCATGGCTTCTAAAGGCGCAAGCCTCAAGCCTTGGCAGCTTCCACATGATGTTGAGCTGGCAAGTGCACAGAAGTCAAGAACTGGGGTTTAAGAACCTCTACCTAGATTTCAGAGGATGTATGGAAATGCCTGGATGTCCAGGCAGAAGTTTGCTGCAGGGACAGGGTCCTCTTGGAGAACCTCTGCTAGGGCAGTGTGGAAGGGAAATGTGGGGTTGGAGTCCCAGCCCAGAGTCCCTACTGGGGCACCGTCTAGTGGAGCTGTGAGAAGAGGGCACTGACCTCCAGACCCCAGAATGGTAGATCCACTGACAGCTTACACCATGTGCCTGAAAAAGCTGTAAACACTCAACACCAGCCCATGAAAGCATCTGGGAGGGAGGTTGTACCCTGCAGATCCAAAGCGGCAGAGCTGCCCAAGACCATGGGAGCCCACCTCTTGTATCAGTGTGACCTGGATGTGAGACATGGAGTCAAAGGAGATCATTTTGTAGTTTTAAGATTTGACTGCCTCACTGGATTTTGGACTAGCATGGGGCCTGTAGCCCCTTTGTTTTGGCCAATTTCTCCCATTTGGAATGGCTGTATTTACCCAATGCCTGTACCCCCATTGTATCTGGGAAGTAACTAACTTGCTTTCGATTTTGCAGGCTCATAGGCAGAAGGGACTTACCTTTGTCTCAGAGGTGACGCTGGACTGTGGACTTTTGAGTTAATGCCAAAACGAGTTAAGACTTTGAGGGACTTTTGGGAAGGCATGATTAGTTTTGAAATGTGAGGACATGTGATTTGGGAGGGGCCAGGGGCAGAATGATATGGTTTGACTGTGTTCCCACCCACATCTCACCTTGAATTCCTCCATGTCGTGGGAGGGACCCAGTGGGAAGTAATTGAATCATGGGGGCGAGAGCAAACTGAGGACCAGAGTGGTTATAAAACTTGTCTGAATTCATACCATTTACAAAGTAAAAGAAGAGTCTAGAGCCCAGGTCTCCTGAGTCCTCAGAATCAACCAAGTCAAATAAGCTCCCCTATTCAAAAAGAAGAACCTTCAAGAATATTAATTTTGTGCCCATCTAAAAGCCTCACTGAGCTGTGCTAAAGGTAATAGGCATTGAAGAAAACGTTCTCACAGAAACTCCCAGCTGCAAACACAAAGAAGCAGCTCTCCAGGGAACAGGGTAAGGATTGTCTGAAGAGATCTATGCTGGTGAGATTACAAAAATCATAATATATGAATAAATGAACATATGGAAGGAATCAGCAAAGCCCTCTCATTCTTCCCGTATGTAAACTCGGCCTTTGCCTAAAGTCATTAAGTAAACACAGATGCAGCCAAACCAGGCACCAGATGGCAAACAAGAATTGGAATAAAAGGTAAAGAAAGCTTTTGGTGTTTACTCAAAGATGGGGAAAAAAACCATGATCCAAAATGCTGTGGTTTCCCCAGAATGGCCACCTGGAGTCACCAGGGCCCAAAAGTGACCAAATAAAACAAAACAAAACTAGAATAATCATGATTGGGAAGTTGTAGGAAAACCGCTGCTATCTTCTGTGAATGGAATCCCATGTCAGAAGAAACTGGTTATTCTGGGAAATGAAATAAATGGTTAAATCAAAGTACTAGGACCAGAGAGCAACAGGAATGTGGCAAGAATCCACTTTTGCTGGGCACTCACATCTGTCCAGAGCTTTGTATTCTTGGCCTTATATAATCCTCACAATTACCCATTAGGTATTGGCCAAATTTTATAAATGAGGAAATTCCATAAATGGGTTGAGAGAGATTAGGCCCCAAGGTCACACCACAGGAATGCCATCCTAGCTGTGGCCAGTGCTTCTTTGTCCATTCCCAGCTTCGTAGCTCTGATTTCAGTACCAGATACAGGGGAATCCAGGCACATTCTCTCTGCCTTTCCTGCCCAAACCACTGGACCTAAGTAAGAAGGTCACCTGGTCAGGTACTGCCTTGAAGGGAGACCAGAACAGACATGGAGTGGGGAACAGAGCATTCCTGAAAACTTAACTTCACCTTTATTTCACAAAAGACACCCTTGCACATGCCTCATCCACCTCTTAGCTTGTACATTTGCCATGAGCACCAGTAATGAAGGCAGTCCTTGTGAATATTTGCTTTTCAGTATGCATGAGTTTATATATTGGGGGTAGAAAATTCCAATAATGTTTCAGCTTCAACTAAAAGCTGTATCTTGTTCTGTCCTTGCCTCTAACCTGACAGATTATTTTTTAATTGCTTGGTAGAGATAAGTTTGGCTTCTGCAAATAAACTAGCAAACATTTCCTGCCCAGGCTACCAAACACAGCCTCACCTCACCTATCTGGCCATATGTAAAAACGTTCATTCAAATAAGTTTTGTTCTTTTGAGTTTTACTCTCCCAAGCGCAGAAACTGGGTAGTGAGGGGTGCAGGGGTATGGGGAGAATGGTTTCAACCAAACCATTCATTGCTTGCAGGTGGGAAGGTAAGGTGGAAAATGCTTTCCAGCTAAACAGACCTGTCTGATAACCCTACCACTAACTAAACTTGCTCTCTTGGGCAGGCCACATTATGCTTTGAGTTTTAGTTTCTTTCTCTCTAAAATGTACGTGGAAGGGCTGTTTTCAGAATTTTTTTTTCACTTTCCTCTTACCCATCTTCTCTTTTTCTACATGGTCAATCTCCACGTGGCTGTTTTATTTTTTCCCCATTGTTCTTTAGCAAAGCTTAATCCAGGATGAATTCAGCTTTGTGGACACTATAAATCAAAGCCATACAACCATAAGGCAGGCTTCTACCACTCTATACTAATTGTTACCAGTCTCTTAGCCCTGGTTTCTGGTTGGGTTTGGCCAATGGGCAGCCCCAGCAGGAACCTGGAGAATAATGAAGTTGTTTATTCCCCCAGCGCTCTCCTTGCTGGGTTGACGCAGGTTAGCTACATCCATCTACCATCCTTCTACAATGGACCACAGTTCCTGTGTGTGGCCCTTTCCCTACAATTTTGTGCATGATGGGAACCTCTCCTCCCTCCCTGTCCTCCTTCAGGCTAAGAGGTTGTAATGGCTCCTTACTGTTGGTAATCATTAGGTACTTGTTTCTTTACCTAAACCTTTTTAAACAACTCTTCTTGAAGCTTACTTCAGTTACCCAATGTGAGTGTCAATCTCTTTCCTAATAGGAACCTGAATAAATATATCACTTCAGCTCAATTTCCCATTTTCTACAATGACTATTATCAAACTTTGCCAATTTCCATCCCTGTCTTTCCTCTCATGTTCAGAGAGATGACCTCCTGTTTATTCTTAGCCACCAACTACCTCTAAGAGAAAAGCCATTAGAAAGACAACTGCCATTAAATCTCCCAGCTTTCTTAGATCCGGTAGTGAGCTGGGGCTAGCTCAGCCCTGCTCGCAAGAGCATATTGTGCACATCTCTTCCCAGCTTCACATCCATTCCATCACATTCAGAGCTTGAAACTGGCCAAGATGGAAGTATTTACAACACAGAAATTGGCAATTGATAAAATTAGGGCTTTCTATTGATTATTTATCAGTATTATTTATCAACACACCACTGCTTATATCCAGATACAGTCTTTTTCTCCTTCACATTTGTTACGATGAAAGAGATGGCCCACTTATTATCAGAGACTCTTTCATCTCCTACTGCCTCTAACAGCCCACTTAATTCATTATCCATTCACTCTATGTTTAGCTTCTTCAATACTATCTCCTTCTCATCAACATTTAAACATGCTCTAGACCTGTGCTATCCAACAGTAGCCATTAGTTAAACGTATTTATTGAACCCGCGAGATGTGGCTAGTCCAAATTGCAATATGTAAGATACACACCAGATTTCAAACATTTTGCATGAATAAAAGAATGTAAAATATCTCATAAATAATTTTTGTATTGATTACTTGAAATGATATTTGGGGTATAATAGGTTAAATAAAAACATATTAAAATTAAATTCACCAGTTCACTTACACTTTTTTAAGTGGGTACTAGAAAATTTAAAATTACTTGTGTAAATCATATTATTTCTGTTGGACAGTGCTGCTGTAAACCTTTCATCTTAAAAATAAAATCCCTGGCTGGGCACAGTGGCTCACACCTGTAATCCCAGCACTTTGGGAGGTTTGGATCTGTGTCCCTGGCTAAATCTCATGTTGAATTGTAATCCCCAGTGAGGAGGGCCCTGGTGGGAGGTGATTGGATTTTGGGGGTGGAGCTCATGAATGGTTTAGCACCATCCCCCCATTGGTACCACATAGTGAGTTCTCAGGAGATCTGGTTGTTTAAAGGTGTGTAGTACCTCCCTCCACTTCCTCCCGCTCCAGCCATGTAAGACGTGCTTGCCTTCTGTCATGATTGTAAGTTTCCTGAGGTCTTCTCAGAAGCAGAGGCCACTATGCTTCCTGTATAGCCTGCAGAACCATGGGCCAATTAAACCTCTTTTCTTCATAAATTACCCAGTCTCAGGTATTTCTTTATAGCAGTGCGAGAACAAGCTAAAGCAGGAAGATTGCTTGAGGCCAGAAATTCAAGACCAACCTGGGTAACATAGTGAGACACTTTCTCTAATAATAATTTTTTAAAAATTGCCAGGCGGGCGAGGCGCGGTGGCTGACACACTTTGGGAGGCCGAGGCAGGTGGATCACAAGGTCAGGAGATCAAGACCGTCCTGGCTAACATGGTGAAACCCCATCTCTACTAAAAAAATACAAAAAAATTAGCCAGGCATCATGGCAGGCACCTGTAGTCCCAGCTACTTGGGAGGCTGAGGCAGGAGAATGGCTTGAACCCGGAAGGCAGAGCTTGCAGTGAGCCAAGATCGTAGCACTGCACTCCAGCCTGGGTGACAGAGTGAGACTCCATCTCAAAAAAAAAAAAAAAAAAAGCCAGTCACCGTGGTGCATACATGTAGTCCCAGCTGCTCAGGAGGCTGAGGCCAGAGAATCAGTTTAACCCAGAAGTTCGAGCTGCAGTGAGCTATGATCATGCCACTGCACTCCAGCCTCGGTGACAGAGCAAAACCCTGTCTCAAAAAGTAAAGTAAAATCCCTTCTTCTGCCTATCAGCTCCCCTAGCTGTTGCCTCTCATGGTCAAGGATGCTTTAAAAGGTATCTATCCTCACTACCATGATTTTTCTCACCACCACCCCTGCCTCCTTAACTAAGGCAGATCTTCCTTCCGCTACAGAAATTCCACCAAAATCATGCTGCCTCAGTCATTAGTGCTGACCCAAGGCATTGCTGAGCCCAAAGGGCTTTTCAACCCCTACTCAGCTTTAGCCTTGGCAACATTTTGCAAAGTGGAGCACTCCCTTCATTGAAACACGCTTCCACTGACAACATATTTTCTTGATTTCCCTCCCGCTGTTCTGAATGTTTCTGCACAAATTCCTTTTCTAGTTTTCCTTTCTCCTCTCCCCAATATTATATGGTAGTCTTATACAGGAATCTGTCCATCTCATCTACTTCTAAGGATTCATTTACTATTTATATGCCAGCAGGTTTACACCTATCTATATAACATCTTCACTTAAAGGGCTTACAGCCATCTCAATCTAAGCATATTAAAATCTGAACCCACCATCTCCACCTCTGCCTGAAAAATTGGCACTGTTCCCATACGTGGCACTATCAATAAATGGCACCACGTGTCCTTACTCACTCCTGGCAGAACCTCAAGGACATTCTGAGCCCACTCTGTCTTTCTGCTCCACATCAGTCTCTCATGGTGTCTTTCTAAATTACATTTCATGTCTCTTGAATTCTTCCACTTTGCTTTAATTCTACCATCACCATCCTTTTGTCTCACCTGGACTGCTCCAAAGAACTTTTGAATGGTTTCCTTGCCTCCACTTTTACCATTCTTTAGTTTATTCTCTACAAAACTACCAGAGTGATCTTTAACAAACATGAATAAGATCACTCTTGCTTAAAACTCTCCAGTGGCTTCTCCTTGACTTTGGCATAACTCAAAACCTTTTAACATGATTTACAGGACCATCCAAAATCTGACCCCTGCCTTCATCTATAGCTTCATCTCCTATATGCTTTCCCTTCATTTTATCCAGTCATCTTGGACTTCTTTAGGTCCTTTAAATGTATCATGTTGTCTTTACTTAAGGCCTTCAGATATGCATTTCCTTCAGTCTGGAACCTTCCTCATCAACTTTCTTTACCCAGCCAACTCCTTGTCAACCTTCAGCTAGTTCCATAAGTTTCCATAGTAGTTTTGTCTTCCTCTTCCTGTCTCCCATGATCACCGATGTTTCTCCAGCAGGCTTTAAACTTCATGAGGTCAGGGATCAGAGCTGTCTGGTTGCCTCCTCTATCCATATTGTGTAGCACAATGCCTTGCACACAATAAGTACTCAATAAGTATTTGGTTGCACAATAAAAATGACATTATCTGGCTCAAACTTCCCATTTTGAGAAAGAGGAAACTGGGATCCAAAGAAAGGAAGCAACTTATTCAAAACAACAGAGCCCAGGCTAAGATTAATACAGGGCTGGAGCCTCCTAATTTCCAGATCTTTTTTTTTTTTTTCCAGCACATCATGTGCCTATCTATAATATGGTAACCAGAAGGAAGCAGACTGGATTCCCTGTGTCTTGTAAAAGCCGGAGCAAGTTCTTATTTGTAAACACAGCTGACATAGTTGTTTTCTTTGTTTGTTTTAAGTAAAAGGACTGGAAGTACAACCCAAAAATAAACTTTGTGTTTCCAAACCAAGAAGCTTCTACAACTTTTATCCCCTGCAGCCTCCTTTCTGTCCATTGTTCATCTTCCTTCCCTTCATTAACCACAGGCATCAGCTGATATTCAATGTTGAATGGTCCCTGCATTCTGTGTTCTTTATCACTCCCCTGCCCAGGCAGCATGTCACATGCAGCAGCAGATTAGGAAGTGCTGTCTTTAAATAGTATCACTCAAGAGAACATTACAAGATCCTGTGTAGCGCTGGGGTGGAGATTGATGTAATAATTTTTAGAATAAAAATAACTCACATTTTTGAAACTATTAGTTTGTGACTGGCACTAATTTCAGTGGTTTGTATGCATTTTCTTTTTTAACTTTATGAGTAATTATTTCTATTACTTCTATTTTACAGATGAGTAAACTGAGGGACAAAGAGGTTAGTTAAGGCCCAAGCCATTCTGTTTTGTTTGAGACAGAGTCTCCCTCTGTCATCCAGGCTGGAGTGCAGTGGCACGATCTCGGCTCACTGCAACCTCCGCCTTCTGGATTCAAGCGATTCTCCTGCCTCAGCCTCCCAAGTAGCTGGGATTACAGGCACCTGCCACCACACCCAGCTAATTTGTGTATTTTCAGTAGAGACAGGGTTTCACCATGTTGGCCAGGCTGGTCTCGAACCCCTGACCTTAGATGATCCACCCGCCTCAGCCTTCCAAAGTGCTGGGATTACAGGCGTGAGCCACTGCGCCCGGCCCACCCAAGCCATTCTGTTAGCTAGTGAAAGAGTCAAAGTTCTAATCTAGCCAGTCTAGAGCCTGTGATCCTAACTGTCTGACATCGGACAATGAAGAATGTGTTGACCTGGCAGGAAATACCAAAAAGTACAACTGAGGGAGATCCTAAACTTGCTTTATACAGATATCCTGGATCCTACCCCTGATTCATTCATTAATTCATTAATCCATTTACTCATTCATTTAATTCTTTCAACATGTATTTATTACATTTTTGCATTATTTATATCAATTTTGGGGAATACAGAGAAAGTTAATGGCTTCTACCCTTTGACATCTCACAGTCCAGTGGGGAGACGTAAGAAAACAGACATTTATCCTACTGTGTGCTGAATGATAAGACAGAGGAAAATCAGTGAGCTTTGGGAACATGGAAGAGATTATAAACACATAATAAAGAGAGTTTAAAAGGGCACTACAGTGATTTGCTTTGGACCTGCATTCCACACCTGTCACTCTATCTGTCTGACCTCTGCTCTCTCTATGCTCCTGGCTTCTAGCCCTTCTCTTACTTTGGTACCATCCTTAGCCTCTCAACTCCTGGCTTCAGATTCGATGTCTTTGCTTGTCTTTTTCCTCTGGAAGTTGGTTTGGAATGGATTCTGGCTTGGCTAGAGGGTTTCTGTATCGTAAACAGTCTAAGGCCAGCTCCAAAGTCTAGGCCAGAATATCTAGGCCCCACTACCAAAATGGCTCTCGCTTAGAAGAATTGGAGATCCAAAAGCAGGGAACTTGAAAGAGCATGGAGGGATAGATGGATGGATAGATTCCTTGCCTCTTAGCTTCGATTATTCACCTGCCTAAACCCAGAGCAGTTGGCCTAGTGACTAACCAACATCCCTTGCAGCTCAATCATTATTCATTATGTTAATATTATCACACATTTTGATTCTTTGCTGTCGATTTGGTTGCTGATCTGCTGGCCAAAGGATCATCATGGGAAGGAATTACTATTGAAGCAGGCAGTGCAAATTTCAAAAGTGTTCAGACCCTGCGGCCTTTCATGATATTTCACTTTCTTGAGTTGCAGTCTCCCATTGGCCTGCTCCTTCCGAAGCAGATTTTGTCCCTTGTAGCCATAAGTGAAGCATATCCTGGCTAAATGTTTCTGTGGACTGAAGGTAGCTATTGAATTGGGCAGTTAAGAGAATATTGCAGATTCTTGTCGGTAAATGACACAAAAGATGATGGACTCTAAGCTAGCTATGGAAGAAATTAGAGCCAGACAGGGCACATGAATTGAAAGAAAATGAAGTGATGGAGATTCTGGAAGTTGCTTTAAAGTGGAGAAGGACATTTGCTAAGAATGATAGAGTACATGAGAGAATTGGACTGAAGGGCAATGGAATTCAGAAAGTGGCTGTTGGTATATTGTAATATTCATAAGTATAGCAGTCTCAAGGGGGGCTGTGGGAGTATTGAAGTGAAATGGAGATGAAGGTCCCGGAGGTGGAAACATTTTGAAACCGTCTAACAGTGGAACATTGGATGGGTCTTATGAGCAGATGCTGAAGTTGTCCAGGACAATGATAAACCTCCAGGTAGATAGGGAGGCTTGTGATCTAGGAGCCTTAGCCTCATTTAACATAGGGACAGAAACAAGAGGCTGACAGTGACAGCAGTGAGATGCAGGGGAGACATGTGTCATTGTATCTCCATCATTAGGTGGCATAAACCTCAGAGGAACAGGCTTTTTTGCCTGCAACTGCAGGAATACTTGTCTGGAAATGATAATGAGGAGGCCTGAGAATAATGACTGTTATCACCTTCCCCAACCCACCTGAAACATACACACATGGCAACACTTACCTTTCAATAAAGTTTCTGGGAAAATAAAGTTTATTTCAGTTGATAGGTACATAGTAATAATAACAATATCTGCACTTTTAAGCATTTAGTCCATCCAATAGGCCTATAAAATAGGTATTAAAACTTCCCTTTTTTTGAGACAGCATCTTACTGTGTCGCCCAGGCTGGAGAGCAGTGGCACAATCGAGGTTCACTTCAGCCTCAACCTCCCAGACTCAAGGGATCCTCCTATCTCAGTCAGCCTTCTGAGTAGCTGGGCCTACAAACACGTACCATCACACCTGGCTAATTTTTATTTTATGTTTTTGTTGAGATAGGGTTTCCCTATCTTGCCCAGGCTGGTTTCAAACTCGTTTCAAGCGATCCTCCCACCTCAGCCTCCCAAAGTGCTGGGATTACAGGTGTGAATCACTGCATCCAGCCTAAAATTTCCATTTTTAAAATGAGGAAATTGAGACTCAGGATGTTCATGGCAGAACTAGGGTTTGGATTATGATCTAAATATCACTGAAGTCTTTGTTTCACAGCAAATGTTTAAAAGTATAGGTTCCAAAGCCATATGTTTTCTTGTCTTTGAACTGGGAATACAAACTAGGTAACGTATTTAATAATATAGTGCTAGGCCATAGTAAGTACTCAACAAATATCAGTTGCCATTATAATTATTGTTATTGAGTTACTATTATTTAATTACAGCTCACGGCAGTACTATATACCTTCTCAGCCTCACATATCAGCAAGATCATATTTTTTTCCAGTCAACAATAGATTATTAGATGAGTGACAGCTTGCAGTTTTGGAACCTATCATCTGTCTGATGCTTTTAGCAAGAAGCTTCCTATTTTTACTTTGAGAAATCCATAAGAAGTAAGTCAAACTCATGTAGATGGGATGAATACTTGCTCCCTATTCATGTTTGGATCCAACTCTTTTGCAGCCAGGCCATATATTAGGACCCCATCTCAGAGTATCACAACAGAGGTTGATGGCCTTACCTAGTATAAAACCACTCCCCTGTGCCGTATTTGCCCATGACTGAATCGGAATGAAACTTTCCCTTGCTAGGAAAACACTGTGGGTATATTCTCTGTCGGAGTGTGCTGAGCAAAACCCTAATAGAATGTACCGTGAGGAATAAGGAGTAACTTGTCAACTGAGAGTTAATCAGAAAACCACATGTGCACAAAACCAACAGATTGCAGAGCTGGCAAAGACTTCAGAGATAATTTACTCCAACCCCCTCATTCTACTGATAAAGAAAGTGAGTCCCAGGGAGGGGAAGGGTCTTGCTCAGGGTCATACAGCTGGCAGTAATTTTGTTTGTTTCAATAATTAATATGAACAGTCATTCTATACATCAGTGAATCCACCTTCCTGCCTTTGTAAGCACAATATAATGACCATAATTGAATTTGTCTTTGACAGTGAAGAAAGCAGGCTTTTAGGGCTTTACAGGGCCCCAAAGTCATCAGAAGAAAATAAATTGTCATGAACTAAAGCTGGAGATCTGCCTGTTGACTGTGAGCTTCTTAAGGAATGGGCCTGGTCTTATTCATGAGCTAAAGCAAGTTTCAAATCCTGGCTTAGCCCTTTACTAGCTTAAGCAAGTACTTAACCTCTCTGAGCCTTTATTTCCTCATTGTAAATTTAAATAATAAGACCTTCCTCAGAGACTGTTAGTGAGGATCAAGGGAGGCAAGATCTGTATACCAGTACCTTGCGTAAAATAGGCATTCAATAAACTTGCACTTTCACCTTACATTTAACAAATGTCCTGCTAAAAGCTAGGGATACTTCAAAGAAAGGAAAGCCAACGACTCCACTTTCATGGAGCTTAGATTCAGGAGGGAGGAGAGCAGAGGTGAGGACCACAGAGAAGCAGGCAGACAATAAACAATTAAAAATATAATTTCAGATGATGATGTGCTATCAAGGGTTATGAGGAAAAGAAAATGAGATGATGTCATAGATGTTTAGGAGAGTGCACTGCTTCTGCTAAGAGTGGCCAAGGGCAGTCTTTTCAATATTATGTTTGAAGAGAACCTAAATCATATGGAAAAAGCCAGACAGTCAAAGATCCTGGAGAAGACCATTCCTGAGAGATTCAGAAAGGCCTTAGGCAGGAGGAAGGTTGGCATGTTCAGCCAGCAGCAAGATGGCCAGTGTGTTCCCAGCATGGCCAGCCCAGTAAGCAGGGCATGAGATGAGACTGGAGACATCTGCATAAACTCCATCCTGAAGTTCTAGTCCACCCTATGACATTTGAGTTTTATTCAAAAAGCGATGGAACACTGTTGCAAGGACGTGTTAAAAAATAAATATTGGTCTTTGTCCCTAGTTCCTGGCACACAGCTTCTAAAATTCTTGGAATCCCTGCTAAAAGCTAGGGATACTTCAAAGAAAGGAAAGCCAAGGACTTCACTTTTATGGAGCTTAGATTAAGCTCCATGTGTATGGTAATGAGATGACTGATGGCTGAGAACCCCTCCGTAGCATCAGGATGGGGGCTGGTCACCAGAAAGACCAAGGCATGATTAGAGGGTTGAACTTTCAGCCCCTCCCCTGACCTTCCAGAATGAGAAAGGGGCTAGAGATTGAGTCAATCACCGATGGCCAATGATTTACTCAATTATACCTAAGTAATGAAACCTTCATAAAAACCCCTAAATGATGGGGTTTAGACAGCTTCTGGATTGGTGAACACAGGGAGGTATTGAGAGGATGGCATGCCTGGAGGAGGCATGGAAGCTCACTGCACCACTGCACCTCCCTCCCCTCATACCTTGCTCTATGTATCTCTTCCATTTGGCTGTTCCTGAATTTTATCCTTTATAATAAACTGGTAATAGTAAGTCAACCGTTGTCTTGAACTCCATAAGCCGATTCTAGCAAATTATCAAGCCTTGGGGGGTGGAGTTTGTGGAAACCTCCAATTTGCGGTCAGTTGGTCAGAAATACAGGAGACCCAGGACTTGTGATTGGCATCTGAAGTGTGGGCAGTCTTGCTGGACTGAGCCCTGAAGCTGTGGGGTCTGACACTAACTAACTGGGGTCAGTGTCAGAATTGAATCAAATTTAATTATAAGTCATGCAATTGGTGGCAGGAGAGTTGGAGAATTGGTGAGTGTGAGGAAAAAACCCATACATTTGGTGTCAGGAGTGTTGTAGGTAAAAACAGCCCAGAGAGGTAAAATCATTCATTGATTCATTTAACAAATCCTTATAGATTAACTATTCTGGCCAGGCACAGTTCTTGGTGTGGTGCATGAATCCAATACACACCCCTGGCCACATGGAGCTTGCATGCTAAAGGGATAATAAATATCTAAAGTTTATGTAGCATTTACTATATGCTGGCATTGTTGTGTTTTACCTCAAATAACTCACGTGCTTCTCATAGCAGTCCTATGAAAGGCATATTTTTATCCCCATTTTCTGATGAGGCAACAGGCATGAAGAAATTAAGTAATTATTCCGTGATTATACAGCTAGTAAATGTAAAAATCCAGTTTCAAATTCTGGCAGTCTGTTATAGTCAGTCTGTATTTTAATCACTGCCCTTTATTTTCTCTGCTTCTGAAAAATCACCTAGACTGGTCCTGACTGCTATAAGGGGAACCAAAGTGGAAGTCAAGAGACCAGTTAGGCAGTAGTGGTCAGAGAATGGGATACTGGAATTTTCAACAACACTGAGTAGATATTATTATTCCCACTTAATAAATGGGAAAACTGAGCTTTGATTCACACATCTGATAAGTAGCAGAGCCTGGATCCAACCCCAAGCCCATTTATCTCTAAAACCCAGTATCTTTCTGCTAATGCCTCCATTTCCTACAGAATTATAAAGCTTCCACTCCTCCCCTCCTTTATGACCAAGAGACCAATTTGAGGTATGTTTTAGAGTCAAAATTAGAGGACTGGGCGTCTAAAAATTTTTTTTTCTCTTGGTAGGCATTTTTATAATTGAAAATAAAATAAAATATAAATATACTGACATGCAGTTCTGTTTTCTCATTTTCTTTTGCAAACTTTAAATTGAGATATAGTACACATAAGGTGAAATACAAAGATATTAATGTACAGCTTGATGAATTTTGATGAAGTATACACCCATATAGTCAACACTCTAAAGATATGTAAATGTGTGCACATAGTGTACTTAAAATTATAAATGAGGTGCCAGTTTTCATATCATGAGTAATGATAAAGACCTCTCCCACTCTCTTTTTCTCTCATCCCTTCCTGCTTCTCAATTGATATTTTTGTCTCCAATTCATGGGGGTTACACAGAATACCAGGTGCAGGTCAAAAGATGACTGTGTCAAAAGGAAAAGAAAGCAAAATAAATAAGAGAACAACTAGCCATTTCTTAATGCGTGTTGAAGGAAAGTCACATTGATATATTTTCTGTTTTTCTATGGAGGGGTCACGTGCCTCAGCCCACACATTAGCATGTGAACTTGTTGTTCCAGTCAAATGAGTCAGAGTTCCTCAGGAAGGCAGATTCCTGTATTTTAGAGCTATGTGTCAGCATCTGTAAAAAAAAAAAAGGTACAGTGTCCTGTATTGATGCATCTCACTGATACACACGTGCTCGTCTCACTCCAGGTAATCACACCTGCTAATAAGCAGCAGAAGTAGGATTTGAACTCCAGCCTAGGGCACTCAAGAATCAGGCTGTTTTCATGACAGGGAGAATGGTACCACTGAGTCCGAATGTAGGGTTTGCAATGGCCTGGAGTCAGAAGTGGGCTTGAATTCTGGTTTTACTACATAATGGCTTTATGACCTTGGGAAAATTACTTATATTCTCTCTATTTTCAGTTCCTTTATTCACAAAGTGGTGATAGATGATCTGTGTCCTAATGTCCTTTTGAGGGTTAAAAAGATCATGTACTTAAAATAATCAGCACAGCACAGAGTACAAAGCTTAAACCAGTAAAATGGCAATGGCAGTGGTAGTCGGCCCCTAAGTCAACAGACACCACAGTGTTTTTTAACCATATACCCCCATCAGTTAAAATAAATTTTGAGTATGCATCCTCAGTACATGAAAACCTATTTATGAAAAAGCATGATGTGCTATACTGTGTTCATAGATTATTTACTCTATAAAACAAGTGAAATATAGCTGAACCAAAGTATTTCCAATGTGTTTACCTGTCATGATGGCTTCATGCTAATATTAGCAACATGTAAAAGTACACTATATGTCTATGGCCAGGTGTGTTTTTAATAATTTTAAAATGATTTTTGATGATTTTTAAATGATTTTGTATGTGCCTATGTATCGAAATCTAAGGCAATCTTCTTGATAATTTTGATTATTTTCCCAATCCTTGTCTTATTTGACTAGGTCTTCATTGTTTTTACCTTACAATATGAGGAGCTAGTACTGAGTAAATACATCACCATTTTCTTGTTTACTTGAATCTGAATGGTGAACTGGTGATAATTATCTCCATCACGTGCAAATCCATTGACTGAATCTTTTTTAGCTGCTTGTCCATTTTGTGAGGGTTAGTTTAAACTAGTTAATACCTATTAATCACTAACCTGGAACATGCAAACGACAACATGTAGCAATTCTGGAAGCTGAGGACATATAAGGGAGTGCCATAGGGCCATCCCTGGAGTTGGAGAGCTCCCACTCTCCTCACAAGAACCTCACACATCTTATGTGACTCATGACTGACTGATGTGTGGCCAAACTGATAAATTGTCTAGTAACAATCCATATATTAAATGCTGGTAAAGTGTAATTAATTTCTTAAGACCAAAAAAAGTCATATAAATGGCACTTCCAGTATTTTCTTCTGGAATCTTAATGAGAATTCCCTGGAGTTTATGGATGCCACTTAAGAAACACTGCCATCACTTTTTCCTTTGGCAACTCTGCAAACACTAACCAAGCACCTGTAAGTGCTAGGACTGTGCTAGACATTAGGCCTACAGTGATGTGATTTCTGCCTTCTGGGAGTTCATATATAGCTTGTTTCCACCACACTAAGTTCTGCTATATTCTCCCCTATAGATGGTGACTCTGGAATTGCCCAGCTTGCAGTGCCCTGTAGTACCTTGGGCTAGACTACTGACAGTCTTCCCCAAAAGGCTTAAGCCCATTATTCCCCTTCCTCAGGGTAGGGGAGAAGGTACTAGATCTTCTGCTCCCAAAATTGCCAACATCAGTAAGTCTACCACTCATGGAATCCACATCTTTTCCAAGGGTACTGAAGAACCCATGGCTTCCTTTAACCTCATTTCCCTGGTAACTCACTCCAACATGGCCTACAGCCCTTTGGTAGCTCCCAGGCCAGGTCATTACAGTGAGAATTGGGTGTTTCCCCTGGCCACATGCAGGCCTGGCTGTTGCCAGTGCTGCCACAAGAGAAGTGGTGAGCAGTGTGTGCTGATTAGTATCTCAGCCTCGACACACCAGGGAAGGGTCAAACCCATGAATGCAGTCTTTCATGGCCGTGGTACAGGGCCCCTATTTTTTCCTCCAGAAACCCTTCACTTGCTTTCAGAAGTGATGATCAAATGTGAACTTTCATGGTTTATTTATAGCTCTGCCTTATAGAGAGAAAGAAAAGAAGTGATTAAAATGCTATTTTACAAAATATTTTGTTTTTAAAAAGCTTTCATTGTGTGGGCAAAAGGAAAAAGAAAAGTCACTGTATTAATTGTGCTGTCTAGACTCTCAAACAAAGAGGGTAGCGTGCTGCAAATTAAGATTGTCCGGCTCCTGCCTGCTGACAAAAAGTATGAATTTGGAGGCCAACTTCAAATAAACCCTTTGGAACAGAAATATATTGTGGGGGTGACTATATTTAGCATGTGTCAGCATTTCCATACTAAATTCATATTGTTATGTTGTGGTAATTTCAGATTTCCTGCAGCCAAGTGGGATCATGAGATTTCAGTTTTATGTTAATTATTTGGAGAAATTGAAAAACTCAGCAGTGCTGTTTCTGATGACAGCACTGATTCTCAGGGTATTCTCCACGTTGTGTCAGGGACCCATAATGAGCCCTGCCTTTCAGGAAAGGGGAAGGTGAGCCCGAGTCATTTTGACTGTCTTTATAAGCATAACTTTAAATATATATATATATATATATATATATATATATATATATATATATATGGCATTACATGTTTTCCCTACAAATACAAAATTAATATATGCCACTGTAGAAAATTTAGAAAACACAATAAGCAACTTGACAAGAAAAAAAAATTGTTACCCATGCTATCCAACCTGTTAACATTTTAATATATATTGATCCGATCTTTATTATGCATATATAACTTGTTTTTATATGCATATCTTGTTTTTAACTTGTTTTTAACAAGTTATATGGAGCAAACAAAAAATTATGTAGCACAAACATGATTATTGAGATAGAATACAAAATTATAACTTTATTTTCTATTCTCATTATCCCTTTGCATTTGTGCAGTAGAGCTAGTTTTTCCCTGCTCTGGTTAAAAATCCTGGTGGTTCCATTACTTTTTTAGATAAATATAAAGTCACTTAGATAATATAACCTTTATGGTCCTTTAAGTTGTGAGATGTAGCCAAAATTCAGAAATTCAAATATCAAAGAATATGTAAAGGTAAAGGTAAGATGTTTTCCAGTTCTTCCAGCTGGAGTCTGCCAGAAACGAGACATAGCCCTAATCAGATTCTTCTTTCTTCCTCATTCACTTTCTCTCCAACATATTAGCTTTTTTCTTGTTCCTCTGAAATGGTTAGAAAGTATAAGGGAAGAAAAGTTAGTGGTGTAGGAAATTTCTTATCTGATCAGTACTGTCATAATGGGCTTCATGCTCTCTTAGCCTTATAGGTGTTTACAGCTAGCTCTGATTCTCATAAGGCACATCATAGATTTTTGGGGAGACCCCCTGCCTCTGAAAACCTCTCGCCTGAAATATTGTTGTCTTGGTTAACACCTGTCTATTCTCATAGATTGCTCACTACTCTTCTCTTAATTCCTCAGGAATCCTTTCCTTTTTTTTTTGTTGTTTGTTTGTTTTGGTCTCTTTTTTGTTTGGTTTTGTTTTGAGATAGAGTCTTGCTCTGTCTCCCAGGCTGGAGTGCTGGAGTGCAGTGGTGCAATCTCGATTCACTGCAACCTCTGCCTCCCAGGTTCAAGCAATTCTTGTGCCTCACCCTCCCCGTGGGACCACAGGCACATGCCACCATACTTGGCTAATTTTGTATTTTTAGTAGAGACGGGGTTTCACTATGTTGGCCAGGCTGGTCTTGAATTCCTGCCCTCAAGTGATCCACCCACCTTGGCCTCCCAAAGTGCCAGGATTAAAAGCATGAACCACTGCTCCCGGCCCAACCTCATGCTTCTTTATGGTGACTGCTCCACCTCGTTAGGTGGCCATGTTGGACAGGATCTGAGAACCCCTGGCAGCTCTCTCATACATGGGCCACTTGGGGTCTATGGGAAACCTTTGTCTTTTGGATCTGGACAGACTCTGGCAGTGCTGGTTGATCCCAGGGTAACCTCTACTTCACTTTTACACTGCAGCTGTCAGCCAGCCTGTCTCTTCCAGACAGGAGTCACATACAAGCCACCATGTGCCACAACCTCAGGGACATGCAGCAGATTCTCTGCTGGTCTGTGTCTTCCTGACTCCTGAAGGGAGAGGATCTCTTCATACTTCACCCTGGAAGGAGGCCTGATGTGCAGTAAACCAACAGCTCTTTCCTAAAAATCCATCTCTGTCTGACCTTCCACATCAATGAAAGGTTTAAGAGTTGATTAATGGGTCCTCAGGCACCCTTCTTGCACATTCTTCAGGGTGGTCTGTTTCCAGTTCACTTTGGTATCTTATATCTGTCATCTTTAGATCTCAGCCAAAACTTCCATTTTAACATTCCGTCACGTGTATTATCCTTAAGTTCATTCATTCCGTAGACATTCCCTGAGTGCATACGATATGCCAGATGCCGAGTTTGGCAGTGAAAATAATTATAACAATTCCTGCTTTAAGGCGCTCACAGTCTAGTTGGGGAGGCTGATCTGTTAACAAAAAAATATGGTGCCATGTCATAAACGCTATGATAGACGGAAGCAGAAGTTGCTGTTGGAGCACATAACTCAATATAGGTGGGAGGCAGGCAGCGGGGATGAGTCAGAAAAAAATCTCAGTAGAGCTGATACCTGAGCTAAGTTTAACATTTAAATCTGTACTTTCTGAGAAACAGCATAACCTCTTTTTAAACCATTGAAATCTCTCTTGCTGATGTTTGCTTCTCAATTTATTTTTAAAACAAGCAAAGGTAATGTGGAGAAAGGAGGGAAGAATTCCCTGATGTCTGCCGTTTATGTGCACATCTGTTGCAGTGGGAAGGAAAATAACATTTATGGAGTACCTTCTATAATAGAAGTTTCCTGGATCCCACCCATGAGGGCGATCCTGGAATGTTGTCTCAAGTGTGGGGCCAAAGCACAGCCAGGAGGAGCATTCCCTGAGGGCAGTTTGAAGATTCAGAGCTGGCAATAGAAGGCAAGGTCCTCCCTAAAGCACAGCAGAGCACAACTCAAGGAAGAGACGAAAAGGACAAAATAAGAATGAGTGGCACGGTTGATGATGGGGATTGCTGAGACCATCTCAACAATACCCCGGCTTGCTCTAAGGGAATCAGGACTTCGTCTTTGAAGGAAACTGTTCTGGGGTAAGCAGAGCTCTTAACATACCTCTGCTAAGTGGAATGGCAGCATGTTCACTAAGATGTGTTTGACCATTTGGCCCTCCACAAAATGACTCCAGACAGCCCTTTTAGTCTTCCTCTTTCTCCATGGTTTCTTTGTCAATAATTTTTCTTCATTAAAAAAAATCTCCTCCCTACTTAAGGCTGCCATTTCTTTCTGTTGTCATTGTGCTGGCTACTCTTAGCATCTCTGATCTCCCAATCAGCACATTCACATCCATTGAGAGCTGGGAAGCTAGATGTCTAGTTCAGAATGCACATGCTATCCTTGTGGAAGAGTCCATAGAGCAACCTAGCAGGAGTGGAAATTCGTGTAAGCTAGCAGATGAAAGAACCATCAGGTTACCTAACCCTTGAATAACTACTGAAAGAAGTTTATCCGCTTCTAGCGTAGTATTTATCACACTCTATTTTGATCACAGTAAATGTCTTTTCCACTCTATAGTGAGCTCTTTGATGAAAGGCCCATGCAATCTTCCTCTCTGTATTCCATGTAGATTGAGTGTTATGCTTGGCACGTGAAAGGGAGGCAATATGTTTTATGAATAGTCCAGGTGTCGAGACTTAGTAGTAAACAGACAAGTCCTTGCCCTGTGTAGCTTACATTCCGGTTAGGGCAAGGAGTGGAGAAGGCAGACAACGAACACATAAACCAGTAAATATACAAAGTGGCAGAAGGAAATTAGTGGCATGCAAATCAGTCAATCAGTCACAGTAAGGTGGCAAAGATGGTCAGGGGAAACACTTGGAAATGTTTTGAAGATACCCAGGGGCTCTCATATTCTGTATGGTATTCAGATTTTTTTTTTTTTTTTACATTTTTTCCTCCCTTACTAGTATGTGAGTTTCTCCAGGATAAAGAGTATGTCGTATGCAAATCTGTATCCCTAGCAGAGTGTGTGGTACATAGTAAGTGATTAATAAATGTGTAGAATAAGAAGTTGTACACATGTGATCCCAGAATGACTGCATCCTTAGCAATAGGAATTCAATAGCCGTTCCTAAGACTGAGCCTATGCTGTAGAGCTTTGTCGTGCTGTTGCTTGCAATCTTCCCTGGCCAGGTCTGTTGGACTCCAAAGTTTACTTTCTCATGGCCTTAACAGCCTTAGGAGACTGCTTAAAAAAACCTAACCCTTCTGCTCATATGGGAGCCAAAACAATCCATGGTTAATCTTGATGCTGCACCTACCATACCATGTCTACCCAGATGCTGTAACATGTCATCTGCCTGAGTGCCCCATTGTAAAGAAAAGAATGTCCTGAAGTCACATTCCAGAACTCAAGTCACTTAGACTCAGCCCGGAGGTCTCAGTATGTACTCACAACTTCAGAGATTGCTGGAAAAAGAGCTGAAGTTGAATTGGAGAGGTCTTAAATATTTTATCCTCAAGTACAGGTGCGAAGTGAGTTCCATTCCGTGATTGCTATCTTTAGGGAAGTAGACAATGTACTCAGCGGCTGGTTATGTTCCCTGCTTCTGCCCTGTGTCCAGATAGTGAGGAGGGGAAATAATTCTTCCCACTTACCCCTGGAGGCAGTCACAGAACTGCTTTGCCTTTTGGGTTGTTTATGCCCCAGAGGCCTCAATACACAAGTATTTATTAAGCCCAGGAGGTGTGGTCATAATTGAAACTTTAAATGTTCACTGTGTTTTATTCCTATTTTTGTGTTTTATTCTTATTACCAAAGAAAAGTAAGTTGAAAAAAAAGAGGACTAACCAAATATCTTAAAGGGAAGCAAATTCAAATTAGAATGTTTTGCCTGTGACAAGCCTCGCTTTGGATTTCGCTTTCCAACTCAGCTGTCTATGTTGTTTTCCATTTAATAGGAAGCAATGGCAAAAATGAGCAAAGTTGGGAAAGTTGTGTTCCCGAGACTACAGGATAAAAAGTAAGTGTGTATTTTTTATATGTACAGTGCTAAGGAAGTGAGCACATACACACACACATGCAACTATAGATCTGGAATAAACTCAGGTGGTCAACTAATCCAGTCCTTTAATTTGTGGTTAAGAAAACTAAGTTCCAGGGAGGTAATGTCACCTTCACTTACCTAAGGCTGCAGAACTATGTAGGGCCAGAGCTGGGGGTGAATGTAAGCTTCTGAACTCTCAGACCAATGTTCTTTTTCCCAGGTAATTGGCAGCAAATCTGCTCTTCTCTGTTCTAAAGTAGGGATCTCTTATATCTCCATCAAAGGACCCAGTAGAATCTGCTCATTCTTTTACTCTTTGTATCACTTGGCATCAAAGGCTAAAAAATGACATTGGTCAGTATTTTAATCCCAATTCAACAAAATATTAGTTTACTGAATTCCTGCTATATTCAAGGCATTATGCTGGGCTCCAGGCAGGTGTTACAGGGGAATAAAACACAATTTAATTTAGGCACATAAGATTATTTTAGAACAACGGGATAAGTTCCACAATTGAAGTATTGCCAGGTGACAAAGTTGCCCAAGGAAGAAAGAGATGGGAGCCTGTAGAGATGAGAGAATGCTTTTGGGAGGAGGTTATGTCCAAGCTAACTTTAAGCTCTTGTAAGAAATTGGTAGACAGGCCAAGGCAAGAAAGAACATTCATAGTAGAAGGAATAACATGTACAGTTATAAAAGTGGGAGCAGCATAGTACATTCAGGTTACTATAAACAACTCATAATCCAGAAACACAAAGTATGAGATGGGGAATGGCAGGAAGTGGGACTAGGGAAGGATAGAATTGGGTAGGGGGAGGTCAGCTCATAAATACCTTGGAGGCCATGCTGAAGACCTCCAACCTCATCCTATAGGCAGAACAGAGATGCTGAATTCTAAGCAGTGGTGAGATCTGGTCAGATGCAGATCAGAAAAATCCCTCTTAAAGGATCCAGTACAGGGGGCTCAGGGTAGAAATAGAGGGTCCAGATAAAAGGCTTTTTCAAGAATCCAGGCTAGAGATGTAAAAGACCTCTATTAATTTGCTGGTAGTGATTTTGAAGATGAAGGGGCTGTTGTGGAAGTGCTTTTATAATTTTAGGGAAGTATTCGAGGTTAAGACCTAAAAGCAAATTCCACTTAACATGATGAACAGGCAAATGTGCAGATCCCACTGAAGCAGGATCAGTATTTAACAGAATTGGAAATGTTCATGGAAAAGCAATCCACTTTCTTTTCATTTCCTTTAACTCCACATAGAGTCAGGCTGCTAACCCTCCGAATATAAACCCTTCTCTAAAGGCCAGGGTGGAAGGTACAGGCATTGCGTAGGGGAGCTCCATGCAGGAAGGTGGAGAGATCTGAGTTCCCACTGGCAGTAGGAGCTATGGGCTGCTGTCCCTGTTTCTGTTCCCTGGAGGCAGCTGGAGCATCCCTCTTTTTGTGAAATTAGAAAGATTGTCTTTCTCCATCTCTTCCCTGACCCTCCCAAGACTTTTCAGGGAAGTTTTTAAGTTTTTTCCGTAAACCCCACGTGTTCAGAGAGTCCTCCGCTGCTTGCTGGGAGCTGGCAGCTGGCAGCTGTTCTCTGCGAAGGAGGCGGCACACACGGTGCTTTAGCACCATCTGCAGGCAACCCAGAGATTTGCAAGGAGACAGGAGAAGCCAGTTTCCTTCTGAGCCAACCTCATCTCATTGCCTAATAGATCACACTGTTAACGATGTGGGACGACATTTACTTAGGCCTCTGCCACACAGAAGCAGGGACTGAGTTGAGGCACATTTTGAAGAGAGGGGATTCAGCTGATTTTAAAATTCACAGTCACGGAGAGTGTAATTTAGTGACTATAGTTTAATAATAAATGTTTAGGATGACCCCAAATTGCATTATTATGTTCAGTCCAAATTTATATGTGGCTCTGGAAGAGTCACTTAAATGTGCTTTGAGAAATTTGGTGCATTGAAAGACACTATCAACAGAGTAAAAAGGCAACTCACAGAATGGGAGAAAACATTTGCTTATCATACATCCAGTAAGGGATTGATATCCAGAATATATAAATGTATAAAGAACTCCTAAAACTCAACAACAACAAAAAAGCAAAAACAACCCAATTCAAAAGTGGGCAAAGGACTTGAATGAATATTTCCCCAAAGAAGATTTATAAATGACCAGTAAGCACGTGATAGGGTATTCAACAGCACTATTAGGAAAATCAAAACTACCGTGAGGTACCACCTCACACATTAGGATGCTACTATTTTAAAACAGAAAACAACAAATGTTGGCAAGGATGTGGAGAAATTGGAAGCTCTGTGCATAGTTGGTGAGAATGTAACATAGTATCGCTGCTGCAGAAAACACTATGGCCATTCTTCAAGAAATTAAGAATAGAATTAACATGTGATTCAGGAATTGTATTTCTGAGTATATACCCAAAAGAACTGAAAGTAGGGTATGGAAGAGATATTTCTACATTCATGTTCACAGCAACATTATTCATGATAGCGAAAATCATGAGAGCAACCTAAGTGTTCATTAGTAGATGAACATATAAATGAAGAATGATATGTGCATACAATGGAGTATTATTCAGCCTTAGAAAGAAGCAATTTCTGACATGCCACACATCAGTGAACCTTGAGGATATTATTCTAAGTGAAATAAGATAACCACAAAAAGACAAATACTGCATGATTCCACCTATGTAAAGAATAAGGCCAGTGCACAAAGTTGTGGCAAAGTTGTCAGTATTAACATTGTAAATCAAGTGTGTGTGAAGGGGTGCTCACCTTAGCTCCCTTCTAGATATTTTGAGATTCTAAAGTCAAGAAATCTATCTCATGTAGTGAAAGAATTCCTTACCGTTATATTGTCACAGAGCATCATTAGTAGGAGCAAATTGTTCCTAAAATAATTCTACAACTAATAAATTTGGATGCTCATAGAGTAGGTCTTAGTAGTACCTACATATAGCTATATTGATGATATTAAAATATTAATTATCTAAAATTTAGTAACTAGCATTTATATCACTTATTATGAGTCAGGTACTGTTCTAAATGCTTTTCATTTATTTCCACATTTAATCTACAACAGCTCTGCTGAAGTAGATCCCATAATTATCCCCATTTACAGATGGAGAAATTTAGGCAGAAATAGTTTAAGTAACATATCCAAAGTCACACAGCTAATGTTAGGCCACATTAAGATTCCAACCCAGGCTTTGGAGTTCGCCTTTTAACCCTGTGCTTGGCCCCGTCACAACTCCTACGTTACCAGAATGCTTACAGTCTAATAAATATTGGGTAGGGGACTCCTACTAACATAGCTATGTGTGACAAGTAGAAGTCCCTGTGTGTATCCAAGGTTACTCTTACAACCTCTCTCTGCCAATGCACAACTTTGCACCAAAATTTCATCATGAGGACTCCTTTTCAGAGCACCCCAGAATTGAGCAAGACATGCTAAACTGGCTTCTTCACCCCCTCACCCCATGTCAGCTTCCCAACCAAGAGGAGTAAGGACAAAGTTGCAAGGCTGCAAGTATAATTTGTCTCGGTTCCTATTATTCCTTTCAGGATTATGATGCCAGAGCAGCTTCAGCTGTTCTGCTGTCTGATTCATGGCCAATACCAGTTCTAACAGGTCTAACCCAAAGAGTCAGCCAGATAGGACAGGGAGAGCAACGGCCACTGTGAGATGTCTGGAAGGCGAGCACAGCTCTAGAAAAGGCATTAGCTACATTTCCATGGGGTTTTGCTCCTGGATAAAGCAGGTCACAAGGGAAACCTAGATGTGGAATCTGCAAAAGGGCAATTAAAATGTTCAGTCTTTGTCCTTGGTCAGGCTGTGATTTTAGGCCAGTCATCAAACCTGGGGCTAGTTATATAGGAAATACTTATTGAAGCTGGCAATGTGAAAGAGTCTCCATTAAGTCCGGCCTTTTTGTATATACAGTAGAAGCTTTGAAGTCAGACAGACATGAGTTTGAATTCCAGCTCTGCCAGTTTTTATCTATACTACTTTGTATATGCCTCTCATTTAGGAATTTTTTTTTTTTTTTTTTTGATGGAGTCTGGCTCTTTCACCCAGGCTGGAGCGAAGTGGTGCAACTCAACCACTTCACAGTGAACGGGGGACGGTTCACTGCAACCTCCGCCCCCCGGGTTCAAGCAATTCTCCTGCCTCAGCCTCCTGAGTAGCTGGGATTACAGGCGTCCACCACCATGTCTGGCTAATTTTTGTATTTTTAAGAGATGGGGTTTAAATGTTCTTATTTCTAAATTGGAGATAATAAAACTTCATCCAGGTCACATATAATAGGTCTGAAACATGCTAATTCATTGCCCAGGATGCTGTAAGCATTCAGAATCTAGGTGTCAGCATCACCACCACACATATATTTCCATTCTTCTAAATGTACAGGGAAGCCCTGTGGCAGTTTTGTCTTGAGATCATTCAACATATTTATATTTCTCCCACAGATACTATGATAAGAAATACCAAGTATTCCTGAAGCTGGTTGAACACCAGAAGGAGTATTTGGCGATCATGAATGATGACTGAACAGGGCTTGCAGGTGCTGATGCCAGAAGCTTCTGTGCCATTGCATTAAAGACTTGTCATTTGATCCATGTTCAAGACCCTTGAGGTATTGTTTCATCATTTCTGTATTGTCTTTCAATAAAGAAAACAAACATGTGCAACCAGAATTAGAGTCTTCATTTCAAAATACCGCTATTATTTAGTTTCAGTTTCCATACAGTCTCCATTATAGTAACAGAAGTTTCACATAGGGTCATAGGATCTCACATGAGACTAGACCTTGGGGGCTATTCAATCCAGGGAAGGCCTGTACTTTTTTTTTTTTTTTTTTGAGACGGAGTCTCGCTCTATCGCCCAGGCTGGAGTTCAGTGGAGCGATCTCGGCTCACTGCAAACCCCGCCTCCCAGGTTCACACCATTCTCCTGCCTCAGCCTCCTGAGTAGCTGGGACTACAGGCGCCCGCCACCGCGCCTGGCTAATTTTTTGTATTTTTAGTAGAGACAGGGTTTCACCATGTTAGCCAGGATGGTCTCGATCTCCTGACCTCGTGATCTTTCCGCCTCGGCCTCCCAAAGTGCTGAGATTACAGGCATGAGCCACTGCGCCCGGCCAGGCCTGTACTTTTTAATCAATTAAATGTCAGCTATTAAATGAAAAACTTACATTACTTTAGGTAGGACATCTAATGCATAGTCGATGTCTTTTATGGCATTTTCCCCTCCTGTGCAGGATCTAGTCTAGGGTCAGATACCACATTTATTTGCAGAATTGTAATTTCACAATCATCATATTAAAGACAGGTATAGGCAGGAATCATCGATGGATCCAGGAGGGAATTTTGAAGAATAACAGGATATATGCATAATCTTAAAATATCTCTTCAGAATTTGCTTATTAGTTACAAGAGGAAAAAGAACGTTAAGTATACAGGGAAGAAATAGGACAACATCTTGATTAGGTGATCCAAATCAACTTCAGATGGGCAAATGGACATTGTGTGCCTCCAGATATGAGAAAAGAAAGAGCATTTTAATGCAGAGCCTGAATCTAATCAGAAGGAAACATCAGACAAACGCAACATGGGAAGCATTTTATTTTTTAATGGACTATATTTTTCAAAAATATCTATGTCATACTGACAAAGAAAGGCTGTGGGAAGTTTCCAGATTAAAGGAAACTGAAGAAACCTGATGGCTAAAAGCTTTTGATGTAGACAAGCACTGGGAAAACTAGCTGTTTTAGTTGATACCACAGCAGACACACAAACGCACACAGACATACACATACATATACATACATAAATATGTCAACACCCACACATAATTTCAGACCCAAGAGTAACTGCTAACGTTGATTTGAGAGCTGTCATAGCTCAAATGAGTGTGGGTAGAGGACATGCTAAGACTTCAGCAAAAGACAGCAGGTAGAGAAGAAAAAGCCAATATAATTCAGTAAATAAACATCCTCTGGAGTACTTTGTGCCACATGTTGTGGTAAGCACTGGTCTACAGGAATAAATAAGACATGGCCCCTGCCTTCAGGAACCTCCCTGTTTAATGAGAGACATAGACAAATAGATTGATGACAGTACATTATGAGAAATGCTACAATTACAAAAAAAAAAGTACCTGCTGCATGGAGCCCATCAGTCAGAAAAGGAGGAAGGAGAAGGTGGGATGAAAAACAATATGGTGTAACAGCTATGAGCCCTGGCCTGGGATCCTAGGCCTGGTCTTACCTCTTACTAGATGGGTGACTTGGAGAAAGGTCCTTAATCTTCCTAAGTCTCAGTTTCCTCATTTTGAAATGAATAGGTATTGAATATGAATATGTTTTTTTTGTTGTTGTTGTTGTTGGTTTTTTTGTTTTTGTTTTTGTTTTTGTTTTTTTGAGACGAAGTCTTGCTCTCGCCCAGGTTGGAGTGCAGTGGCTTGATCTCTGCTCACTGCAAGCTCCACCTTCCAGGTTCACGCCATTCTCCTGCCTCAGCCTCCCGAGTAGCTGGGACTACAGGCACCCGCCACCACGCCCAGCTAATTTTTTGTATTTTTAGTAGAGACGGGGGTTTCACCATGTTAGCCAGGATGGTCTCGATCTCCTGACCTCGTGATCCGCCCGCCTCGGCCTCCCAAAGTGCTGGGATTACAGGCGTGAGCCACCGCACCTGGCCTGAATATGTTAATAGTACCTACTTTACAGGATTATAATGAGGACTAAAGGAGATAATGCATATAAAGCACTCGGCTCAATTGCATGGTCCATGCCTGTGTTATTACAGGGCTCTGCTCCTAGAAGATGCTCAAAATAGTAACTGTAGTAAGCATGGAGAAGGGTGAGCACCCCAGTTATGAAGGTCAGCTCTGCAATAGCATTCTACAGTATCCAAAGGATATAGGGACCTTAGGCATAGCCCCGAGTGAAGGTGGGTGTGCGTGTCTGATCTAGCTGGCCTAAAAGCAGAAGGAAGCCCAGTGCATTCATAGATCCTAGCCAGAGGTTGCACTAGGGATAAAGGAGGATTGGGGATCACTACAGAAGAGGAGTCGGGTATTG
This sequence comes from Homo sapiens, assembly GCF_000001405.40. Taxonomy (NCBI): domain Eukaryota; kingdom Metazoa; phylum Chordata; class Mammalia; order Primates; family Hominidae; genus Homo; species Homo sapiens. The sequence continues at coordinate 59,765,118 of NC_000001.11, forward strand.
CAGGATCTAAGCAAGATGTCAGGTCTATGGTCAAACAGGCTTCAGCTGCAAAAGCTGATTATCACTCACTGAGAAACGGGCAGGCCTGGACCTGCTCACACAAAACCCTGGTGAATGCGGTGGTTGTCTGTGGATACAAAAGGCAGACATAAAAGCATGAATAATTACCAACTATCTGCCAAGTCCTTGTTGTATGTCCTCTCCAATCCTCCTACAGCACTGTGAGGTAGGCAGCATTATCTCCACCTTATAGTTGAGAAAGTTGAGTTTCAGAAAAGACATAGTTGAGAAAATTGAGTTTCAGAAAAGATAGACACTTTGCCCAGAGTCACCAGATGGTAGCAGAGATAGGATTCAAATCCAGATCTGCCTGGATGCAAAACTTTAGGTATCACCCCACTGTAACAGCTGGAGAGGAATCCTGCCCACCACCTGCTCTTTAGTTGCAGTGCTCATGTTGTTGATTGCCAAGCTCCGGGTGCTGGCCATTCTTTCAAGCAAACTCGTATCCAAACCAAACCTGACCTGAGTTTTCACTGCTTTATAGAGAAAGGAAAACACACAGAAATTAGGCAAAAACACATGGCAACACTAGGACACCTTTGGCATCTCAACAGTGAGGAGCAGCTTGATAGAAAGGAGAAGGGCTGAAAGACCTTGGGCAACATAGCTAACCTGTCTAAGCCTCAGTCTTTCCCTCTGTGGTGGGATCATTCTGCTACCTACCTCCTAGGGTTGGTGGTAAGGATTCAGTGAAAGAACTGTGGATAAAGCCCTTAGCACAATGCCTTTCAGACAATAGGCACTCTACAAATATTGTTTCTCCATGGTTCTCTCTGCCTCCTAGCTAGGAGGTTAATCCCTAAGAAAATCATTCTGGTTCCTACTATAAAGCCACCGTGTTAGGAAAAAATATAAATGTCTATATATAATTCTATTAGAAACCACGTGTGGCTCAGTAATAAAAATTTTAATCACTCCAATACACACCTCCTTGCACTGAGAAAGGTGGTTTTATTTAATACATGCATGTAAAGTATATTTAGCTTTGATGAATAAGAATTGCAGTGTGGCCAGAGTGGTTTGTGAGATTTTTGTTTTGTTGCCTACTGAAAGCTTTTCTTTCAAGTTAAAGCCAGACTTGCTTAGCAAATCATTTTGCCAAGGAACGCATTACAGGTTTTAAATTTTGACCAAAAATACTTCCCATATGCGAAGAACATAAATGTGGCTTTCAAAAGAGCCAAAGAGAACAAAAGCTGGGGGAGGTGAGGAAGAAAAGACAAGAATGACAGAATGGAGTGGCATGTTGCAGAGCTACAGTAAACTACAGGACCCGATGCCACAGTGAGCTGGAGTCCTAGTGAGGCATCCAGAAGGGACGCCCTCTCTTGTGAAGATCCAGACTGGGCATTTGATCTTTATATTCAGAGCATAATCTGTGTTGTTGCCAGTTGCACTGGGGAGTATAAGTTCCAAGAGGAGCAGTAAAAATATCGTAAGGCAACCCTGGAAACGCCCAGCTTTAAGAATGCACCAAATCAGCATGTGAGTTAGCAAGCTAGAATGCTTAGGTTTTAATATCAACATGATCTGCTATTTCTCCCAGGCCTGAGGATAATCACGTTCTTTAGATTTACTTACCTGCTTTTTTCTTCCTCCCCCCGGCCACCGGCCTGTGAGCTCTTGGAGGGCTCAGAGTATCTTATAGCCTGTTCTCTGTACCCAAACAGTTCTTGGCACGTAATGGGTATTCCATAAGTGAATAAATACACAAACACAAGATGTTTTTCTGAAAAAAAAAAAAAAAAAAAAAAAACACTGGTAGAACTAAAAAAACTCACTTTCAGGTCAATCTTCTGTACGTGTTAATATGCCTTAATTTAAGCAACTGTCAAATGCTTTAAAATGTGTTTTGGTCACTAAGGATTTTTAAAAATCATGCCTTATACCTAACAACTTGCTTTTTTAGTTTTTTATTGCACATAATACACACATGCATAACCACACAACTTCATTTTGGGTTGTAGCTCAAGCTGAGAACCTTTTGCAAATTTTCCATGTTGTTACAGACTATTTCCTGTATGATATCCTATGGGAAGCCAGAGGTGTTGTAATCCAGAAACACCCATTGTTCACCAGGACTGCAGGACACATGCTTTCAGAATTCAAGGGCATAGTTACAAATAATTACCATCAAGAATTTAAAATGAAGGACATCGTTGCTAAACAAGAAACTAATGACTGAGTGGAGCTGTGTAATGTAATTATACTTAAGATGGGACTTCTGACGAATTACAGAAGAATCTTTGTGCTGTCTCATGTCTCCATAAATACACTTAACTGCTATTGACAGTAATAGAAGGGAGTCTTGAATATGAAAAGCTTTTTTTATCCTTTTATGATTTCTAGAGGGAAAACTTAAAAGAACAATTATGTTTTTAAAAAAGATGTTTCTCCCAGTACTTCTGAATATTTGACAATCCTATAAAATTTGTAAAACTAAAGTAACTTTAAAAGCAAAGACTTCTGCTAATAAATCCCGACTTCTCAGTTTAGCATTAACTTGCCCATTAATTTTGTGGTCGTGTTTCATTATGCACAGAAAATCATTTAAAACTACATATTAGCATAAGTGTTTTCTAAAGACCTAATTTTTATTTAAGTCCTGCCTTAAGCCATGATTAGAAGTGCTTCCTTATTAAAATCTAGAGTGAGCCTGCCTCCCTACTGCATAATTGTAAACACATTTGAAATAGAAAATGATTTATTTATTAGTGTCTGTTATTTAGGCAAAATCAATAGGGATGCCTTCCATTTGAATACTTCTTTACAGTTTCCCTATTGATTGCACATACATTATCTCATCTGCCCCTTATAATAAATTGGTGGGGTAGGCCTGACAAAGTGGGATCCCAGTTTACAAATACCCAAACTACATCTCCTAGAGTTTAAGTGACTGGTCCAAAAGATTGCGTAGCTGGAACACAGATGCAGAACCACTCCGCTGCTTCTTCCTAAATAAATTAAATTAGCTTATTTGTGCAACAGCAGATGATTCATTAGTTTCCTAATTACTCTCTCTTCCCTGCTTCCCTTCATTAACATGATATATAAATATCTAGGAGGCCCCTTTTGAAACTCATTGGTTGATCAAAGTACTGAATTATTTCTATTGGCAAGCAAAGGTAAAGTGACAAAGCCTTGAGCCATGGAATCATTGAGTCCTGCGTTCAAATCACAGCTTCATTACTTACTACTTTACACAGTTTATTAATTAATCCATGCCAGTTAACCTGTTAGTCTTTGTTTCTTATCTATCAAGTGGGAGAAAATCAAATCTGCCTCATGGTTAATGTGAGGATTAAATGGGAAAATATGCAAAGTGCCTGGCATAGTACCTGACATAAAGTAGAAGTGTAACAAATATCAATTTTTCTCCTCAACTGATACATATTTATTATATAGAACTTCTAGAAGTATGGCTTCCAGTCAAGTTGGACCACTTTATATCCAGTTTCTACAGGTAAACGCCTGTGTTCCATCAACAACACCAACCGTTACTGAGCTCTTACTATGTCAAGAGTGCTGGAATGGTCCCTGTTGCATGGCGCACACAGGGGCCAGCATTGGGTTGAAGATGGAGGGAACATATATAAAGAACTGAGAACCATGGAAATCTTGTGTCAGTGGCCCACTGAATACCACCACTGATAGGTGTGTGTGGAATGGCTCATGTGGAAATAATGAAGGCTGAAACATGTCCAGCCCCGCCTTTCTCAGCTCTGCTAAGCTGAAGGTACTCAAAGTCTTTTGTCAGCAGCTTCAGCGTTATTCCATCTAGAGGAAACCTAGCCTGAGGCAGGCAGTATGGAACATGCAGTTCAGACCAGCCTCAACCCTTCCCAGCCAGTAGGACTGGAATTCGTCTTTCTGCCATGAAGCCCTGAGCACCTGGGGCCACACCAAATGGCAGCTTTCTCCCCGAAAGTACAAACATGTTTGCCCAGGCTGGTTTGAACCCCTTGATACTGCCACACTATCCTTACGCTAGGCACAAAGAAAAGTAAATATTGATTCTTCTCCCTTGGTTTGCTGCATTATTTCTAAGCCATTTGTCAAAGTGTATTCCTCACATTACATTTCATTCTGTTTGAAACCCTCCCAGACTCAGGCCTCATGTACTGATCTCATTTCTGGCTCACCACTTCCTTCAAATTTGACTTTTGAAACTGTATCTCTGGGTAGAAACTTGGCTGTCCTTTAAGCATAGGTTAAGTTTTCCTTCATGCTAGTCTGACTTATAAGTTATTTCTCCCATCCCGTCCGGCCCAGAAAGCCCTATCTCAAGTTAAACCATATGGAAGGCTTATCTACCTACACCCAGCAAAGAACTGACCGTACATATCTGCTTTGCCCTCCAGTTTCCCTGCTAGGGCCAAATGTTAAGTGAAAGGCTATCTAAATGGAATTGTGATACGTTATCTAGCTTTTATCAGCTATCTCCCCCAGGGGCCAAATCCAGTTCCCTATAATTCTCCCGCCACCAACTTGGGCCTTGTTTTAACCCAGGCAGACCTCCCAGAGAAAAATCCAAGAGTCTTAAACCATATTTTGTGTTTAGAAACTCCTGTGCCAACCACTCTTGATGTGAGTGACAGCTATTGAAGATGTTCTCTGAAGGCTTCCTGATCCATGGCATGAAATAGTATTTCATTCTTTGGTCTCCTTGTGGTTGAAGGATCTTGTGACCAATCTGTTTAATGAGCTGTGAGAAATTATGTGTGTTATTTCCGGACAAAGTCTTTGATTGTCAGTGTGAGAATCCTCAGAGCTTTCTTTTCTCCTACACGACAACCAGCAAATGTTCCACGTGGGGATTCTCCCTCAGCGTGGGTTCCAGAGAGAGGATGGCTGTGAGCAGAGCCCCTAACCAGTGCACAGTGAACATGTGTCTTGGTGAGACATACACTTTTGTTTGTTGAAAACACTGAGGTTTTAAGTTTGTTTCTTGCCTCAGCATAATCTATCCTATCCTAACTGATGTACCTCATGCCATGAGGGCCACACTGACCTATATGGAGGCTAAATTTGCTAGGGTCAGAACAGCTGTCTCAGTCTTGCTTGGGGCAAAATTTGCAGTTAAGTGGATCCCTCTAGTCCCAACTCTGAACAACTCCATTACGCTCCCTTTCCTGACTAGCATGTGTTGTGCTCCCAATCTCACAAGTCAGGAGAGCACTCTCTTATTCTATGCTAGGGTTTCCCAAGAGAAGGTTTATTAGTGGGAATGGTGTTTAGGTGCAAGTAATAATAACCCATCTGACAGCTAAATTGATATGATAAGATAGTTGTTATTTACAGGGACAGGCAGCCATCAAGTCAACTTGAGGATTCAACAGTTCCATCAAAGAGCCAAGCCCTTTTTATCTTCCTATTCCTCCAGTCTTCATCAGCTAGCAATTGACCTCAGGTTTGTTACTTCCGATTACAAGATGCTGACATCTCTAAAGGCATCTTATTTTCACAGCATCCATAACACGAGAATCTTCTCTCTATGCTATCCTTTTTTTGTTCTTTGTTTTTTGTTGTTGTTGTTGTTGTTCTTGTTGTTGTTTTTCCTGATCAAGGAAGAACCTCCCAGCAGACTTCTCCTTAGGTTTCATTGGCCAGATTCTGCATCACACTCCAGCCACTATGGATTGCTAAAACTGGCATAGAGAACTCATGATGCCTTCTCCGGGACTGGGCATATTGCTGTTCCAATGAAATCATGGTTCTGTTAAAAAGGGAGGGAGGGAATGGCTTTTGTATAATCAGCCAACACTATTTACCAAAATAACACTAGATTTCATTTTTAAAAAAGAGCCATGGCCAACTAAGTTTGGGAAACACTGAGTTAAATATGTCTTGTTACTACAGAATATCTTATACTAATCTTGTAATATACTCATGTGCATTGTGAGCTTCCTAGAGAAAAATTACCTGTGAAGCATTTCCCAGACTTACTCCTTTAGACAAGTTTTTTACAAAGCATTTTATTGCACATAATGGAACAACCACAGTATTTCGAAGGTTAATTAACCAAATCATCATGTTTTCACCTGAGTTGTATAGATGTTTTTCTTTCATATTATCTGTTGGAAGGTTTATTCAGCAAATTGATAGCTCCTATTATTAAAATTTTGGTTATCTAATTACAGAATTAAAATGATATTCACTGCTATAGAAATTATTGCCTTACGAATGAATGTTGCTAATTATCAATGTTTAAACTAGTCATTAGAAATAGGCTCAAAAAGACCTCTACTTGGAAATATAAGAAATTTCAACTGAAAGTTGTCCCTTCAGTTAAATTAAATTGTAGCTCCAGACCATGGGTCAAACTAACGGGATAGCAAGTGTCACATTAACTAATTATTAACTAATAATTAATTATTAACTAATAATACAATCATGCATTTCTTTGTTATATTTTTAAATTTAGTATTTCCATCCATTCTAACTTTGAAGTCTTCCTTCTCTATCCTGTATTCCATGTAGGAAACTCCCTAGTAATGTATATCAGGCCAAGAATATCACGCCTCTCCAACTTACTTCCCCTCCTTGTGCACACCCTCACCCTAAACCATACATACAACACAGACAACATTAATATATTATTAGGTCTTTTGCTAAAAAGAGTAAAAAGTTATTTCCTTAAGATCAAGCAAATACTAAAGGATAGTGTAGCTAACATTAGCTATTTTGCGACATGAGTTCTTAATACTAAATGTCATGAGTTCTATTAAAGTTGTGCTGATTTAAATTTCAACCTTGTATAGATATTTTAATATCATTTTGACAATATACTTCTAAGCTGTTTATTTACTTTAATGGTTTTGTAAGAAGTTTCTGCATACACTACAAGATAAAAACTTGTTACAATTAAAAAGGATTTGAAGGAACCATGAAGTTATTTTAACAGTAAACATGTTTATTTTTTGTATAAATTGTGCATTTTCCTTTTTTACATCTACATAGTAATTTTTAAAGTATAATTTCTGAAACATATGGCTTAGCTGTTCTACACAGGTGCTACATAGAGCTGGAGAACATATTGTGCTTATATGTATTCAAGCATATGTTTCAATCCTACTCTTTTTACAATAAACATTTCATCGACTTCCTGCTATTTATATCAGGAACACGTATTTGGCCTTGATTTCACCTGCTCTTTTTGTAGAGAGACTTACAAAGAGACTCTGGGAGGTTATGGAATCTACAGGAAATAAATACAATGTCGATTTTGTTACAAGGTGATTGAGCTGGTAAGGAAGTGGTTAAAAAATAAACCTTTACAACTGTAAGTGTAGAATGAGATAACAATGTGTTACTCTTTTCGTTTTTTTCTGATTATTTTACTCTCCCCAAAACCCTTTTACATTTGTACAAAAACTTAACTCAGTGTTTAAAAAATATTGTTTCTCATACTATAATCACAACTCTAGTTTTAAGAATAAACAGTTAATATACCAATAAGAATAACTAATAATAATAGTAGCTAACAGTGGATAAGTGCTCACCATGGGCAGGCTCTGGTCTATGCCTGATCCCACTTAATCTTCATAACAAACGGAAATGATCAGCACTGTTATTTATATTTTGCAGATAAGGAAAACGAAGCACAGAGCAATTAAATAACTTGCCCAAGATCGCCCAAGATCACCCAAGATGTCCGGCTGAAGTTCTTAACCATTACCTTACACTAATCAACAGCAACAATAATAATAACCACCTTTCTAGGATGCAAATTATGTTCCAAGAACTTTCATTATTTCATTACATCTGCATAGCCCCAAGAGTAAATAATATCCTGTTCTATTGAAGAAGAAACTGAGGTCCCAAGACATGAAATTACTTGCTCAAGGTCACACACTGGTAAGTGGCATTAAACCACCTCCTATAAGTGTCAGAAGATAATTGGGGCTGAGGTGGAGCTGAGATTTTAAAAATATCAGTGGTAGGAGATAGACGATGTGATGCCCCATTTAAACTACATGGCAGTGGTGTCCTACGACTAGGAGAGGAGAGGCGGGAAAAGCTGAAGTCTCATGAAATAAAAATCAAAATAAAAAGAATGCTTGGCGATGCTATTAGTATATAGTCCCCTTTCGACACTTAAAAAATGCTCAGAAAGAGTGAAGATTTACTGCTAGAGGGGCTATGTTTTTAACTCTTTATACTCCAGACACAAGCTGCACTGCTATACAGTCAGCAGATGTTTTTTAGGAAAGGGCTAGATAGTAAATATCTTTTGGCCTTTCATATTATTTGATCTCATTCGCTACTGCTTAACTCTGCCATTGTAACAAGAAGGCAGTCACAGACAATATGTGAATGAATGGGCAGAGCTGTGTTCTAATAAAGCCTTATTTACAAAAACAGGTGGTCCTGCAATGTGGCCTGCAGGCTGTAGTGTGCCAGCCTCTGCTCTGGCCTCTGGGGTGGTGGCTTTGGGAGTATTGAGGACCAGTCCCCTAAGTGCGGTCATTGGCATTCTCATAAGTGTAGTGCAAACAGCAAGACAGTGGGGAAGTTCCTTTTAGTAGCTTTCGGGGCACTAGATATGAACCAGATGGAAAGGAGCGTGACTTTGGGAATTATAATGTTTTACAACTCCCAAATAAATGTATGATTTGAAGCAGAAGAAGCCTCAGTAATAATGGAGTTTGGCACTTATAATGAATGACCAAGTGAACATTGTATTTTTATCTCCAGACAGAAGACACATATGGATTTAACTGTCCCAAGCTCTCTTTCAATTCCCCATCAATTTTCTGCCCTCGGTTTTTTGCTTTTTTCCTTTTTAAAATGAGTTTAACATGTGTATCAATCAGTCTGAACTTGATGTGGTATATTCATTAAATGGTTTCATTTTTCTACTTTCACAGCCCTCAACTCTGTGATGTCAAAATTCCCTTCTCCATAGGTAACAGATCCTATCTGGCTACTTTTCATTATTAAGGTACAGTATACTTAAATTTATACTAAGTTGTGGCATAACTACAAAGAAAATAATTCCTTCAGTTTTCAAAACTGTACTTTTATCTTCCCATACCTCATAGGATATATACCAAGGATGCAGTTAAATACATTTAATAATCTTATTCTTAGTAATAATATTAGTATTCATATTTAAAAAATATACTAGGATATATTTTTCATAAAGCAAATGTTTATGTCTTTAGAAATCAAGATTTTTAGCCTGAAATAAAAGGCATACAAATATAAAAAGTTAAAACACTATAATCTTTAACTTGAAAAGGAAATACCAGTATCAATTTTTTGTTGTTTTTTTTTTTGTAAAATTGCTAGCTCTTTTCACCAAGAATACATAGAAGCATTGACAGGCCAATATCAATTAGCAATCAAAGGGTAAAGATGTTAGTGTCTAAATATCAAAAAAATCGAGTTCCCTTGTAGAAACTGCCAGCACCATATTGAGGATGAGAAATGTACAAGATAAGCCTGGGATATCTCGTTGTAAGTGAGAGCAAAGAAGCCATCAAAGACCATTGCATCACACTAAAATAACATTAGGGCCAAGTTGAAGGATCTTCCACTGACCAAAGGCAGACAATTTTGTATCAAAAAACTATGACTACAATGGACAAATATATGTGTGTGTTTACATATGTATAAACATTCATGGGTGGTCCCTAAATATCAATATAATTTATACTTACCCACTAGATAATTCTGCAACATACGGCTCATCAAATTAGATATTCTGCAAATATGTTCAGCCAAATCCTTCCACCTGCATCTAGATTTACAGTGATATCAAACTATAATTTTCTTTAGAGGAATCCATGTTCCTCACCAGAAAGGAAGAATAAAAGGCAGTTTTCTCAAATTTGAAGAACACAAGGAATCATCATAGTTGCCATCCGAGTTTAGATCCATAGTGCCTCTAACCTAAGGATTCTCACCCCTAGCTGCATATTGGAATCACCTGGTGAGCCTGTGCTTTACCTCTAGAGATTCTGACTGAATTGTTCCGGGATGTGACCTGGCATTGGTATGTTTGAAAAAACTCCCCAAGTGATTCTAACATGCAGGTGATGTTAAAAAAAACACTAAATCTGATGATGGCTTTAACCTTATGCTACCTGTGGGAGGAGGCCCTGTGGAACAGGAATGAGCGGGAACATCCTTCAGGAAATGCACCTAAAAACACCATCACCAACCATAGCAAGTCATGGAATGCCAGACATACCAGATCAGATCCTACTACTTATTTAATCTCCTAAAGAAACACTGTAAGGAATATACTGTTATCCTCATTTTTGTAGATGAATACTTTGTTATTTATTTAACCAAGATGTTAAATAAATAAATTACCAGTGGTCTCAGAGCCAGTAAATAGTGAAGCCAAGACTCGTACTAGGTCTGCACAAATGCAAAATCCATGCTCTTCACCATGCTGCATGCCAGGTACATCTTCTTCCCGAGTCTTAGCTAAGAACAGGCTGCTGTGTAGGTTGATCAGATAACTGTTCAGTATCAGCCTGTGATGATGCATTTTTCATTACTCTTCATCAAACAGCCACCTCTGGTGACGTGAATACTGCCAAGGCTGCTTTTACAGGAGCCGTGTAGAAGGCAGAGGTGATTGAGACTTACTTGAGAGTACTGCAAATGACTACTGGTTGTTAGAACCATTACCTAATGTTAGTATTTTAAAATAAACTACAAATTGTAAGGGAAGGGATCAATATTTTATGACTACAAAATACTACTTTCAGTAGAGAATCTAGAATTTCTATAAAGGAATTGCTTAGGGGACTTAATATGGTGGAAAGGAGAAGCTAGCCAACTTGTAATAAAACTGCTTTTACGAAGCCCTTTGCATAGGAAATGTGAACTGTTTAGATCAGAGAATTGAGAGGTAAAGTCAGCAGAAATTGTGGAGGAACTAAAGCCTCCACCCTTAATCTTCTTCTTGTCACTGCTACTGTCCCTCAGACAGGCAAAGATGTTTATGTAACCATCTGATTGGGGTTGAAAGGAATGAATTGGCTCCTCTGCAGCTATAATTTGTGATTGTAATTAAATATTACCCTTCTTTACCTTTAAAAGACATCTCTTGGTATCAAAAAATTTTGATTACAGTGGATTAATAAATATGTGTGTATATATCCATGAGTAGTCCTTAAATATGAACATATTTAATTTATACATACCCATTAGATAACTCTGCAAGATACTAGTCATCAAATCATATATTCTGCAAATATATTCAGCCAAATCCTTCCACCCTGCATCTAAATCTAGGGTGGCATCTTCCCATACACCTTCACCTCTTCCACTCTTGGAGTCTAGGTTCTTACCACATCTAACAGCTTCTTGGCTAGCCTTTTTGCCTCCATCCCTCTGCCTGACTATTGCTTCCAGTCTCATCTTAGACTCGCCAATCCCATCTTTCATTTGGTCTCCTATATTTTAAGGATAAAATAAAATAAGAGGAGGTCCCTGGGTATGTGCTAAGTGGGTGTGTGGAAGTAGAGTCCTACCTCACTATGGTGGAAGCATAAGAAGCTGAAAAATAAATGCTGGAATTATACCTGCAAGGGATACTGAGGTCAAAGGCAAGACAGCTGGCCAAGCCAGATTGTTCTTCCAATGGGCCAGGTGAGCAATGGATGTAAGGTATGGAGCCCAGGTGAGGAAGACAGAAAGCAAGAACTCAAGTGAGAGGTAGTTCATATGGCTGCCTCACTATCATCTTCCAGACAAAATGCTGATGATAGTAGTGTCTTTTTGTATGAAGTCCAGCGAGTATGCCAGGTGTACTTAAAGGGGCTGGAGTAATGTGGATACCCCTGACTCCAATACTTGGCACACTTAGGCAGAAGGAGCTCTTCAACCCACATAACCCCCAATGGATGTGACACTGGGTCTGGCTGTTGCATCACTGAGATTCCAGGACCTTCTCCTCCCATCAGATCTTTCCCTTCCATCAGGTCCAGTTCTGTCCAGGACTCTCCATAAGGCAGTGGTGCATGATATACGCCTAAATGGGCTCTCATCAGCACCTCCTCCTTCTAAGCTTTGCAATGATCTGAAGCCCAGGCCAGGTCACAGCACACGGACCCTATAACCAGCAATTAGGAAAGTAGCCAGCGTTTCTATCTATGGTAGCACTGAAAAATCTTTTCCCCTGAGTTTAAGTCAGGCTGGAAGACAGGGAATTCCATCGTGCCTTTTGTTTCTGTCAGAGTCAAAGCAGGAAATAGCTGCCAGCTGAGTATTCATAACAGGGATTTAAAAACTGGGAATTAATTACACAGAAGTGGAGGAACTGAGAGCCAAGCATGGGGTAGTGAGGCAACCCAGAGAATCATAACTGAAGGGAACCACTAAGACCCTAGGCCAGAGGGACAGAGGAAGAGGCAGTGTTACGGGCCCCTGGGCGAAGCTGGCATCCTGGCAGGACTGTTCTGGAGATGGCGCTGCTGGGGAGTTGCTGCCCAAGACAGAGAGGGAGGGGAGAAACATTCCAACTTCTCCCCTCTTCCCTCCCTCTAGTGTTCCACCAGTGCCTCCCACTGGCCAAATATGCAGAATTCAAGGGTCAGTCCCCTGAAATACAGAGCAGAGCAGGAGAAAGTGAAGAACCAATTTGAAGGCAATATGCCCAGGAGAGACCAATTGCCCTTGTTTGTCAACCTTCACCACTGCTCCAAACACAAAGCCCTCATACACACTTCCATAACAGTATCACTCCTGGCTTACATGCCCCACAGTTTTTCCTTATCCTTCTGCCATCCTTGTGCCAACCCACCAGCTATGCCTTACAGAGCCTCCATTCCACTGTAAACAAACTACTCTATGTCCTGCCTCTTCTTCAAATATTCTCTCTGACTTGAATTCAATCCTGATTCACACTTAGCAAAAAGCCCTGAATCATTTATTCACTCATTCAACAATGACATATTAAATGGAAATTATACCCGTAATAACTAACCTTGCATTGTTGTATGTGTTTTATATATATTAAGCCCTCCAATTCTCGCAACCACCTTATGCCCCTTCTATAGATGAGGAAACTGAGACAAGAAGTCCTTAAGAAACTTGCCACTCCCATAGTTCATAAATAGCAGGGCCAGAAATCAAACATGCATCCAGCCTCGAGAAACCACAGTTTTACCCACCATACATCACTGTTCCAAAAATGAATATACAGTAGTGAGCAACAGATAAAGTTTAGTAGAAGAAGACATTTTTAAATTTTCATTTTGTAATAATTTTAGTTTTACAGAAGACTTGCAAACAATAGAGAGTTCCATATACCCTTCACATTGCTTCCCCTAATGTTAACAACTCACACAACCATACAGTATTTATCAATACTAAGAAACTTTCATTGGTACGATGCTACTAACTAAATTACAAACTCTAACCAAATTTCGCCAATTTTTTGATTAATGTTTTCCTTTTCCAGGATCCAATCCAGGGCACCATGTTTCATTGAATCATCATATCTCTTTAGTTTCTCAGACTTTCTTTGTTTTTTGTGACCTTGACACCTTTGTAAATTATTGATTAGGGCCAGGCCTGGTGGCTTACGCCTGTAATATCAGCACTTTGGGAGGCTGAGGTGGGTGGATCACCTGAGGTCAGGAGTTTGAGACCAGCCTGGCCAACATGTTGAAACCCTGTCTCTACTAAAAATACAAAAATTAGCTGGGCATGGTGGCGGGCACCTGTAATCCCAGCTACTAGGGAGGCTGAGGAGGAGAATTACTTGAACCCAGGAGGCGGAGGTTGCAGTGAGCCGAGATCACACCATTGCACTCCAGCCTGGGTGACAAGAGCGAAATACCATCTAAAAAAAAAAAAAAAAAGGATTGGTTAGGCATTTTGGAGAAAGTCCCCGCATTTGGGTTTGTCTGATGTGTTCATATAAGTAGACTAGAGTTCTGAATATTTTGGACAAATGACATATTGGCAAAGTGCCCTTCTCACCACATCACATCAAGGATACAAGCTATAAACATGAGCTATCATTGATGATGTTAACCTTATTAATTTAGTTAAGGTGATACATGGCAGATTTCTCTGCTGTTAAGTTTCTATTTTTCCCTTTTCATATTCTGTTAGTTAGAAGTGAGTACTAAATCCAGCCCTCACAAGGGAAGCAGAGTTAAGCTCTACATCGTGGAGGAGGCAGCAACTACGTTTATCATTTGGAATTTGGCAGGAAATATTTATCCTTTCTCCTCCATTTATTTATTTATTCAATCATTTATCACTCAGTAAACATTCATGAATATTCATTTTATTTTTTAGGTTATATTCCAATACTGTCATTTATTTTGTTTCCCTAACTGGGGCAACAAGTTAGAGCTCCCACTGCCTAGCTTTGGCCAATGGGAGCTTTTTCAGGTTGACTACTGTGCCCTTTTCACATGTCCCCATTTTGTTGAGCCCTTCCTTGCATTCTGTCACTACAAAATGCTCCAGGCTTATCTTGGATTTTCCCACCCCTGCCCTAGAATCAGTGATTTCTCCAAAGAACACTGGTTCCTTTTATTGGAGAATGGTATCAGAAACCAAGATCTGGGTGCCGGAAGTGCTTCTAGTTTCTCTCAGTGGAAAAAGATAGAAAATACATGTATGTATATATACTAACCCATGTATATATACATAAAAAGACTTTGAATAAATGAAAGCACAAATGGGTTGTTATAAATGCTATGAAGGAAAATACCAGATTCTTTATAAAAGGGTTATAGATATGATTTAATACAAATGGGGTTAGGTAGAAGTCAAGATGGTCTTCTCTGCAGTTAAATACTTAAGGTGAAATCTATTGAATGACTAGGAATTAGCCAAGTGAAAGGGCAGAGAGACAGCAGTACAGGTAGAAAAACCATCATTTAAAAGAACACTAAATAGCAGGTGCTCAAAATGTTTGAAGAGTTGGATGAAGTCCATCGTGGTGAGAGTGGAATGATCCAGGGGATACGTGACCACAAGGGGGCCAAGGCTGGATCACATAAGACCTTGAAGGCCATGATAAGGAGTTCAGATGTTGTCATAGTGTAATGGAATGCCACTGAAGGGTTTTTAAAAGAGGAGGGAGTTGCATTCTACTTCACATAGAGTTGTAGAATCATGTAAAGTAGAAACCTCCTCAATTTCCTCAGCTCCTCAATCCCCACCCCACTACCCATAAGCTTTTCCCTGCAGGCACCCATCTGCAGGAAGCTTTACAGTTGGCCACCTCACTCTGGTCCACACCAGAGTCTTATCTTTCTGGTCTTTAGATTTCACCAGGCCACAACTATAAAATGACTTATATGAAAAATACTTGTATACTTTTATTATAAAATTTGCTGTCATTTACATTATTTGTTCATTCACTCAGTCTTTTCTAGGAACTATATCTGATGCCTCCCAGAACTCCAGAATCTACTAAATATTAAGAACAGTGTTTCCCTCTATTCCTCAGCTGCCAAGGAGCTCATGACTACATTTAATATACACACAATTGTATTTTCCTCAGCTATGAAATCATGATAAAATAGTTCTTGCCTTCCCCTTCATTGATTAGTTGCCTTTATAGTATGCTAGAATTATTTTACTATGCCAGTACTTTTATTGTAAGCTAATTGAAGATTTTTTGAAATTAGAACAGTTTTACCATTTTTAAAAATTAGCAAAAAAAAAAAAAAAAAAAGAAGAAGTATTTTCTGCCACTTGATAAAGGACTTTTCTCTTTAACACCAGTAACAGCCTCAGCATGAGGATTCTGGTAACAAGGAACCCCTGAGGTTGCTCTGGTTTTTTCTGAACAGCTCTAATTACTGTAAAGTTATTAAATGTTTATTGATTGTAGAACCAAATGAATAAACAATGGTCTGTTGTTCTACTAAGTTCAAAACACATTAAGGAAACAATTTGTTTATTAAAAGCATGGATTTTTAAAAGCATGGATCAAATATAAAAATAAAAATAGAAGGGTTTTATATAATATGTAAAGTAGTACTAATAGAATGCAATAAAGACAAATAATTATCCCCAGGGGAACACTATTACAGGCAGGCTTGATAATGATTTATTTTTTCTTTCCTTTTGTGATAATTATTCACTCATTGGTACTAAGAGATGCTGACAGTTCACTAACAAGATGATTGCTTTTGCTTCACATATTCTGTGCTTTCCTCTCATTTTAGTCCTAAGACAAATTATTCAATTACTTTCAGGTGCTAAATTTGTTTTAATAGTGTCTATTCTATGTAGATATATGATTCTCTAATTTTAATAAAATTAGAGCAATTTTATTTTGATATTTTAGAAATACACTGAATGCCATTTAAAATGTTAAGGAATTCTTAGTTTTTTCACCATACATAAATTTAAGTTTGGAAGTGAAGTCAGAATAGACTTGAGACTTAGATACCCAAGACTTGGATCTGAAATGCAGCCATACCACATACTAGCTGTGTGTGAACTTGGACAAATTAATTAATCCCTTTGGGTCGCTCTTTTTTTCAATTTTAAGGTAGAGTTGGTGGTAATCACTTCTCTACCCAACTCACTGGGTTGTTATGAGGTTCAAATGAAACAATGGCTTTGCACACCATAAAGTTCTTGTCAAATATCGGTAATAGTATATGTATTCACTTATTTCAAAAACATTTGTCAAACACCCACTCTATGCCCGGCACTGTGCTCATGCCAGAAATGTGCAAATGTTTGAATAGAAGATTATGAAGATGATTATGTCACTGTTTCTTAGGTTTAAAATGTACATATCTTACACCAACATAACAACGTGAATATATAATACAGTTACGATATTTCTTCCCATTAAGGCTTTTGATTATATTTTGCTCATTTTAGAAGTAATAACTTTATTCTAACTTTGTCATAGATATTATATACTGAATGTAACTAATTAAACAATGTAGTTGAAAATCTTGTAAACAGGATACAATATATAATTCTATTATTTCTAGTTAGAAAAGCCAGAAACTGGTTAATTTTTTTTCTTTGAGACAGGGTCTCACTCTGTTGCCCTGGCTGGAGTGCAATGGCATGATCATGGCTCACAGCAGCTTCAAACTGCTGGCCTCAAGCAATCCCCCTGCCTTGGCCTCCCAAAGTACTGGGATTATAAGCATGGGCCACCATGCCCAACCTAATTTTATTTAACCAGTGAATTCCAACAGGTTTTATGTTTAGTTCCCAGTGTTGTCTCTTATTGATTCTTCTTATTTCGAACTGACAGTGAGCCCAGACAGAGTTTTAATATAAATTGTCATGGGGAAACACTCTTGAGATCTTCTGTGTCTTCTGTTTTTGAAGAGTTTGTTTCACAGTCAAGCAGAAACAACAGTATGGACTCTAAGTGCAAGAGAAATGTGTGCTATAATTACAAAGGCAGCAATGAAATATAATTACTACAGGGGCAGCAAGAGGCAACAAGATAATAGGCTGAGTTCAATCATTCAAAAAATACTAAATGAGCATTTACCAATGTACTTTGCTAGTGACAGGGAATACAGTAGTTAATGCAGAGCTGATACTCACTTCATGGAGTTTAGAGAAGTGAAGAAGAGTTCAGAAAAGTTAGAGTGAGTCTTTTTTTATTTTTATTTTTAGAGACAGTGTCGCACTCTGTCACCCAGGCTGGAGTGCAATAGTGCAGTTACAGCTCACTGCAGCCTTGATCTCTCAGGTTCATGCAATCCTCCTGCTTCCGCCTCCCAAGTAGCTGGGACCACAGGCACAGGCCACCACACCTGGCTAATCTTTAAATTTTTTTGTACAGACAGGGTCTCACTATGTTGCCCAGGCTGGTCTTGAACTCCTGGGCTCAAGCAATAATCCTGCCTCAGCCTCCCAAAGCAGTGAGGTTACAGGCATGAGCCACTGTGCCCCACAAGTCTTCTAAGCAGAGAAAATAGCACCTGGGAGGGCCTTGGAAGTAAGAAGTATGGTGCCTTCAAATTACTCCTGGAGCATAGAGGACATTTACTGAAGTGTTCTGTATATCTTTGTATTTCTCACAATATCAGGAATGGGTTGTCCACAGATATTTTTGAATCTATAATAAATGGTGAACACCAATGAGCATGGCACCATTGGGTCTGCCAGTCCTCCTGGAGCATGTCTGGTTCTGAATGTCAGAACATTAATATTTTCATTGGGAAAATGTGAGTCTTGATAGCACTACACAGAATGATAATGGAAATATAATGAGGTGATAAAGGAGCAAACTTTAAAATGTAAAAACATCATCAAATGTTTGTTGTTCATCTTTGAAACAATTGGAACAGTGGAAAGAACATGGAAAAGAACAAAATCAAGGAAGATACTAGATTGAAAGGGGTCAGAATCTTGAACATTTTCTTAATTTTAATTCTAAAATATGTCAAAGAATAGAATGTTTCTGAAGCTGAAATAGCCATATCTGTGTCAATGTCAGAGTCTCATATACTCAACTTGGGGAGAAACAGAAAGCGCCAGGCTGTCAGCTTAAGCAAGGCTCACAGACCAATGCACCTGAATTTCACACAACAGAATAGAAGGTGACCGGTTTGCTTAAAGAATATCTTAGTGATGCACATCAGCCAGTTTTGATACTTCCCCCAGAGAATCAAACTCTTGATTATATATTTATACACACATAGGGAGATATGTATGTTAAAAGGAAACTTGTTAAAGCTTTATCTTGAGTTATGAGAAAATATATGTGAAAACACATACTCTATAAATATTTATAAAACTATAAGAAACTTATACATCAGTAACATTTTGATAATTATAGTGACTCATGTCATTATAATCTTATGGGCAAAGCTTCTTTAAATTGTTCTTTGGAAACCTTCACTAAATGGTCTTGAATAGAATCCAAGTCTTGAATTGCTTAAATTAATTCCACTCTCTCCTGAATGGTGTTGTAGTGCTGCTTCAGGATATTAGATAATGGAATTGTGACCCTACAGCTTTATTGGAGCTAATCATATTAATAAGGCCAAATAGGTCTTTATCTAGGATGAAAGAACCAAATAGTATAGCACTTAAAAAAAAACAACCATTGAGATATCCTTGGAATAATGCCACAAATTTAAGTCTGGGGGAGAAAAAATAATTATTAGAGGACAGAGTGCATTCACATATTGCTCAATTTGCCATTTACTTAAGTACTTGAAGTTTGGGAAGCATTCAGACTATAATGATGCTCATCACATACAAGGAGCTTGGGTTAAAAGCTTTCTGAGCGTCCTCTATTAAACACAGTAGCTGCTCTCCATAGGGCATTACCATATTAAAGATCCTACAATATTATCAGTTAATTTACTGGTCATATTACACCAAGCATATCAACTTGGTTTTAATTATTCTGCCAATACTAATTGATTGGTAGTGGCTGCTGGGTTACAAAAAGGCTGTGATTGTAAACAAACTCTAAAGCAGAGATCATGGATATATGTGTTTAGGGGTGGAACTGGGGCGTTCACAACCCCTATATAGTGACAGTAATGGTTCTCTATTACAGAAAAGGCTGATTAAGCATAGGCTCAAGGTTACAGAACTATTTATTCATTTGTTTATCATTCACTTCGTCAAAAATGATACGGAAGAAAATATAGGTAATATACAGTGATAAAGAAATCAGGGCAATGGGAAAGTAAAATCAAAAATTAAGACAAGGCCACTAAGAAATACAAGCTATAAGATCCGGCACACTTAGGAAAGGGGACTTAGAATTTGACTCTAAGTTTCCTGATAGTCTAATTGAAAGTGGAAGGCATGATCATTTACAAGATTCGGGCTGTCTTAAATATAAGGCAGGTCCTATACGTAAAATGTAAGACAGACATTCTGGTATAAAAGAATGTAAGTGGACCTAGAAGACATGAATTTAAATCTTAGGTCTGCCATTTAGGAGCTAGGTGACTTTCAGCAAGTTATTTAAACTTGACTACTTCGATATCTTCATTTGCAAAATGTGGATAATAATGCTGCTTCATGAATTGTTTTGAAATAAACAAAGAAGTAAATATGCTCTTTATTTTTTGTTTGGTCACCTAGATCCATTTGCCTTGCTTTTCTGTCCTACTTCCTGTCCTGGGAGGTTGACCCTAAAAACCGTGCCACCCAGGCTCCCATTGCCCTCTGGCTTTCTATTTGGTTCAGCCAACAAGAGGTACTCCCTCCCCACTGCCTCAATACCAACTGTCTAACTGTAGCTGCTCTTTTTATGACTACAACTCCTGATGGGCAGTTGCCTTATGTATTAGTCCATTTTCATGCTGCTGATAAAGACATACCAGAGACTGAGAAATTTACAAAAGAAAGAGCTTTAATTGAACTTACAGTTCCATGTGGCCTGGGGAGCCTCATAATCATGGCGGAAGGCAAAGAGGAGCAAGTCAAGTCCCACCTTACAAGAATAGCAGCAGGCAAAGAGAGAATGAGGAAGTTCCAAAAGCGGAAACCCTTGATAAAACCATCAGATCTCGTGAGATTTATTCATTGCCATGAAAACAGTATGGGGTAGACTGCCCCAATGATTTAATTATCTCCCACTGCGTCCCTCCCCCAACACGTGGGAATTATGGGAATACAATTCAAGATGAGATTTGGGTGGGGACACAGAGCCAAACCATATCATTCCACACCTGGCTGCTGCCAAATCTCATGTCCTCACATTTCAAAACCAATCACACCTTCCCAATAGTCCCCCAAAGTCTTAACTAATTTCAGCATCAACTCATAAGTCCATGGTCCAAAGTCTCATCTGGGACAAGGCAAGTCCTTTCCACCTATGAGCCTGTAAAATCAAAAGCAAGCTAGTTATTTCCTAGATACAGTGGGGGTACAGACATTGGGTAAATACAACCATTCCAAATGGGAGAAATTGATCAAAACAAAGGGGCTACAGGCCCCATGCAAGTCTGCAATCCAGCAGGGCAGTCAAATCTTAAAGCTCCAAAATGATCTCCTTTGACTCCATGTCTCACATCCAGGTCATGCTGATGCAAGAGGTGGGTTCCCATGGCCTTGGGCAGCTCCACCCCTGTGGCCTTACAGGGTGTAGCCCTGCTCCTGGCTGCTTTCATGGGTTGGCATTGAGTGTCTGTGGCTTTTCAGGTGCATGGTGCAAGCTGTTGGTGGATCTACCATTCTGGGGTCTGAAGGTCGGTGGCCCTCTTCTCACAGCTCTACTAGGTGGTGCCCCAGAAGGGACTCTAGTCCCATTTCCCTTCCACACTGCTCTAGCAGAGGTCCCTTCCACACTGCCCTAGTATACATCTTCTGACATCTAGGCAGAGGTTCCCAAACCTCAATTCTTGACTTCTATGCACCCACAGGCATAACACCATGTGGAAGCTGCCAAAGCTTGGGCTTGCACCATCTGAAGCCATGGCCCAAGCTCTACAATGGCCCCTTTCAGCCATGGCTGGAGTGGCTGGAACTTAGGGCACCAAGTCCCTAGGTAATGTACATAGTTCAGGGACACTGGGCCCAGCCCACAACACCACTTTTTCCTCCTAGGCCTCTGGGCCTGTGATGGGAGGAGATGCCATAAGGACCTCTGACATGCCCTAGAGACATTTTCCCCATTGTCTTGGGGATTAACATTTGTATCCTCATTACTTATGCAAATTTCTGCAGCCATCTTGAATTTCTCCTCAGAAAATGGGATTTTCTTTTCTATCACATTGTCAGGCTGCAAATTTTTCAAACTTTTACGCTGTTTCCCTTTTAAAACTGAATGCCTTAAACAGCACACAAATCACTTCTTGAATGCTTTGCTACTTAGAAATTTCTTCCACCAAACACCATAAGTCATCTCTCTCAAGTTCAAAGTTCCATAGATCTCTGGAGGAGGGGCATAATGCTGCCAGTCTCTTTGCTGAAACAAAACGAGTCACTGTTGCTCCAGTTCCCAACAAGTTCCTCATTTTCATCTGAGACCACCTCAGCCTGGACCTTATTGTTCATATCACTATCAGCATTTTTGTCAAAGCCATTCAACAAGTCTCTAGGAAGTTCCAAATTTTCCCACATCTTCCTCTCTTTTTCTGAGTCTTCCAAACTGTTCCAACCTCTGCTTGTTACCCAGTTTCAAAGTTGCTTCCACATTTTTGGGTATCTTTTCAGCAATGCCCCACTCTACTGGTACCAATTTACTGTATTAATCTGTTTCCATGTTGCTGATAAAGATATATCTGAGACTGGACAATATACAAAAGAAAGAGGTTTAATTGGATTTACAGTTCCACGTGTGTGGGGAAGCCTCACAATGATGGTAAAAGGCAAGGAGGAGCAATTCTCATCTTACATGGATGGCAGCAGGCTAAGAGAGAATGAGGAAGACACAAAAGTGGAAAACCCTGATAAAACCATCAGATCTCATGAGACTTATTCACTCCCATGAGAACAGTATGGGGAAAATGCCCACCGGTTCCCTCCCACAACATGTGAGAATTATGGGAGTATAATTCAAGATGAGACTTAGGTGGGGACACAGAGCCATACCATATCACCTTCCATGCTGTCAGCTATGGGTGTGCACTCTCTTTCTGACTAGAGCCCTGATTGATAAAATGAATATTTATAAAATGGAAGAAGTTGGAGAAAATAGAGTCTCATTATTAAACCCCTACTACAGGCCCTGCACAGAGGCAGGCATCTTTATAGTGGATATTCAATAAATGCTGATAAATTTGAAGAAAAGGGAATAAGACAAGGTAAAGCAGATTTCACAAAAATCTGAGACACAAGATTCAGATCCTTTGTGTCAGATGATCCCATTTCCCAAATTTGGAATGTGAACAGAAGAAAGAGAGACAATGAGGATTGTCTGTTCAACTCAGCAAGCCTGGAAAACAACAATGCTAGTATGTATGGAAGACATAAAATACTATTCTAGGTTTAAGTAAGATTTAAAGGAAAATAGTACAGTAAAAGGCAAGTACATGATTTTTCACTTGTCATTTTGTGAACTTGGGTATAGAGTGGAAGTGAGCAGACATGAACATAATTAATGGAATGGCCATTTTTCTTACATGCCTAACCATTTTTTTGCATGATTTACAATTTTCAAATGCTATTCCCTCAGAAAAGAAATTTTACCTTGTTTTCACAAGAAAAGATCAAGTTGAAGAATGACTTTAACAATAAAGTAACCAGTGCCCCCAAAGTATATTATTCACAGTGTCTAGCATAGGCACAGTGAAAGGTTCATGGGTATCCAGCAAATTCTGTTGTTGGTCCTGGAAACCAACAAAGTCAGATATTCAAAATGCCTTTCTTGTTTACAAAAAGTATTCTACTTGTTATCGTTGTCAGGAGAGACCCTTTCACTCAGATCCTCTTTATCGAGAAAACAGAAAACCCTCATAAAAGCATCAGATATTTAAAAAATTTTTAAATTTCTCTTTTGAGCACAAGCTTTTTGTTTGTTTGTTTATTTGTTTTGTTTTTTACAGGAGAATGGAGATGTCTCGGATTTTTTGTGCACAAATTGTCCTCAGAACCAAACAAAATAACCAGCATAGGAGAGAATTCACAAAGTAAGAGACTCATAAAGTAAAATGTTTTGCTTTACTTTTTGCCTTTTTCATCCTGCTTTGTTTTTCAACATGTGTAAATCATTCTGTTACTATAAACTTAATAAAGAAGTAAAAGAGCAAAGACCAAAAATGTAATAATGAAATAAAGTTTTTATCAGTTATAATTTTTTGGCATGATCAGGTTATCTTTGGTGTACACTTCAGGGTTTTGTATTTCAAACACAACTCTTCTTAAAACTTTTCATGTGTCCCAGATGTGACCTAGTTTCCTTCTGGGAAATGAATGCTGAGTGTTGTACAGACAAGTCAAACAGACATAGCTATTTTAGGAGTCATTAATGTAGTGCTTATAGAAACCAAATATGTAAACCCACCTGGCCAGGAAAACCTTTATTGAGTATATACTTTGTGCTGAGTGATATTCCAGGCTCCAGAAATGAAAATACAAAGGGCAAGGCCCAATCTTGAAGAGCTCATGAACTAGTAAAAGAGAACAACAAACATGTTACAAGGCAAAAACAAATTACAAATGTAAATAATAAAGCCAAAGCATAATATGTACAATAATGGAAGCCTGAAAAAGGTAAAGAAGTATTACATAAAATGGAGCCATTTGTTCTGTCTTAGGAGAGCTCAAAAAAGCCTTCACAGAAAAGGTAGAATCCAAGCAAATTCAAAAGTTTAAAGTCCAGTTTGGAAATTTTCTTTCAATTAAGTCATGACGTGTTTATGGACAAATATCCACTTGAATCAATAAGAAAAGGAAAATGACTAGCATAATGCTGCACATAAAATAAGAATTAAAATGTTTCTGCTCTCTTCGTGTATTTTTAAAATTAAGGTAAAATTCAGATAACATAAAATCCACCCTTTTAGTCATTTTAAAGTGTACAATTTTTTAGTACATTTTAAAGTGTACAATTCAGTGGTGTTTAGTACACTCACAATGTTTTGCAACCATTACCACTACCTAATTCTAGAATATCTTTATCATCCAAAAAGAAACCCTGTGCCCATTGAGTAGTCACTGGCCTTTCCATTTACCCCAACTCCTCCAGCACGCGACAACCACTAATTTGCTTTCTGTCTCTATGCCTCTTCTGGACACTTTATATAAATACAACCATACAATATGTAGGCATTTGTGTCTGGCTTCTTTCAGTTAGCATAATATTTTTGAGGTTCTTCCTTGTTATAGCATGAATCAGTACTTTATTCCTTTTCATAGATGAATAACATCCCATTGTATGTATATGCCACATCTTGTTAATCTGTTTATCAATTGGAGGACAGTGGGTTGTTTCTACATTTTAGCTATTGAGAATAGGGCTGCCTCCATATTTGTGTACAAGATTTGTCTGAACTCTTCTTTTCAATTATCTTAACTATATACCTAATGATATGGTTTGCCTGTGTCCCCACCCAAACCTCATCTTGAATTGTAGCTCCTATAATCCCCATGTGTTGTGGGAGGGACCTGGTGGCAGGTAATTGAATCCCGGTGTCTGGTTTTTCCTGTTCTGTTCTTGTGACAGTGAATAAGTCTCATGAGGTCTGATGGTTTTATAATGGGCAGTTCTGCAAATGCTGTCTTTCCTGCCACCATGTAAGACGTGCCTTTGCTCCTCCTTCACCTTCCGCCATGATTGTGAGGTCTTCCCAGCCATGGGAACTGTGAGTCCATTAAACCTCTTTTTATTTATAAATTACCCAGTCTTGGGTATTTCTTCATAGCAGCATGAGAACAAATGAATACACCTAGGAGTAGCATTGTTGGGTCTTATGATAACACTAGGTTTAACTTTTCGAGGAACCACCAAACTATTTTTTTTCACGTTGGCTGCACCATTTTACATTCCCACCAGCCATATATGAACGTTCCAATTTCTCCACACCTCACCAATATTCATCACATTCTGTTTTGTTTTGTTTTGTATTGTTTTGTTTTGTTTACTTTTTCCCATCCTAGCGAGTGTGAAGTATCTCATTGTGGTTTTCCTTTGTATTTCCCTAATGACTGATGATGCTGACTATCTTTTTATGTGCTTACTGGCCATCTGTATATTTTCCTTAGAGAAATGACTATTCAGATCCCTTGCCCATTTTTGAATTAGGTTGTCTTTTGTTATCGAATTGTAAGAGTTCTGTATAAATTCTGGATATAAGTCTCATCAGATCTATAATAGGCAAATATTTTCTCCCATTCTGTAAGTTGTCTATTTTTTTGATAAATCACCCACTCCAGTGACATAGCCACCATGTGCTCACACACGCCTCATCAGGGGCCCAAGCACCAGCCCATTCCAGGGTCCACTGCCAGTGACCCTGTTCATTCCAGCAGCTGAGTCACTACACACCTCACCCAGAGGCCAGAGGACTGGCCCACCCAAGGCCTGCCACTGGTGGCAACCTCACCCACTCCAGTGGCCAAGCCACTGAACATCTGTGCAACACCCAAGACCTAAGGACTGGCCGACTCAGAGTCTGACACCTCTGGAAACCTCACCCACTCAGAAACAGAGCTACCAAAGGCCTATAGCCCTCTCAGGGGCCACAGATCTGGCCCACTGGGGGCCCACTACACTTTGCAAAGCTGCACCATAGCCTCCACAAACTCTTGCAGCCTAGGCCGCTGAGGCACTTGCAGACACTGCTAACATTGAATACACCAAACAGAATCACACAGAGACTACACTATTGCACCCACCTGGACCCAAAGCCAAAACACTACCCAACCAACACTAAAGGACAAATCTACAGGAAAAATTATTTCTTTATGAAAGTTGCTCAATAAAATGAGACAAGACAACTGCTACACCAGATGTGCAGATATCAACATAAGGACACAAGATGTATGCAAAAGCAAGGAAACCTGACACCTCCAAAGGAACATAATAATTTTCCAGTAGCAGACTCCAAAAAAGAAAATCTATGAAATGCCTAAAAATGAACTCAAAATAATTATCTTAAAAAAACTCAGTGAGATATAAGAGAATACAAATAGACCATTCAATGAATTCGGGAAAACAATTATCATCAGAATAAGAAATTCAACAGAGATAGGTACTATAAAATGGAACCAAACAGAAATACTGGAACCGAAGATTTCAATGAATAAAATAAAGATTACAAGCAACAGCTTCAACTACTGACTGGATCAAGAAGAAAGAATTTCTGAACTTGAAGACAGGTCTTTTGAATAACCCAGTAAGACAACAAAAGAAAAAAAGAATTAAAGAGAATGAAGAGGCATACAAGACTTCTGAGACATTAAATGAACAAATATTCAGATTATGTAAGTTCTAGAAGGTGAATAAATAGGAGAAGACATTGAAAATATATTTAAATAAATAACAGCTGAAAACTTCTCATATCTTGAGAGAGATAGGGACAATATGACCCAGGAAGCTCAGAGATTCCCAAATAGATCCAACACAAAAGGCCCCTCTTCAAGGTAAATTGTAGTCAAACTGTCAAAAATCAAAACAAAGAGAATTCTAAAAAGAGCAAGAGAAAAGTGTCAACTCACATATAAGGAAAGCCTTGTCAGACCAACAGAAAAATTTTCAGCAGAAACCTTATAGGCCAGGGAGAATGGGATGATATATTCAAAGTACCGAAAAAAAAAATTTCCAGCCAATAATACTACACCCAGCAATTATACCCTTCAGACATGAAAGAGAAATAAAGTTTTTCACAGATAAGCAAAAAAAGAGGAAATTTATCACCACTAGACAGGCCATACAAAAAATGCTTGAGGGAGTCCTAAATCTGGAAGTGAAAAGACGATACCAACCAACATGAAAACTCATGAAAGTATAAAGCTCACTAGTAGAGCAGACACACAAAGAAGAAAGAGAAAGGAATCAAACATTATTACAAAACAACCAAACCATGAGAAACAATAAGAGAGAAAGACAGGGACAAAAAAATGTAAAAAACAACCAGTAATTAATTAAGAAAATGACAGAAGTAAATCCATACCTATCAATAAAAACTGTGAATGTAATTATTTTGGATTCTCCAATTAAAAGACATGGATTAGCTGAAAGGATAAAAACAAAACAAGATCAAACTATATTTTGTCTACAAGAAGCTCACTTCACCTGTAAAGATACACATAGACTGAAGTAAAAGAATGGGAAAAGATTCCACATAAACAAAAAACAAAACTGAGCAGAAGTAGCTATAATTACTTATATCAAACAAAATAGATTAAATTTAAGTCTAAATACATAAAAAAGAGACAAAGAGGGTCATTACATAA
Source organism: Homo sapiens (assembly GCF_000001405.40). NCBI lineage: Eukaryota > Metazoa > Chordata > Mammalia > Primates > Hominidae > Homo > Homo sapiens. The sequence goes on from NC_000001.11 coordinate 59,792,970, forward strand.
GGATAAAGGGATTAATTCCATAAGAGGATATAAATTCTAAATATATATGCATCCAACACAACAGCACTCAGATATATAAAGTAAATATTATAGTTAAAGGGTGAGATACACTGCAATATATCAATAGGTGGAGACTTCAACACTCCACTCCTAGCATTGGACAGATAATCTATACTGAAAATCAACAAAAAACATAGGACTTAAACTGCATTATAGACCAAATAGACCCAACAGACATCTGCCAAACGTTTTAACCAACAGCTGCAGAATACACATTCTTCTCATCAGTATATGCAACACTCTCCAGGATAGACCACAAAACAAGCCTCAATAAACTTAGTCCACAAAACAAGCCTCAATAAACTTAAGAAAATTGAGATCATATTAAGATTTTCTTTAGATCACAATCGAATAAAGCTAGAAGTCAATAACAAGATGAACTTTTGAAACTGTGTAAGTACCTAGAAGTTAAATAACATGCTTCTGAATGATCAATGGTGCAATGAAGAAATTAGGAAGAGAATTTAAAAAACCTTTTGAAACAAATGAAAATAGAAACACAATATACCAAAACCTATGGGAGATAGCAAAACAGTTCTACCAGGGAAGTTCAAAGCAATAAATGACTACATCAAAAAAGCAGGAAGTTTAAAAAAAAAAAAAAAACTTCACTAACGTAGCACCTCAAAAAATTAGATAAACAAGAACAAACCAAGCCTCATATTAACAGAAGAAAACAAATAATAAAGATTAAAGCAGACTTAATGAAATAGAGACAAAAATACAAAAGATTGACAAACAAAACAAACAGTTGATTTTTTGAAAAGAGACTAAGAGAAAAAGAAGATCCAAATAAATAAAATCAGAAATTAAAACGGAGACCTTAAAACAAATGCCATGGAAATACAAATAATCATTCCAATTTGCCAACAAACAGGAAAACCTAGAGGAAGTGTGTAAATTCTAGTACACATAAAATCTACCGAGACTGAACCAAGAAGAAGCAGAAAATCGAACAGACAAATGGCAAGTAATAAGCATCTCCCAACAAAGAAAAGCTCAGGACCAGACGACTTCACTGCTCAATTATATCAATATTTTAAAAGAGAACTAGCAACAATTCTTCTCAAACTATTTCAAAAAAGTTAAAGAGGAGGGAACTCTTCCAAATTTATTATATAATGCCAGTCTTATGCTGATACACAAACCAGAAAAGAACAAAACAAAAATGAAGACTACAGGCCAATGTCTGTAATGAACATAGATGCAAAAATCCTCAATAAAATACTAGCAAACTAAATCTAACAGCACAGCAAAATGATTATACACTATGATCAAGGGGGATTTATTTCAGGGATGCAAGGATGGTCCAACATATGCAAAGCAATAAATGCGATATATCACATCAACAGAATGAAAGACATAAAACGTCTAAATAGACACAGAATCATCTCAATAGACACAGAAAAAGTATTTGACAAAATTCAGTATGCCTTCATGATAAAAACTCTAAACAAATTAGCTATACAAGGAACATACCTCAACACAATAAAGCCTATGTGACAAACTCACAGCTAATATCATACTAAATGGGAAAAAATGAAAAACTTTTCCTCAAAGAAATCAAACAAGACAAGGATCCCCATTTTCAACACTCTTGTTCAACTAGCATGGGAAGTCTTAGCCTGAGCAATAAGGCAAGAGAAAGAAAGAAAATGCATCCAAATTGGAAAAGAGAATGTCAAAATGTCCTTGTTTGCAGATGACATGATCTCATATAGAGAAAAAACTGAAAACTCCACCAAAAAGTCTTAGAACTATTTTAAAAACTCTTAACATTGCACGATTAAAAAAATCACCATAGGAAAATCAGTAATGTTTCCACACACCAATAACAAACTAGCTGAAGAGGAAATCAAGAAAACAATCCTATTTACAATAGTTACAAAAAAGACACCTAGGAATAAATTTAGCCAAAGAGGTTAAAAATTTTTACAATGAAAACCACAAAACACTGATGAAAATAATTGAAGAGAAAAAAAACAAATGAAAAAAAATTCCATGTTTATGGATTGGAATAATTAATATTGTCAAAATGCCCACATAACCCAAAGCAATGTACAGATTCAATTTAATCCATATCAAAATGCCAATGGCATTCTTCATAGAAATGAAAAAAAAAACCCTAAAATTTGTATGAAATCACAAAAGACCCCAAATAGCCAAACTAATTCTGAATAAAAGGAACAAAGCTGAAGCCATTATAGTTCCTGCTTTCAAATTATAATACAAAGCTATACTAACCAAAATAGCATGGTACTAGCATAAAAACAGACAGATAGACCATGGCAAAGAACAGAAAACAGAAAAATGAATTAATGTACTTATGGCCCACTGATTGACAAAGGTGACAAGAATATCCACTGGGGAAAAGATAGACTCTTCAAAAAATGGTGCTGGTAAAACTGGATATCTATATATATCCAGAAGAATAAAATTAGACCCTCTACTTCTCACCATATACAAAAATCAACTTGAAATGGATTAAAGACTTAAATGTAAGACACAAAACTATAAAACCACCAGAAAAAAACATAGGAGAAACACTTCTGAGCAAAGATTTAATGATGAGACTTCAAGAGCACAGGCAACAAAAGCAAAAATGACAAATGGGATTATATCAAACTCAAAAGCTTCACTGTAACAAAGGAAACAATCAAGAGAATAAAGAGGCAAGGGATTAATAACCAGAATACAGAAGGAACTCAAACAATTCAACAGCAAAAAAAAAAAAATCTGATTTAAAAATGGGCAAATGATCAAAATAGACATTTATTTTTTAAAAAGACATACAAATGGCAATGTATATGCAAAAGTGCTCAACATCACAAACCATTAAGAAAATTTAAATCAAAACCACAATGAGATATCATCTCATCTAGTTAGACTAGCTCTTATTAAAAGCACACACAAAAAAATGCCGGCAAAGATGCAGAGAAAAGGGAACTCTTATATTCTGTTAGTGGGAATGTAAATTAGTATAGCCATTATGTAAAACAGTATGGAATTTCTTCAAAAAAAATGAAAATAGAACTACCATATGATCTAGCAATTCCACTATTGGTTATGTATCCAAAGGAAAGGAAAACCATATGCTGAATTGTGATCTGCATCCCTGTGTTTATTGTGGCACTATTCACAATAGGCAAGATATTGAATCAACCTACATGCCCATCAGTAGATGAATGGATAAAAAAAATGTCATATATATATATGTGATATATATATATATCACAATGAAATATTATTCAACCATAAAAAAGAATAAAATTCTGTCATTTGCAGCAACATGGATCATCCTAGGAGATATTATGTTAAGTGAAATAAGTCAGACACAGAATGATAAATACCACATGTTCTCACTCATAATGCGGAAACTAGAAATGCTGAGCTCATAGAAGCAGAGAGTAGAATTGTGGTTACCAGAAAAGGGTAGGTAAAGGAGGGAGTTAGAGAAGTTAGTTAAAGGATACAAACTTACAGCTAGATAGGAGGAATAAGTTCTAGTGTTTTATACACCTGTGGGATGACTACAGTCAACAGTAATATATTATAACATTTCAGATAGCTAAAAGGAGGATGCTGAATGTTCCCAACACAAAGAAATGATGGATGTTTGAGATGATGGATATGCTAATTACCCTGATTGATCAATACACATTGTATGCATGTATTGAAATGTCACTCTGTACCCACTAAGTATGTATAATTATGACGATTTCAATTAATTTTTTTGTTTTTAATTTTAATGAAGTTTATGTTATCTATTTTTTCTTTTGTTGCTTGTGCTCTTGATACCTTAGCTAAGAAACTATTGCTTAATCTAAGGTCAAGAAGAGTTACACCTATGTTTCCTTTCAAGAGTTGTATAGTTTTAGCTTTTACATTTGAATTTTTAAATCTGTTTTGAATTAATTTATGTATGTGTTATGAGGTAAAGATCCAAATCCATTCTTTGCCGTGTAGACATTCGTTTGTCCAAGCATCATTTTTTGAAAAGACAATTCTTTCCCCCATTGAATGGTCTTGACATCTTTATTAGAAATAAATTATCCATAGATATATTGATTTCTTTCTGGACTCTCAATTATACTCCAGTGACCTATATATCTACCTTTATTCCAATAGTACACTGTTTTGATTTTTGTAACTTTGTAGTAAGTTTTGAAGTATGGGTTTAAGTTCTTTTTGCTTTCTTTTTCAGGATTTTGGATGTCCTGCATCTCTTGCAATTCCATATGAATTTTAGAATCAGCTTCTCTATTTGTTCAAAAAAGAAGTTGAAATTTTGATAGAGCTTGCACTGAATCTGTAGATCAATTTGGGGAGTATTGTCATCTTAATATTATATCTTCCAATCCATGAACATGAAATCTCTTTCTACTTATTAAGGTTCTCCTTAATCTCTTTCAGCAAAATTTTATAGTGTTCAGTGCACAAGTGTTACAATTCCCTGGTTAAATATATTCTTAAATATTTTACCGTTTTGATGTTACTTTATTTTTATTTTTCTGTTTGTTTTTGTTTCATTTGTTTGTTTTTGAGACAGAGTCTCACTCTGTCACCCAGGCTGGAGTGCAGTGGCATGATCACAGCTCACTGCAACCTCTGCCTCCCAGGTTCAAGTGATTCTCCTGCCTCGGCCTCCTGAGTAGCTGGGACTACAGGCATGCACCATCACACTCAGCCAATTTTGTATTTTTAGTAGAGACAGGGTTTTGCCATGTTGACCAGGCTGGTTTTGAACTCCTGACCTCAAGTGACCCGCCTGCCTCAGCCTCCCAAAGTGCTGAGATTACAGGTGTGAGCCACCACACTGGGCCTGATGTTATTTTAAATGAAATTGTTTTATGGTTTCTTTTTCAGATTGTTCATTACTCGTATATATAAATACAATGGGGTTTTATATACAATACAGATATCCATTGTAGAAATACATGGAGTTTTGATATTATATTCTGCAACTTGGCTAAATTCCTCTATTAGCTTGCTATAGTCTGGATGTGTGGCCCCTCCAAATCTCATGTTGAAGTATGAACTCTATTGTTGAAGGTTGGCCTAGAGAGAGGTGTTTGGGTCATGGGAACAGATCCCTCAAGAATGGCTTGGTGCTCTCCTCACAGTAATGAGTTCTCACTCTGTTAGTTCATATAAAAGCTGGTTGTTTAGAAGAGCCTGGGGCCTCTTGGTGGCTTCTCTCTTGTTCCCTCTCTCACAGTGTCACATGCCTGCTCCCCCTTCCTTCTGCCGTGAGTATAAGCTTCCTGAGGCTTCACCAGAAGCCAAGCAGATCCTGGTGTCATGATTGTACAATCTGCAGAACTGCGAGCCAAAGAAAACTCTTTATAAATTACCCAGTCTCAGGAATTCCTTTATAGCAATGCAAAACAGAGTAATGCATAGCTTTAGTAGTTTTTTGTTTGATATAAAATCATGTCATCTGTGACTAGAAATAGTTTTACCTCTGCCTTTCTAATATAGATGCCTTTTATTTCTTTTTCTTACCTTGTTGACCTGGCTAGAACGTTCAGTATAATGTTGAATGGAAGTGGCAAGAATGAAAATTCTTGTCTTGTGCCTGATATTACAGGGAAAGCTTTTGGTCTTTTACATAGAGTTTGATGTTAGCTATGGAATTTTCCAGATGGCCTTTATCATGTTGAGAATGCTGCCTTCTATTTCTACTTTACTGAGTGTTCCCATCATGAAAGACTGTTGAATTTTGTCAAATGCTTTTTGTCATCAGTTAAGATGAATGTGTGGGGTTTTACTCTTTCTTTCATAAATGTTGTAATATGTTGATTTGACTTCTTTTCATATGTTGAACCACCCTTGCATCCCTGGAAAAAATTAGTCATAAGGTATAATCCTTTTAATCTAGTGTTGAATTTTGTTTGCTAGTATTGTGTTGAAAATTTTTGCATCTATATTCATAAGGGATATTGGCATGCAGTTTTCTCTCCTTGTCATATCTTTGTCTGGCTTTGGTATCAGGGTAATGCTGGCCTCATAGAATGAGTTGGGAAGTATTTCCTCCCCTTCTACTTTTTGGAAGTTTGAAAAGAATTACTCTGCTTCATAAAATATTTGGTAGACTTTGCCAGTGAAGCCACCCAGTCATGAGCTTTTTTCTGTTAGAATTTTTGATTACTGATTCAATATCCTTACTTGTTTTAAGTCTATTCAGATTTCATCTTGAGTCAATTTTGATAGTTTGTGTGTGTAGTTTGTGTGTTTCTAGGAAGTTGTTCATTTTGTTTAGGTTATATGATTTTTTTTCACATAGAAATGTTTATAGCACTCTATATAATTCTTTTTATTGTCATAAGGCTAATAGTAATATTACCACTTTCATTTTTTATTTGAATCTTCTTTTTGTCTTCATCAGTTGAGGTAAAAGTTTGGCAATTTTGTTGATCTTTTCAAAGAACAAAGTTTAGTTTCATTAATTCTCTTTATTGTTTTTCTATGTTTTGTTTCATTTACCTCTGCTCAAATCTTTATTATTTCAGCCCTTCTGTTTGCTGTGGGCTTAGTCTGCCTTTTTTTTTTTTTTTTTTTTTTTTTGCTAGTCACTTAGGAAGGTTAGGTTATTTATATAAGATTTTTTTTTAACGTAGGCATTTAAAAGTATAAATTTCCCTCTGAGCACTGCTTTCATTGTATCTCATAGATTTTGGTATGTTGTGTTTTCATGTTCATACATCTCTATTTTCTAAATCCCCTTGTGATTTCTTCTTTGGCCCATTGGTTATTTAAGAGTATGTTGTTTAATTTCCGCATATTTGTGAATTTTCCAGTTTCCCTTCTGTTATAGATTTCTAATTTCATTCCAAAGACACTTGTTATGATTTCAATATTTTAAAATTTATTGAGATTTGTTTAGAAGTTTAACATATGGTTCATCTTGGAGAATTATCCGTATGCGCTTGAGAAGAATGTGTATTCTGCAGTTGTTGAATGGAGTGTCCTGTACATGTCTCTTAGGTATAGTTGGCTTGTAGTGTTATTCAAGTCCTCTATGTCCTTGTTGATGATCTGCCTAGTTGACTTATTCATTATTGAAAGTGGAATATGCAACTGTCCTACTCTTATTGTTGAACTGCCTACTTCTGTCTTTAATTGCCCATCTTTGCTTCATATATTTGGGGCTCTGTTTATAGGTTTATAATTGATATATGTTCTTGATGGATTGACCCTTTATTATTATGTAATATCCTGATTTGTCTATTGTAACAATTTTTTCTTTTTTCTTTTTTGAGATAGGGTCTTGTTCTATTGCTCAGGTTGGAGTAGTACAGTGGTACAATCACATCTTACTATAGTCTCAACCTCCTGGGCCCAAGCCCGCCTGCCACCTCAGTCTCTCAAATAGCTGGGACCACAGGTAAATACAACTAAGCCCAGCTAATGTCTTTATTTTCTTTCTTTCTTTCTTTCTTTCTTTCTTTCTTTCTTTCTTTCTTTCTTTCTTTCTTTCTCTCTCTTTCCTTCTTTCTTTCTCTCTCTCTCTCTCCCTCTCTCTCTCTCCCTCTCTCTCTGTCTCTCTCTCTCTCTCCCTCTCTCTCTGTCTCTCTCTCTCTCTCTCTCTCTCTTTTGAGATGGGGGTTCCCTATGTTGCCCAGGCTGGTCTTGAACTCCTAGGCTCAAGTGATTTTCCCTCCTTGGCTTACCAAAGTGTTGGGATTACAGGCATGAGCTACTGCACCAGGCATAATTTCTTTCTTAAACTCTATTTTGTCTGATAGTCATATATTTACTCCAGCTGTCTTTTAGTTAGTGTTTGCATGAAGGAGCTTCTTCCATTTCTTAGCTTTCAACTTATTTTGACTTTGAATCTAAAGCAAGTCTCTTATAGACAGCATACAATTAGATCATGTTTTTCAATCTTTACTGCCAACATTTGCCTTTTCATTAGAGCTTTCATCCATTTATTTTTAATGTAATTACTGATAAGGTAGGATTTTTGCCATTTTGCTATTTGCTTTCTATATGTTTTTTTTTTGCTCTTTAATTCCTTTGTTACTGCCTTCTTTTGTATTAAATACGTATTTTCTAGTATACCTTTTTGATTACTTTCTCTTTTCTTTTTCTACACATTTTAAAGTTGTATTCTTAGTGGTTGCCCTGAGGATTACAATTAACGTTTTCATTTATAGCAATCTAGTTTCAATTCAAGTTAGTTTCAATTGTATACAAAATGTTTGCATTTACACAGCTCCATCCCTCTCTTTATGTTGTTATTGTCACAAATGATATCTTTATATGCTTTGTATTTATAAACATAGATTTATAATTTTTGTATTATGCAATTGGATTTAAATCACATAAGAAAAAGTGAGGTTTATAAACTGAAAAGACATTAATACTGACTTTTATATTTATCTTCATATCTACTTTTACTGCTTTTTTTGTATTTTTTCCTTTTCTTTTTCATTTTTCATTTGTTTTGTTGTACCTTTATTCTTTCCTTCCTTATTCCTTATTTTCTTGTTTAAAACATAGGTAGGAGAAAAGAGAAAAGTGATTTTTGCTTAGGACTGACTTGGCTATTTGGGCCCTTTTTTTTTGTTCTATATGAATTTTAAGATAGTTTTTTCTAATTCTGTAAAGAAGGTCAATGGTAATTTAATGAGAATCATGCTACCTGACTTCAAACTGTACTACAAGGCTACAGTAACCAAAACAGCATGGTACTAGTACAAGAACAGACACATAGACTAATGAATCAGAATAGAGAAATCAGAAATGAGACCACACACCTGCAACCATCTGATCTTTGACAAATCTAACAAAAACAAACAATGGGGAAAGGATCCCCTATTTAATAAATGGTGCTAGGAGAAGTGGCTAGCAGTATGCAGAAAATTGAAACTGGACCCCCTCCTTACACCATATACAAAAATTAACTCAAAATGGATTAAAGACTTAAATGTAAAACCCAAAACTATAAAAATCCTAGACGACACTCTAGACAATACCATTCAGGACGCAAGCAAAAATTTCACAACAAAAATATCAAAAGCAATTCAATAAAAGCAAAAATTGACAAATGGGATCTAATTAAACTAAAGAGCTTCTGCACAACAAAAGAAACTATTATCAGAGTGAACAGACAGCCTACAGAATGGGAGAAAAATTTTGCTATCTATCTATCTATCTATCTATCTATCTACCTAACAAAGATCTAATATCCAGAATCCACAAGTAACTTAAACAAATTTACAAGAAAAAAATAAACAACCCCATTAAAAAGCGGACATTAAAAAGTGAACATGAACAGATCCTTCTCAAAGGAAGACATACATACGGCCAACAAACATATGAAAAAAAGCTCAACATCACTGATCATTAGAGAAATGCAAATCAAAACCACAATGAGATACCATCTCACACCAGTTAGAATGGCTACTATTAAAAAGTCAAAAAACAACAGATGCTGCAGTGGTTATGAAGAAAAAGGAATGTTTTTACACTGTTGGTAGGAGTGTAAATTAGTTCAATCACTGTGGAAGACAGTGTGGCGATTATTCAAAAACCTAAATGCAGAAATACCATTTGACCCAGCAATCCCATTACTGGGTATGTACCCAAAGGCATATAAATCATTCAGTTATAAAGATACATGCATGCATATGTTCATTGCAGCACTATTTGCAGTAGCAAAGTCATGGAATCAACCTAAATGTCCATCAATGATAGATTGCATAAAGAAAATGTGATACATATATGCCATGGAATACTATGCAGCCATAAAAAGGAATGGGATCATGTCCTTTGCAGGGACATGGATGGAGTTAGAAGCCATTATCCTCAGCAAAGTAACACAGGAACAGAAAACCAAACACTGCATGTTCTCACTTATATGTGGGAGCTGAATGATGAGAACTCATAGACATATGGAGGGGAACAACACACACTGGGCACCTGTGGGGTGGGAAGAGCATCAGGAAAAATAGCTAATGGATTCTGGGTTTAATACTTGCGTGATGGGATGATCTGTGCAGTAAACCACCATGGTACCCGTTTACCTATGTAAAAAACCTGCATATCCTGCACATCTATTCCTAAACTTATATTTTTTAAAAAAAGAGAAAAGCGTTCTTTATTATTATTTTAAGTTGAGAAGCTTATAATGTTATTGGTGATTAATCCTTTCCCTTGTCTTTGACACTCACATACTGTGTTACAAATATGTCTCCATGTTATTTATTTGTCCTTTTAAGATGCAAGTCCTGCAACTTCAACTGGATGTTAAGCATAATAGGAGTAGAAACTCTGCCTTATATTTCTCCACATTTCTAATGTCAAAGGAAACTCTCTTTTGTAGAAGATATTCAATATGTGGTTGTTGATTTTGTACTAGACAGCTTACCTCATTTCTTCAGGCAGGCAAACTATTATTGTCTCCATTTACAGTGAGAAAACTGAGAGCCAACAGAGTTCAGGAACTTGACCAAGATCATAATGAAGAGGGGACAAAAACATGTTCTTCTGTGCTTTGTACCCAACATTGTTTCTCAGGCAGCTTGTTTCAGTTATCTCTTACAAGCCTACAACAAGCTTTCCCACCACCAGCACTAACTTCTGGCAACAGATAGTACTTGTAATGAATAATCCAACTGAAACAGCATTCAGTTTGAGATTCTATCTGTTCTTTTTGAATAAACACTGAAAGCAAATGAAATAGGAAATTGTTTCCCACAGACTTCCTGAGCAATAGGGAAAAACATTTGAACCCTATTCTCAGCCGAAGGACAATGAGAGGGTGGCTGTGCATGCAGATCATGCTGAACAACTTCAAGTGAAACACAGAAGACAGCATGACCAAAGTTTGCCCTTCTTGAAACTTGAAGTGGGTGAACTGTGTCTTCTCAGCCCTCAGACCTACTTGCTTGGCTTGGAGAATGGCCTTTGGTAGTAGAAGTCACAGATGAAGTTTTTAGGATCAAACAAATAAGGGTTTTAATTTTGGGATATCTATAACACAAACAGTAACTTTGAACAAGTTACTCCCTCACTTGCAAAACTAAGATTTTTATGAGGATTAATGTCAATCATGTATGTGATGGTGCCTGGAATAGAAGAAATTGATGTTAGCTTTCTTTCTTCCTCCATGGGCCCTCTAACTTCAGCATTGCCACCATTACCCCTTATGAAATAAATAGGCTGATAAATATGTTCACCCTAAAGCCTAAATGACTATGAGGTTCAATATTATAGTTTTTACAAGAGTAACCCTATTTTAACAGGTGACCAAAATCTCATTTTCAAGGAATGAAATTATGAAATGGAGCCTGCTTTGCTCATAGACATCCAGGCTTACTAAACATCCTTCCCTACAACATGGAACCAGGGATCCTTGGAGAAATGGCTGAGTCCAAGATAGGGTCAATGAAAGTACAAAATGATCCTGTAACATCCTGTGCCTAGAAGTACACAAAAAAACAATGGATTATGCAAAAAAGATGCAGAAGCCAATGTGAAGGCATTCCCACAGGCTGAACTTCTGAGGGACTGATGATTAAAATGACTCATGTCAGGAATGGATTATAACATGCTGAATAAACATATATTTATAGTCCATATTTGCACTTAAAAAAAATTAAAGGTGGATATGAAGAAAGAGGAAAAGCTATTTTTGTAGAATAATGCCAACTAATAGATATAGAAGGAATAGTGGAAATAGAAAACCAGCACCCTTTTACACACCATAGTAATAATTGATTCTGATAATAATTATTAATGGATGCCAAAGGCATTGAGTGAAAAATTGGGGGTAAAAATATACACACACATTCTCAGATTATTTAGTAATAACAATGGAAAAATATCTTTACAATGGAGAGATCTAGTGGACATCATTCTAATCAAATGGTAAAATTTAATGTCCTTAGTAATTAGACAATCTAGTACCATGTTATTGCTAATGTGATACACTAAGCTCACAATATAATCTCTTCCAAAAATAGTTGAACCAAATCTGATCACCAAGAAACAATCCAACAAATCTACTAGACTCTTCAAAAATGTTGCTGTCATGAAAGATCTCTCTCTCTCTCACACACACACACGCGCACACACACACACACACACACACACACACACACACACACGGAGTGGAGAACTGACCTAGATCAGAGGAGACTGAAGCAACATGTCAAATACAATGCATAATCCTGATTCCTTGACTTTGAGTCCCAGAAAAAAAGAGAAAAAAATAATTGTGGACAATTAGGTAAATTTAAAGGAGTGCACATTATACAATACTATTATGTCACTGTTAATTTTCCCAACTATATAATTCTATGTAATTAGATAAGAGAATGTTCTTATTCTTCAGAGATATATACTGAAGTATTTAAGGGCTAACGGTAATTATTTCTGTTACTCTTGAATTATTTATATGCATCCCTCTCTCTCTTTATCTCTCTACCAATGTGGTGATTATAACCTAAAAATGGACTTTGTACATTTAAAAAATACGGCCTCACAGGTAGTCCAGTTATTTAATCCGAATGGCCAACTTAATTATTCTTCAGAAAAATTTGAGATTTATATTAAAAAATGGGTAAAAATAATTCAAGCTCATCTTCAGATACAAAATGCCAAAAGCTTAGCATATTCAAGCTCATTTACTGTAGTCATGAACCTTCAGTCAGTAGATTCTTCAATAGGTAATCATTAATTTCACTCATCTAGACACAATGGATTTTCTTGTTTCACTGTGTTGAACAAAAACAATGCTGACTCCCTGAAGAACTATTTCAGTAACAAGGGAAAATACAGAAACTGCAATGATTGAAGAAGGATTGTATATGTTATGTTTTATTTGCAATGATTGTCTTTAAAAATCAGCTCTGATCTCCCCAAGGATGAATCTCTTCTTCACATCTGGAAAGAGGTTTTATGAGGTATGCAATTTATTAGTTGTATGAGCTTGGGTGCCTCTTGATGCATCAGTTCCCTCATCAGTAAGATAAAGTTGAAAAATATTACTTACTTTATCAGGTTGTTAAGGATAAATGAATTAGTGTAAGTGAAGTACATTGAATAGTGCACAGCACCTAATAAGTGCTGCATGTTTTAGCTATTATTGTTTTTTTTTTTATAGCTTTATGATTGGATATGTTCTCAGTCACCAATTGTGTTCATAGAAAACTTTTTTTTTTTTTTTTTGAGATGGAGTCTCGCTCTGTTGCCAGGCTGGAGTGCAGTGGCATGATCTTGGCTCACTGCAACCTCCGCCTCCCGGGTTCAAGCGATTCTCATGCCTCAGCCTCCCGAGTAGCTGGGACTACAGGCCAGCGGCACCACGCCTGGCTAATTTTTGTATTTTTAGTAGAGATGTAGAGACGGGGTTTCACCAGGCCAGGATGGTCTCGATCTCTTGACCTCATGATCCTCCTGCCTTGGCCTTCCAAAGTGCTGGGATTACAGGCGTGAGCCACCGCGCTTGGCCAGGAAACTTTTTTTTTTTCTTCTTTCAGACGGAGTTTTGCTCTTGTTGCCCAGGCTGGAGTGCAATGGCATGATCTCGGCTCACCACAAGTTCTGTCTCCCAGGTTCAAGCGATTCTCCTGCCTTGGCCTCCCGAGTAGCTGGGATTACAGGCATGTGCCACCATGCCTGGCTAATTTTGTATTTTTAGTAGAGATGGGGTTTCTCCATGTTGGTCGGGCTGGTCTTGAACTCCTGACCTCAGGTGATCCACCCGCCTCTGCCTCCCAAAGCGCTGGGAAGGAAATCTTTTTATAGTGGCAAATCCTTTAATGAAATGTGCAGCTCCCTCTTTTCTGTATAAGGCTAGGTCCTACCCAATAGTTTTGTTTTTCATTATTTCTTGGTCGTTTTGTTTTAAAGATCTTTGGGGAATATTCCCAAATCACATTAGGAAGTACTCATTTACTGGGTTAAATCGTTTCAAACATTTTACTAGCCATGAGCTTCAAGGAATTTTCTGCAAGAGCGTTTAGTAAACCCTTTGCACATCTTTCCTGGCATTCCGGAACATTTTTGTTCTTTGTTCTTATAGCCCAATTTGTTAATGCTTATGATTAAGAAGCCCCCTTTTCTAGTGTCCATAAATGATCGGATAAACTTCTTCCCTCTAACATTTTGACGTTTTAAGATGTATTATATTATATATAGGCTATACTTATCTAACACATGAAGGGAAAGCAAGATATTCTAGCTCCTTAGGCAAATATCACTTCAATGTATTTTCAACTGATATACATGTAGAGGCTTCAGAATGCCACATTTTGTAACGACAGTTTCAAATGTATTTTTCTCAAGCGGTAATAAAAAATAATCACTATTTCTAACATAGTGATCTCTATCATCCTTAAACATTATGTTCTTATTAAACCTGTGAAACCAGTCTTGTGAATGTGATTGTATCTATTTTCCATACATATAATGTAATTAAATAATTTTAATTTTTAAAATATTAATTTTCAACACACCTGAAAACAATAGGAGCAGCCAGGCATGGTGGCTCATACCTGTAATCCCACCACTTGGGAGGCTGAAGCAGGAGGATTGCTTGAGCCCAGGAGTTTCAGATCAGCCTGGACAACATAAGAAGACCGCATCGCTACAAGAAATGAAAAAATTAGCTGAACATGGTGGCACGTGCCCGTTGTCCCAGCTACTCAGGAGAGAGAGGTGGGGGGGATCACTTCAGCCCAGGAGTTTGAAGCTGCAGTGAGCCAGGATCATGCCACTCCACTCAAGGGTGACACAGTGAGACCTCGTCTCAAAAACAAACAAACAAACACCAATAGGAGGTACCCTTTGTTATATTGTAATTCTTGCTTTTTAGAGACAAACATCTGTGGATTAAATGATTAGACACTCACTATGTGTCACTGTTTGGTCTTTGTTTTAAAAACCTGCTTACATGGATTAGAAGGATTTTTGTACATAAAAAATAGGTCACCAACTGAATGAGAACCATGGATCATCTCTTCCAACAGAGTGTAAAATGATGACAGGTCTTGTGATTCACTCAGATAAACTGAGATATAAACTCCATGATTTATACGTTTAAATGATACTTTAGATTGGTTACATTATCGGTACATTTTTACTAAATGCCTATTTTTACTTGTTTTTAGGTATTTGAAAATAAATGCTACATTTACCTTGCTATTTAAATTTTTTCTCATCGGAGTTATTAAGGACAAGATAAATTATGTGCGATTATGTTTGATTTAGAGCTTTGGGGTGAGTTTATATATGCTTAATAAATCAAATGGTTACATTTATTTTTACTTAATAAATGGCAAGCTAAACACTCTTCCCTGTAAGTTTAAAACATAATTGATAAGATTACTCTGTATTGTGATTTATCTTTTTTGTAACTTTTGTTTCCCCAGGAACCTGTCTTAAATCCTCCAAGGTGTCATTCATTTAGTTATTTGACACTAAGCCCCTAAGTGAAATTATAACTATGGCTAAAATCCTTCCTCATTTTGGAGGCTTCTAATCCAAGAACCAAAGATGCCAACATTCTTCCTCTGTGACTATTTTAACTTTGTGGTTATGATACCTATTGCCACACTTTCAGTCCTACTTGTCCACACTTAAACACCATGCTTTCCCATTCTGAGTGATGGCACCCTCATCCCCACCCAAAGCTACTGTGGGTGCTACTGCCTTACAGAGTATACTGTGGTGTGCTGCCTGGATATTTCCAGCATCTTGGAGTGCTTTCAGCAGACAGCCATCAGCCATCAGCCTTCTTTGTGAATTGCCTAGGCTGCCACGTCACCTCTCTAGGGCAGCCCACATGCAATGAATGATTTGTCAACATGGAAGCGTACAGACCAACTCCCCTCATTCAAACTTGGAACAACTTGGAAGGACCATTCCAGCTTCAGCACTCCCCAGGGATAAGTCAAGACTTTCATTGAGCCTGCACCACAACCTGCTTTCTCCCTCTGCCCACTACTTCTTCCTTCCCTCCTCTCTCACAGCTGTTATTCCCAACAGCATTTCTTAATAACCCTCCAACATGCTAATCTCCATCTCAGGGTCTACTTCCTGGAAAATCCAATTTACAACAGGCTGCAATAACAAAAGTCCTCGAAGTTAAGATTTTTTTTTTCTGTTTATGGTACAATTTTAAAATCTCTTGCTCTATGGATGCGCATTCTCTAGTGACAGAGATGTCGTCTCCCTTAATTTGAACTTGCACTTGGCTTCAATTTCTCCATTGAATCCTTAGAGTAATCTCTCTTTGGGCAGCCCAACAGGTTGGCAATAACATCTCTTGGAAGTAAAATGCATTAAAAGGCAGTTTCATTAAGTGATATAAAATCCATGTAACTCAAGTCTTCAACAGCCCTAGAAGTAAAATTTCCAGTATCTCATACAGTTCCTAAATTAATATTAATTTCATAGCAAGAGTGAGTTTCAAGCCAGTGTGAAAAATAAATGAATATTCATTTTTACACACAGTGGGAAGGAATCCACATCCTTGATCACCTTTCTCCAGTCTCTACCTTAATAGTTATGCTGGCTGAAAATATCCATAGGATATTTGTCCCTATCTTCCCAGTCCCATTACCTAAACATTCAGATCCAAGTCAATTATGGTCAAGGTTGTTCCATTAACAGAAAGCTAAATCTTACCCATAATGTCTGGGATTGGTCTTGCTTCCCTAAACCCTAGTATGGTATTTGATGGAGCTCAAATACACCTTAGGTATTTGTGCCCACTGTGTTTACAGGTCTAAGAACAAGGAGGTGTTGTAAAACGTCAGTTTTCATTCCTGTCTCTCTTTCTGTGACTCTGCCTCGGGCATATAAATCTCCTCCCTCGGGGCCTGGAAACTATTATTCCAAAGTACCTCCCAGATTCTGAAAATTGTCACAGCTGCTGCATTCAGCTTCTTCTGAACTTTGATATTGACTTGAGGTAGCCTGAGTTTGCAATTTGCTATAATTCTTTGCCTATTTGATTGCAGACCACTCTTGTGGGCATCATCCAGAAAAGCAAACTAATCCCTATGGTGGATCTCATATCATTCTGGCTACCTCTGTCTCGGTTGCTGAGATTGAGCCTATGTTGCAGTTCTTTCCTTTCTCCCTCTTTCTTCCCTCCCTTCTTTTATGCCTTCATCCTTCCTTCCTACCTTCAACATTTGCAGGACATGTGTTTGGGGGTCTGTGGAAGGGGAAGCTTTACCTAAACAATGCTGTCAGAATTCTCTGTGTGTGGGTTCAATAATTTCCTTCAGGAATGAATGCTTTGCTGCTGACGTCCAATTGCACTCTTTGCTGCTGACATGATCTCTCTACTAGCATGACTGCAGGAACTGTATGTCTAGATCTGCATCTGTCCAGGTCAGAGTCTTCTAGCTGATATCCATTCTGAGACATTCAGGGTTACCTAGAAATCAGCAGGAAAGCCTTAGAATTCTCAGTTTCTTCATTTCATCATTTGTATGTGTAAGACACAGATATCTTCTTTACAAGTAGGGCCTACTGCAGTTCTATTTAAAGTGCCTAGCTAGGGATTTTCTCCTCTTATCATTTATCTATTTACTTACAGACCAACTCAGAACATAAAATCTCTTTCTCATCCTTTCTCCCCAACACACACAAAAAAGTTTGTTTTAAGTAAAAAACAAATATTCATCCATTTTGATGAAATTGGAAAATACAAAAAGATAATAATTAATTACCATGAATAACATTTACTAATATTTTAATTTTTTTTCATGTTTCTTTTCAGTGCACACATGCACACACACGTGTGTGGTGTAAAGAATAGCTAAAATGTATTGAGCAACAACTATAAGCTAGGATTTATATTAAGCATTTTACATACATTTGACCCTCACAACAACCATAAGAAGTCATGTGGAAAGAATTGGTTTTGTTTTTGTCTGCAGGCATCATTCCTCCTTTCAATGGGCGACAGCTCTGTGATCTCGCCTTAGGCCTGCAATCTATGTGGGGCAGCCAGTCTAGGTGCTCTACCCTCTTCTGGGAAAGGGTTAGACAAAATCCCAAAACAGGCCAGTCAGATGCTCCCCCTGGAATTGGAATCTTGAACAGAATGACTCAGAAAGACTGAGCAGCCATTTTATCCTACTCATCCAGGTGGTGGTATCCTGAAAAGACTCCCATAGTTTTTGCTACCTAGATCCAATGAGCTATTTTGGGACCTGCACTTTCCCATGCTGGGTTCTTCAGCTCTTCCTCTGAACCTGTGAACCCTCTTGTATTTTTCCAAAAACATTTAAAAAAAAAAATAAGCTACCAGGTTTGGTTTCTCCCACTTACCACCAAAAAAATTCCTAATCAATACAGAAATACACAGAAATATACTAGTATTATCCCAGCTTAGAGAGACTGAAACTGAGCTTTAATGAAATTGTCATTTGCTCAAGATCACCCAGGCAATACGAAGTGATATCAGGTCTCTATAACACTAAACTTTGGGCTTAATTTTAGCCAACTCTCTTCTCAATGTCCCTCTGTATGGATGCATAAGCATGCACGCATGCGTGGGCACACATGTGTATGTGTGCATGTATTCCTATATATATTCTTCACAGTTGAGATTCTACCATATTCATAATTTTAAACATTTTCAGGCTTTACTCCTTTTTCATGACAATAAAATCACGGTAGAAAATTTCAAATTCACTGGAAATTACAAAGAAGGTAAAACTCACCCATTATTCCAATACCTAGACATTATCATCATCACTATCAACATCTTGGTATATTTTCTGTAGTCTCTTTCTTTTTTTCTCTCTCTGGGGGTGTATGTATACAGTATATATACACACACCCAGGCACACCCAAATAGGGATCCACACATAAATATATATTTACATACATACATTTATTTATTTATTTATTCAAGGTAATGACGGGTTCTCTCTATGTTGCCCAGGCTGATCTCAAACTCCTGGACTCAAGTGATCCTCCCACCACCTCAGCCTCCCAAAGTGCCGGCATTACAGGCTTGAGCCATTGCACCTGGCCCATATATTTATGTATATGTTGGGATCTATGCTGTATGCACAGATTGCATAATGGCTTTTTTTCTTAACATTATGTGATAAGCATTTTCCTGAATAAACTTATTTTAAAATATTTTAATGCCTATGATACATTTCATTGTTTAAATATAACTTACTGTGTTTAATCACTTCTCTTTCAGACATTTAATAGCTGTTTCTTTTCCTTTTTGCTTGATAAATAGTACTGCAATCAACAACTTTGTTGGCATATGATTATTTTCTTAGAATAGATTCTGAAAGTGAACTTACTGGCTTAAAGACTTTGAACATTTTAAAGGCTCTTGATATATATTGTCAAAAAACTTTGTACCCATTTATAATCCCACAGCTAGGGTTTAAGAGTTAGTTTCACTCAACTCCCCAAACATGGATGCCAACTTCTAAAGAACTGATGCCAATTTAATAGTTGGAAATGATAACTTATGTTGTATTTGGCATTTCTTCTAAAGTCTTTTTTTCTGATTATAAAGTAATATAAGCTAATTGTAGAAAGCCTAGAAAATATGGAAGATTAGAAAAATAGTCATTTTTCATTTGTATATAAATATAACAACAGTTTTATGATTATTCCTTTGTCTTCTTCCTGTGTATATATTAAAATACATACCTAATATTTATAATATTGAGGTCATATGGCTGATACTTTCATCTAAATTTTATTTAATAGTATACATTGTGACAACTTTCCTGAGTTATCAAATATTCTCCAGAGCACTGAATCTGCTGTAAAATATTTAGCCTTCCTTGCTTATTGGGCATTGTATCAATCGATTATACAATTGATCAATACATAGCATTGCCATACATATCATTGTTCAAAGCCTCCAAATGCACTTCTGATGATTTCAACAGAATTTATGACTGACGCAGAATAAATTGGAATCATGGGTTTAAATGATATGGATATTTTAAAGTTTCTTGATAAAAATTGTTAAATTTTTCCTTCCCTGATAATTTACTCTCTATAAAGTCCAGAAGCATAACTTAATTGCCCCCCCCACCAAGTTACTCTCACGAATTATTTTATTTGAGAAATTTGGTCACTTGTGGCTCTCAGTGATAAATATGTTGAGAAGTTTCCCATATGTATAGATGATAATAGTAACTCATATTTACAAAGTTTATAATTTACATTTACCATGTATGTTTACATTTTAATTACAATGATCTTAGGAATGTGGAGGTTGGGGGCTATAGGAGAGCAGCCAGTGGGGAATAAAGTCAAGATTCAGACCAGGTCTTCAATTCCTAAATCTTGTAGTTTTAATTAAATCACATTACCAATGTACCTAGTTCCAGCATATAAAGTGACTCCAGAGGCGTTAAGAAAGTTCTGGAATAATGTTAAGGGAGTCAATAGCAAACGTACATACTGTATTTTTAGAATGAGACTGATTTACACTTGGGGGCTTTTAATTGCAGTCGTCCATCAGTTTTAAATTTTCAGTGTCTAAATATAAAAACGCAGCAATATAAAAAAAAGCCAGCTGTTTTCTTACTCAGAGCATGAATTGATGAGTTTATGAATGAGTGAAGTGACAGCAAGACTAAGAATAGTCTAGCCCTTTTCAATCACCTAAGCCATCTATCAATACCTTGGAGAGCTTCCAATTTCAGGTCACCTCCCCCGACCCCCCTCCACCCCACAACATTCTCGGAAAAAGCAAATTTTCAACTGACAAAGGAAAATGGATACATTAATATCTTCCATGTTTTTCAAAACATTTCGTTTATTTTGCTACTTGAAAACGGTCTTCCCTTTTGCCCCATGTAAAATAAAATTGCTCATGATCTATGGTCCCGTGAGAGCTTATTTAAGGAGCACTGACGGATTCTATTTTCCTTATTAATGTGGCATATTTGCCACGTGTGCAAATGAAAACATCCCTTTCCAATGAGTGCCTAGGAGGAAATCAGCTCTTCCTTCCTCGAAGAGTTTTAATTCATGGGTATGATCTATTTCTTTCTTTCTTTATTTTGTTTTATATATTTTTTAGAGACAGAGTCTCGGTTTTTTGTCCAGGCTGGGGTGCAGTGGCATGATCTCGGCTCACTGCAACCTGTGCCTCCCGGGTTCAAGCGATTCTTCTGCCTCAGCCTCCTGAGTAGCTGGGATTACAGTCATGTGCCACCACCCCCGGCTAATCTTTGTATTTTTAGTAGAGAATGGGTTTCGCCATCTTGGCCTGGCGGGTCTCGAACTCCTGACCTCAGGTGATCCACCCGCCTCAGCCTCCCAAAGTGCTAGGATTACAGGCGTGAGCCACCTCGCCCAGCCGGTAGGATCTATTTCTGAAGACAATGTGGAAGCAGAGTGTGGGCCCTCCACAGGTGTAGCGAGGCGGCGTGCTACCGCGAAGAAGGAGGGAAGACGCCTGAGCCCAGCCGGTGCCCTGCTGCCCCTCTGCCTCTTCGGCCACTGGGGCTGAGCTTCAGCCTTACCAATCCCCGCCGCGCACGCGCGCTCGCTTCCCGCGCGCAACCTCCCACCCCCGCCCTCACTGCACCTGCCAGGTCATAAACCTCTTCCCACCCACTCTCACTCTCTACCCAAGGCTCAGGCTTGTCTCACGTTGATTGGCCAGAGCCCACGAGGGCACGTCCAATCAGCAATCCCCCCTGCGCAACCTATCCCGGTTCTTCCCGCCCCCGCCCCGCCCCGCCCGCCCCCCCGGGTACCTACCGTCTCTGTGACTGGTGCGCGGCCAGGTCACTCAGGGCGGCGGGGCGAGGTGTGCGGGAGTGGGCAGGACGGGTGGGAGGAGGGGAGGGGTGGGAGAAGGCGGGGCTCAGGTGCCTGGCAGCGCGGCCGGGGCCCAGGAAGGGGAGGGGGCGAACGCTGGAGCGAGGCGGGGGCGGGTGAGGAGGGGGTGACGCCGGACGCGTCGACAGCGCGAGGGTTCGCGCGTGAGCTGCGCGGGTCGGGCCTGGTACCGAGCTTTCCTGGGGGCTAGCAGGTCGTGGACGCCGGCTCCTGGAGGAGAGCCGGTAGGAGGGAGTGTGAAGGTGTCCGCGGCGTCGTCGACGGCGGCGCCGGCCATGGAGGAGACGCAGCCGCCGCCGCAGCCTAAGCTGCCCCTGTGCGACAGCCTCATGATCTGGGTGAGTGCGAGGAGGCGAGAGGGCGAGGGGGCCAGGGGGCCGAGGCGAGGAGCCTGGGGCGCCCGGTTCTCCCAGGTGAGCTGGGGCTACCTGCACAGGGTCCCGGCGCACCCTGCCCTTCTCACCTCGTGCCCTTGACCGAGAGAATGCCACCTGCGGGTCGACGGGCAGGTGTGTGGGCGCGGGTTGGTGTCCGGGGGTGGGGGTAAAGGAAGCTCTGGGAGCGTAACAGTGGAGGCTCTGGTCTCAACCAGAGGATTCGACCTGCCTGGTGCCCTAACAGCTGGGATATGAACCAAGCACCCATCCTCTTTTCTCCCCGCTGCCCCATTTTCTCCCCCTGAACAGCGCCCGAGCCCTCCACTTTCTGGATCGCCGACTCTCTTGCCTTGGTCCGCTTGGGCGTGAAGACCCTTTCCGAAACCTAACCCTGCATCCTCAAACTACCTTGCTCTACCTGGACACAGGTGGCCAGGAGGTGGCTGGCTGTTTTAGTTCCCGGACCAATGCTCCTTCAGGACTCTAGAACATCCGATTTTGTAGAAGCCGCTTCAAAGAGATGTTTGTATTTCCCGTATGGAGAAAAAGATGTGTTGGGAGTCGGGGGTCGTTTTCCCTTTTTCTCGCTGGCCCTCTCCTCCTCTAAATGGACAGCATTTTCTTTAAAGAAAATGAGTTGACATTTTTCTTTAGGATTTATCTGTGTTTAGGATTTTTGTTAATTTGTGTTGGGTCTGGACAGGCATATCTGTCCCCAGATTGTTCAATATTCCAGTCAGCAAAATGACATCCCACCTCTTAGAGTTACTTAGATATCAGTGCTGGCATTCAGGTGTGGTTCTTAACCCATATTGAGTAAAGATGGTGTTTGATGAGCCACAAGGTGCTGTTGATGATGCTCATCCCAAACCAGTTGTTTAGTTGCGTCTAGGGGAGTGTGTGCAGATGGAATGTAAACAGACGGGATCAGGAGGCTGTAATCGGTTGAGATTCCCTAGTGATCTAATGCATCTAATTCCAAAGAATGAGAAATCTAGGTTTATGGAAATGTGTGAAGCCTATTGGAAATAGCCATAATTTAAAGCATTTACACTTTGTAAGTAAATAACTTTTGCTTTTAGTGGAATGCAAATATTTAGGGTTTGTGAGTTAAAAGCAATTAGCTAACTGTTCAGCTGAATTTTCATTTGAAATAGGTATTGGGGTGGAAGTGCTGTATTTAAGACTGTCGTAGAAACAAGGCAACATTACTTTTAATGATTTGTTTTGTTAAAACAGACTAATTAAAGGGTGTATCCGAATCTGCTACATTATTGTAAACCTCAATTGACTGAAGTGTTAAGCTTAGTCTT
The DNA here is from genome assembly GCF_000001405.40 of Homo sapiens. NCBI lineage: Eukaryota > Metazoa > Chordata > Mammalia > Primates > Hominidae > Homo > Homo sapiens. Next base: position 59,816,533 of record NC_000001.11, read on the forward strand.
TATGATGTCATTGATTTACATGTGAGGTGGTGGAGAAGCACAGGATTTTCTTTTGTGTTGTAATATTTTAAAATATTATGTGACTGTATCCACTCTTTTAACCAGAATTTATTGACTTCCAATGTTGAGCTAGGCACTGGGGAGGACTGGAGTGGTAGCCAGAGCTGTGTGTAATTACAGTGGAAGGTAAAATTCCGTAAAAGCTGCAAATATGTTGTAAACCAAATGATAAGGAATCACAGATAACAGAGTAAAATTGGTCGTTTTCTTCAGTCCTCTCTTGGGCTGCTGAGCACTGTGGAGAAAATTGAATGACCGTGCAAACTGTTGCCTCTACTAATGCTGTTACTGTCAAACGCACCTTTTCTCCTAACATTGCCCATACTTAAGAATAACCAGACAGTTTCTCTCACATTCCTCTTAGCAAACCTTTATCAGTATTCTACCTGAGCCCCCAACTCTTATTCCTCTGGGGCAAATGACCACCTCCTTATCCTTGGCTCTGGCTTTAGACTCCATCCCTTCCACCTCTTTTAAAACGTTATTGTATCATTTGTTCCCTTTCTGTATTTACAACTACTTTCTCTCCATTGGCTCCTTTCTCTGTATGTATAAACTTGCTGAAGTATTCCCCTTTTTTAACAGAGAACAAAGAGCCACTATTCCGTGTTAAAGTCATACTGTATTTCCCCTTTCCTTCACAGTAAAATTTGAGTTGTTTTATTCTCACCCTTTATGCTTCACTCTCATTCAGTCTTCAACCCACTACCCTTGAGTTTCTTTCCTCTAAGACTTTCACTTCATTACCAGTTTGCTAAATCCACTAAGTGTTATATTACCATTTTCTTACTTGATGGTTCCTTTGTGAAATTATCTTGTCTTGGTTTCTGGTTATCTTGTCTGTTGCCTTTTCTTTACCTCTTTAGATGATTTCCAGTGAAGTTTACTGTCTTTTTTTTTTAATTAACTAATTATTTTTGCCTTTGCCAGCAACCGCACTGTTGATCTTACCTCACCTACCCAACTTTCTCCAAACTCACCTCAAGCAACAGTTCTTCAAGCCTATCATGCTGCATTGACTTTCTATTTGTTGAAGAAGCTAAGCTGTTTTAATGCATCAGGGATTTTTTTCCCTCTACCTAGAATATTCTCTTTCTAGTTCTTCCAGTGGTTGGCTGCTTCCGTCATTCAGGTCTTGGGTCAGATGTTGCTTTTCAGGGACTCTTTGTTACAACCATTTCTAAAGTTTGTCTCCCACCCTTATCCCACTGTAACCTGTTAACCTCTTTCTGTCTTATCTATAACACAGTACTTTCTAAAGTAATCCAGTTGGCTTTTGGGATCAGAGCTCTTACATGACCTATTTTCTGCTCTGTCCCTAGGAGAACACTGACAACTATTGCCAATAAGACACCAAATCAAAGTGGTGATAGTAAATATCATTGCCTTGGTTCTCACCTCAGAGACTAGTGTTTCACCATTAAGTGTGATATAGCTTAGTTTTTTATAAATACTTGGGAGTGAATTTTTAACTGGGTCATAGAGGATTGTTGGATTTCAGCAAGTAGAAATCAGTGGAAATTAGTTCTCCAGACACAGGGAAGAGACACTAGTAGTAAAACAAATGGTCTCCTTTGGCTATAGATTAAAGGGAGATAGTGGAACACACACATTTGTCATGATAACCCTGGCTCAAAGATAGAAGATTAAAAAAAGTTATGATGGGGCCAAATCATGGAGATAAGACAGTTGGGAATAACTCTTCTTTCAGCGCTAGGAGGAGAATGGAGCCAACATCAACAGAATTAGAGAAGTCATCAAGAAAAGTTAGTTATGTGAAGGAATGCCTCTTGTGGCAATTTTTTAAAAATTGCATTTTATGATTTGGAACTCACCGTCTTAAAATAATTGGCTCTTAGAAATGTTGTACTGCTACTTAGCAGAAAATTCAGGGCAAAAGGGTAAATGTGGGTATCATTTACATGTTGGAGGACATGTATGAGAGTTTGAAGAAATGTTTGTATAAAGATAAATTTAATTCTGCTACTTGGTTCTGTGACATTGGAAATTTGTTTAATATCTTTGGACCTTACTTTCACCAATAAAATTAGAAGGTTGGACCAAATATATTTAAATGTTTTTCTTGGTTCTTGCATTCTTTGACAGGCAGATGAAGGAAAGAGTAATAATTAATATATGCCTAAATTTAGAAAATTATTAAAACCTCAATTATTTTTATGAAGATCTTAAAACTTAAAGCAATGGTTGTTTTTTTTGTAATGAGCAGCTGGAGGAGGAGAATATGAAAATAAAGTTGATCCAAGATTGAGTTTTTGTTGGCTGTTGGTTGTGAAAACCCCATTTTCCTTGATTTCTGTGACATTTATATTAAAGTAGTTTAGGAACAGCATTTCCACATTTCTGATTATTTGTTTTATTTAGAAATATAGAAGAGAGTAAGGTAATTATTTGCCAGAACACTGTGTTTAGCGGTAGACACCTGTGGAAACCCTGTCTGTCTTTTTTGGGTCACTCACTAAAAAGACTTTAGTTAGAAAGAATACATTTTCTTTTGTCTGCTTTGACCTCACTCGCCCCAATAAGCATTTTTTTTTTTTTTTTTTTTTTTTTTTTTGAGGCGAAGTCTCACTCTGTTGCCTAGGCTATAGTGCAGTGGCATGATCTCGGCTCACTGCAACCTCCACCTCCCGGGTTCAAGGGATTCTCCTGTCTCACCCTCCCTAGTAGCTGGGATTACAGGCATGTGCCACCACACCCGGCTAATTTTTGTATTTTTAGTAGAGACAGGGTTTCACCATGTTGGCCAGGCTGGTCTCGAACTCCTCACCTCAAGTGATCCACCTGCCTCGGCCTCCCAAAGTGCTGGAATTACAGGCATGAGCCACTGCACCCAGCCTCCCCACTAAGCTTTTTAATTAATTCACTCTTCTTGGTTGTAAGCCTTTCAATTGAGTGAAATCAAATTACATTCTGTTTTCTAATTTATTTTGCAGCTATTTTAAGAACTTCTCAGAGACACTCCAATGTCCATGGCAGGAAGGAGGGGAAATTGATTTTAATCTGAACATAGTGGTCATGGAGGTAGTCCCTTAGCATGTGTACCTCTTATTTTGCCTAGTATTCTGTGCCTCTGAAATTGTCCTTTTAAAATCATGAATTGTGTCAATTTTGTAAAAAGTTAATGATGTAACTTCTAAGTTACACATTAAAAGTTAATGTTTAAGTTGGAAGGGCTGAAAAGTGGAAGTCACAGTTTATTTTCCTTTTAAAGATGCCCTAATTCTTGGAGTTTCTCTTCCCTGTACATCCACCCAGTTGCAAAATCCTTCTTATTTTGTATTTTAAATATTCCATTAATTCATCATCTCCTCTCAGTCAATATTATGCTGATTCCCTCTACTCTATTTTTGTCATCAGAGCCATTGCAGGAACCTTCTAACTGGTCTGCCTGACTCAGGCATAAAGCTACTCTGTGTCACTATCTGCTCTCCAAAATATGCCAAAGAATGTTACTCTTCCTTATTACTTTTCAGTGATTTTTCATCACCCAGAGCAGTGGTTCTCCAAAATTGACATATTTAAGAATCAGTTGGAGATTTTCTTATTTAATATGTCTAGAGATTCTGATACATATTGTTTCTAGGCCCTATACTTGGAGAAACCCTGACTCATAGCTAATGTGCTAACAGCTGTTGAGCTTATGCCACATGCCAGGCCCTGATATAGGTATATTTGCTATTTCACTTAATTCCCCAACCATCTTGTGAGGTAGAAACTACTCTACTGTTTCTTATTATGTAGATAATGCCATTAAGTGTAAAATAAGTCCAAGCTTCTTGTCATGGCCCTTTGGAGTCCTGTCTCTTTAACCCTGTTGGTTGTCACCCCTTCCCCAGCCTTCTTTGCACTGCAAATCCAGTGATACTGAACTGCATGTTCCCTAAAAATAATATCTCTTCTCATGTATCTGTACTTTTATCATATTCCTATTTCCTGAAGCTTTTTTTCCTTGACTATTTCTTTACTTAGAAAATATGCTACTCTTCCCTCTAGACCTTCCATTCAGAAATCATCTCCGAGAAGCCTTTCCTAAATACAAACCCTAATTAGATTAGTTGACACCCATTTTTTGCAGAACATTTTGTGCATACTGTAATCATGGGACTTACCATATTGTCTAGAAATGATTTATGTCTCTTCCTCCTCTCCTTAACTTTTGACTGAAGCTTTAAGGGTAGAAACCTGGTGGTTTTCCTTTGTAGCCCCATCATGTGCCACAGTGTCTCACATAGCGTAGGAGCTTAGTAAAGTGTCTCTGTGTGTTTTGAAAATAACTGGCTAGGTTTAGTTTGCTGGTATCATTCATCTGTGTTGTGTTAGATAATGGAGGTCTGAATCTCCAGTTGCCAACTCTGAAAATGCACAGAACCATTAAAAGTGAATTATGGCGGGAGAGAATTTTATTGGATTAAGATAGTTAAATGGTAAACTAAGAAATTATTAGTGAACAGTGAAATGGGTGAGTATGTGTGGGAAAAGAGAATCATAGTATATTTAACTTAAGGTGTTTATAGGTTGAGATTACCTTTCTAGAAAGTTTATGATCCATTTTAGCTCTGATGTAATTTGCTTTCTAAATTTTTTTCTATCTCATATTTGCTTATTGTAAAAAGAGGTTATTATTCCGCTTCTCTTCAATATATACATGAATATTTAACAGATATATGTGAAAAGTTAGTATACCTAAAGCCAAAATAGATAGAAACAACTTGACGTGATAGATAGGGCTTGATTCTTCAAGACGTAAGGCCAATTTTTAGATAGGAAACAGAAGTCCTGTCTTATTTCAGAGCTCATGGATAAACTGTAAGTAGGTTTAGACTTGACATTTCTAGCCTTTGTTTTTCTATCAAATGATATGAGTGAAATTTTAAGTTGCAAATGTTGGGTTATCTTTAAGTTCTTTTTCTGATGTTCTGCTAAATATAGACAAAACACAAGACTAGAGTTATATACCTGGTTTTGTATTATTCCAAATTATGTATTACTTATGCATGGCATCAATATGTTCTAATGTCCTAGGCATGATTTTGTGAAATGTTTAGTTTATTTTTATAAAGTTACACAGCCATAGAGACATATTAGCATAGTTCCATTTGTTTGTCTGGGTCTACATTTAAACAAAACAGGACCATGTTTTTTTTTTTTGTTTTTTTTAGCTGTTTTCAATTTATGTTTGCATTTTGTAATGCTACCTTGTAGGTATAAAGAAGCAGTAAGATCATTTGATTTATGTCATTTTAGCTGCAGACATTCAATACTGCCTCACCTTGTCAAGATGTCAAACAGCTGACTAGTGGAGTTGCCATGGCACAAGTTCTTCATCAAATGTGAGTAGTGGTCAGACTCTCCCTGAAAAGCATTGTAAACCCAATACATACCAAGGAAGAAAACTTGGACTTGAATTCCAAAGGTTGTTGCAACTTTATCTTACCCAGTGACATATTCAGGAATATGGCACCAAGGCATTCTTGCAGGTAGGGAACAAAAAGTTTACCACCTCATTATTCCTGGCTTGTTCATAGAGATACATCTTAACTGGATATGTGATCAGGATTCTTATTTATTCAAGTTAACTTATTTTAAACTTGTTATGAGCATGTTCACACTATTTTAAAACTATAAAAGAAACAAGTTAATGATACAATTGCTTATGGTGTTTTCTTTGGTTGTACTGTTGTCATTTTAAGGTATCCGTGCATGGAGATTATTATCTTAAAAATTATTGAAGCATAAAATATTGGATTTTGAAAAAATTTTTAAAGAATTAAATTTTAAAATGTATTTCTGAATTAATAGTAGTTTATGAGTTCACCAATAATGAAATGAGGAATGAATGAAATTTGAAGTCACAGGTACTGGGAAACTTTAATAAAGTGGTTGTGTTTAGGCTGGACCCATTTTATGTAATCATATAATATCAAAAGTTTCTAAATCCATTTTTCCCCTAATATTTGCCAACATTGTTTAAGGGTTAGGGTTACGGTCTGTAATATGAGCTGCACCCTAAGTAGGACAAACAAGGCCAATTCTGCACTCACAATTTATTAATTAATAATTATAACAACTTTATATTAGCTTACTTTGAGACCAGAATCCTATCTCGTCTTCACTGTTTTATAGTCAGATTATTTGTCACCATCATCTTGTAAAGATTTGCCATGATTTACATTGAAAACCCTTTAGATGGGTTAACAAAAATCCTATGCCTGTCTTAGAAAAACAATTAAAATGATATAAAAATCCTACTTGTTTAGAATCTTCAAAATGATCTCTTGCGAATAGACTGATTTAATGGTTAATTTATGATTAATACTTTAAAAGACAAACTTAACTAACATGTTAACTTTTGAGGAGGTTGACAGTTATTGTAAAACATACCTTACTCCCATTCTGTCTTAAAAATATTTCTTAAATGTTTGATTGGCCGGGTGCGGTGGCTCAAGCCTGTAATCCCAGCACTTCGGGAGGCCGAGGAGGGCGAATCACAAGGTCAGCAGATCGAGACCATCCTGGCTAACATGGTGAAACCCCATCTCTACTAAAAATACAAAAAATTAGCCAGGCATGGTGGCGGGCGCCTGTAGTCCCAGCTACTCGGGAGGCTGAGGCAGGAGAATGGCGTGAACCTGGGAGGCGGAGCTCACAGTGAGCCGAGATCCTGCCACTGCACTCCAGCCTGGGTGACAGAGCAAGACTCCGTCTCAAAAAACAAAAAACAAACAAACAAAATTTTATTTATTTATATCTTAATTGATTTTGAAATGATTTAATTCATCAGAGCCAAACATTCTGGACATAGTTCTTTTCTCATGATTTGAGAAAGTCATCATTGTTTTTTGTCACTAGAATTTATGCCTTGCCTTCTTCTCATCATGCTATGTTGTGAATATTGGTGTAGATGCAGCAACATTGTGGTTGGTATGAATGTAAGGCTGGTATGCATTCACTCATTTCAACAGTCCCATTCAGAGCTGTCCTTTCTATATGTTTTGGTGGGCTTTGGTAGCTTTATGCCAGAATACAATCAAAAGAAACCTGTTTTTACCATGATGTGATGCATATAGCTCTTTGACCTCCTATGCTCTAGCACTGGACCTGATGTTTGGAGTAGAGTCAGTAAATTTTAGCTAATTTTTCCACAGTCTGTTGGATTATGCTGTTAATGCTGATCTTCCCTCTCTGTGCTTTTTCTTTATTTCTTCTTTCTTTTGTCTGTAACAGTCTTCTAAGAGCTTTTCTGCAGTAACAATAAAATAGTCAATCAGAAATTCTCTGTCACCATTAACAAATGGCCAGTGCCCTAAAATTAACCCTAAATATCTCTCTCTTTCTCTCTCGTTCTCTCTTTGCTTCATTCACTTGATTTTATATGTTCTTAGGTGTCTGAGCCTCCTTATCATCCAGGGGCTACTTTTTATTTATTTTCTTTTTAAACTCCTTTACAGTTTTGGAACTTTTCAGAAGTCTGGATCCTGGATAGTGAGACATAAAGCATACATTTTTCCTTAGTTGGACCAGTATGTCCTATTCCGATTAAAAGGTTAATTTTACCATATGTCTTTGAACATTTCAAAGCACTTTAAATATGTTACAATTTTTTTTTTTTTTTGAGATGGAGTCTTGCTCTGTCACCTAGGCTGGAATGCAGTGGTACAATCACGGCCCACTGCAACCTCCGCCTACCGGGTTCAAGTGATTCTCCTGCCTCAGCCTCCTCAGTAGCTGGGATTACAGGCGCATGCCACCATGCCTGGCTAATTTTTGTATTGTTAGGAGAGATGGGGTTTCACCATGTTGGTCAGGCAGGTCTTGAACTCCTGACCTCATGATCCGCCCACCTTGGCCTCCCAAAGTGCTGGGATTACAGGCGTGAGCCACCGCGCCCAGCTCAAATATGTTATAATTTTTAACATATTGCATTGATGACTATTGTGGCTGACATCGTGTCACATCAAAATTGTTACTGAAGGTTAGAAGAGAAATTCTGCTTTTTAAGGAAGCAGCAAAATTTAACCAATAGTTTTTTTCTATTTACTTGAGGCAGATATTTTTCCAAATAGTAATATCTTTATAAAGTGGTGTCTAAACTGTTTAACTTAGACATAAAGAGTCATGGAGTTATTGCTAGGGTTCTACAGTTTCTTAATTATTATCTTCAATTTGAATATGTAGCACATAACTCTCTTTTTCAAATGCATGTAGAAGCTTCAGTTATTTTAAAAACACATGGGAAAAAACTATACAACTGTGTTAGTTTCCTAGGGCCACTGTACCAAAGTGCCACAGACCAGGTGGCTTAAAACAGCAAAAATCAATTCTCTCACACTTTTGGAGGCTAGAAGTTCTAAATCAAGCTATTTTCTGGGCTATGCTCCCTCCAAAGCTTCTAGGAGACGATTCTCCTTTGCCTCTTCCAAATTCTGGTAGTCCCAGGCATTCTTTGGTTTGTGGCAGTGTATCTCTACTCTGTCTTCACATGGCCATCTTACCTCTGTCTGTGTCTCTTTTCTTATAAGGGCACCAGACATATCAGATTAGGGCCCATCCTAATTCATTATGACCTGATCTTACCTTTATTACATACATGAAGACCTTATTTCAATCACACTCACAGGGGATAGGACTTAAACATATCTTTTTTGATAGTACAGAACAACTGTAAATAGTGCGTGCCATATCTTCAAAAGAAAGGCTTAGCTTCTTCACTTTAAGCACCAGTTAACCTCTCTGTTCCTATTGTCTTTGACTAAACTTTTTTTTTGTAAGAGGGAGAAGAATGAGACAGATAATGTAGGATATTCAGAGACCTTAAGAATCATGCATTTATTTGCTTATTCATTTAGCAGATATTTGAGCATTTAACATGATAAACCATGATAGCCAACATCTGAATATATACTAAATAAAAGCATCATTATAGAACTTATTTGACTTTCTTTCATTTAAAATTTACTAGTTTAGTGAGGTAGATGTTATTTTTACCTTCAATTTATACAAGAGGACAGAGGTATAAGTAGTTGAAATTGCTTTTGGAAGTTAAATGATGAGTAAATAACAAAGCTAGGATTTGCATCAGTTTGGTCTGACTCCAAGTTCAGTGCTCCCAACCAGCTGTAATCATTGAAATGTACTGAAGTCATCCCAATAGATTTTTACTTTGCAGTATTAATAAAATGAAAGTCAGTTGTGTATAAAGTATAGATAGATGTCCATATAAGCATGGACATAAAGTGTAGATAGTTATGTGTACAGTATAGATAGATGTCCATGTAAGTATGGACATCCATCTATGGACATCTATCCATGGACATACTTACATGAACATCTATCTATACTTTATATACAACTGTCCAAAATATAGACCACAGTTTAATGGGTTAATAGAGAAGATTTCTGGATATTTCAAGAAGAATAGGCTCTGGGTATACATTGAAGTGACACAACTATATTGTTTATAGTAACTAGTAGGTATTTCTTACTACCTGAATTCAGTTGGTAAAACTGTGGAAGATAAATACACCGGATGGAGTTAAAATGTAGTAATTCTTACTTAGTTTTATTAGAAAATAATTGGACCATATTTTGGTTCATTAGTCCTGTGTCCCCTTTCTTATTTGATATCCCTTGAGTGTTATTGAAGTTCTGGGAAATATAAGAAAAGGAGCTAATTATTGGGTGCCAAGACTCTAAGGCATGTAGAGGTTGTAGAGGTTGCAGCGCAAAAGGAAAAAAAAAAAAAGAGATGCCCTGAGATTTCTGAGGTTGGAGATCAAGTTTAATAGTGGAAAAGGTTGACTGCCATTATAGTTGTTTGAGAAGGGTGAATTTGTGTATAAGAAAGCAGGAGATATATTTTTACTAAGTTAGAAAGTATTTCTCTGGGCTAAAGTTGATTTGAGATAGAAAGGAAGATGAGGAGGAATGTAAGACAAAAGGAATTATCTTGGAAAAACTAGAGAAAAATACATTACATCTAGATCCAATTTCTAAAGGTAATTATAGCATAGAATCACATACTTGGATTTTTTTAGGGTCAGTTAGAAGACTGGGGTGGTAGTCAGGGTTGTCCAGAGAAACAGAACCAGTAGAGGGTGAGTGTGTGTGTAATCTTTGTCTCAATATACACACATGTGCACACACATGCAGATTCTTTTTCTTTTTTTGAGACGGAGTTTCGCTCTTGTTGCCCAGGCTGGAGTGCAAAGGCACAATCTTGGCTCACTGCAACTTCTGTCTCCTGAGTTCAAGCGATGCTCCTGCCTCAGCCTCCCGAGTAGCTGGGATTACAGGCATGTGCCACCATGCCTGGCTAATTTTTTTGTATTTTCAGTAGAGAACGGGCTTCTCCGTGTTGGTCAGCCTGGTCTCAAACTCCTGACCTCAGGTGATCTGGCTGCCTCGGCCCCCCAAAGCGCTGGGATTACAGGCATGAGCCATGCGCCTGGCCCAAGATTTTTTTTTTAAGGAATTGGCTCATGTGATTGTGGAGGATGAAAAGTTTAAATTCTGCAGGGTAAGCCAGCAGGCTAGAGACTCAAAGGGCAGCTAGAGTTGGAAAGCCATCTGCTGGCACAATTTGCTCTTTCTTTGGGGGAGTTCAGCCTTTTTCTTAAGGCCTTCAACTGATTGGATGAGACCCACCCACATTATGGAGGGTAGTTTGCTTTATTCAAAGTCTACTGATTTAAATGTTAGTATCATCTAGAAAATATCTTCCCAGCAACATCCAGATGGGTTTTTACCAAATATCTGGTTACTGTGGCCTAGCCAAGTTGACACATAACATTAAACATCACAACTGGCGTGACTCCTCTGGTTAGGAGTTTTTATTACTTAATCTGATATAAAAAGGAAGTGAATTGGACAGTTTTGACTCATTAACTCGATTCATTCAGTCATTTCAAGTAAATACCTGGTTAGCAGTGTAGCATTTACACATTTAGATAAATTGTTTCGGTAATTGCAGACTTGGCATCTGGGAATAGTTGAGCACAACTAATATTAATCTGCTCAAAAGAAAATGGTTATGTACAATTATTATATGTTGATTATGAATAAAAAATAAAATGATTACAAATTCCAAATAAATGAATTGAAAGTAGTGAAGCCATTTTTTTTTTTCTTTTGGTTATCATAGCCAGAAGAGTTATCTTCTGGTTTTAGAACATATGAGCAGAAAGGTTTCAGTTTTGCGTTCTTAAATTCAATTTACAACCTTGGAAAAGAAGCTCTTTACTTTTTCCCCTATTTTAGTTGGCATACCTGTAAAGTAAGAATTTAGATGAGACCTTTAAGACCTCTTCCAGCATAAACATTCTGTGATTTTGAAGTTGTTTTACCCTTAGAACATTTATCACATTCTCCTTCGAGTATAGTTATTTGTGCTTTTTACTTTTCTCCTTTAATAACTACTTCTCTAAGAGTCAAAAGGGTAAATTATCTTCATATTAATCTTGCTCAATTCCTTACTCAGAGAAAGCATCTAGATATTTGTTTAGAATAAAGTCTATTAATGTAGTTCACTATATATAGTCAAATGTTGTTCTTCAAAACCTTATTAAATACACAAAAATTTAGTATAGCAATTCTTTGTCTTGGCCATCAGTATCAATATGGGACTTTGCTTTTCATTAAAACTAAACTTGTCTTTGTAGACTTCTCATTTAAACTCATTCTGCTTAATTCTACTCAGTTGAATAGATTAATTTTGGGCCTTGCCATGTGCTATTAATAGTATCACTCAGGGCAAATTACTTAGACTCTCTCATCCTCAATTCCCTAAATAGTAAGACTGGAAATAATAATGGAGTATTTGCCAAGTTACCATCATATTTAAATGAAATAACTTGGAACAATATCAAGTGCTTGATACAGAGTAGAAACTCATTAAAATGTTGGTTTTTTACCTCTTCACGGTTGTGACTTTTGCATCTTCCTGGTAGCAGGGCACCTAGTATTAAATATTTAGTAAATGTTTATTAAATTGAAGGTGCAAATAACTTAAATAACTTAATATGATAAATTATTGCTATATAAGTAATATTCAGTATTGTTATTAAGGATAGGCTTTAAGACATAAAGTAACTTTCTCTGTTGGCTCTATTTAATTTTTTGTGTAATAAAAACATTTTCATCTTTAGTATTTTTTTTGTTGTTGTTTCAGTGATGCAGCTTGGTTTAACGAATCTTGGTTAAGCCGAATTAAAGAGGATGTTGGGGACAACTGGAGAATAAAGGTATGCAGAACAAATGGGAGAAGCACTTGATCCAAACAGTGGTCCTAAAGTTAGCACTAAGTTAACCAAATCTGTTTTTCAAATTAACTTATAGTACTTTTTGTTGTGTATAGTTTGAGTTTTAACACATGTATTCTCTCATGTAACTACCATCATAATTAAATAGAAAATATTCCTATTAACCAAAAATATGCACTTCAGGCCCATTCTCTATTAATCCCTACCCCCAGCCTTGCCCTAGGTAGCTATAGATCTGTTTTATGTTACTATGGAGTTCATTTCTGGAACTCTGTATAAATTGAATCATATAATATGTACTCTTTTTGTCTAACTTCATTCACTCAGTGTAATTTTTCAGTCTCATTCATGTTGCCTGCATTAGTAGTTATTTCTTTTTTTGCTAAGCAGTATTTCATTAGACTGATATTTTGTGGTTTGTTTAGCTATTCACTTGTTGATGGATGTTTGAATTTTTAACATTTTTGACTATTGTGAATACAACAGCTACAAACATTCATATATGAATCTTTGGATAGATGCATATTTAATTTCTCTTGGGTGAATTTCTGGGTGGAATTGCTAAGTTGTATAAGTATGTGCTTAACCTTATAAGAAACTGCCAAACTGATTTTCTATTTTTAAGTCAGTTTTGTTGTGTCTTGTAGGACATTTGTTTCATACAGGATGTATGATTTGTTGATACACAGTCCTTAACTGAATTACTGTGCTAATAATGTGCTAATAACTGATCTTTAATGATGTTTCCTTTTCTTTTCCTGCTATTGGTTATTTGTGTCTTTTGAATTTATTTTCCTTGATAAGTCTGGCTAGATGTTTTTCAATTTTACTTATTTATTTTTTAAAGAATTAGTGTATGTTTTCTATTCCATTGATTTTTCTGATTTTTATTATTTCCTTTCTCTCACTTAACCTGTTCTTCTTTTTCTTGCTTCTTAAGGTGGAAGCTTAAATAATCAACTCTAAACCCTTTTTTCCCCTAATATTAACCACCATCTTAGCCACATCCCACATATTTTGACAGACTGTTACTTTATTTTCATTCAGTTCAAAATATTTGGTAATTTCCCTTATAAAGTTTTCTCCTTTGACCTATGAGTAAATTAGAAGTAGGTAATTCAAATTCAAAATATTTGAGGATTTTCCAGTTGCCTTTCTTTTATTTATTGGTTTCTAATAGATCTGAGACAATACTCTGTATTGAGAAGTTATTTTACATTTATTGAGTCTTATTTTATGACCGAACCTATGGTCTGTCTTGGTGAATGTTCCATGTGCATATGAAAACAGCATGCATTCTACAGTTGTTATATAAATATAGATTTTGTTAAATTTGTTGATAGTGGTATTTTCCATATCTTTATTGATATTTTTTCTTATTATACTATGTGTATAGTGTAGTATAGACTCTGTAGAGAGCCCTTAAATCTCTAATGATGATTTCGATTTTGTTGATTTCTCCTTTGCATTTTTTTGCTTTTTACTTCATGTATTTTGAATTTCTGTTATTAAGTTTATTACACACTATATTTCTTGTGTGTTCTTGAATGAATTCACTTATTATGAAATGCTTTTCTTTATCCCTGGTAATATTCTTTTATTTGAAATCAAATTAGCTCTAATATTAATGTAGCCACTACAGATTTTTTATGATTATATTTTTCATTAGTATTTCTTTTTCCATTCTTTTAATCTGCCTATGTCTTTTTATTGAAAGTGTTTCATGTAGACACCTAATAGTTGGGTCTTACATTTTTATCCAGTTTGACAATCTGTATTTGATTCTTTATTGTAAAAAACCTTCTATTTCTTACATTCATGTTTTTGTTCAAATCCTTGAACATCTTTAAACTAGAAGTTTTAACATTGTCTCAATTCTTTTATCTTTCATTTCTGAACCCATGTGTATTGACTGAGTTTTCTCCTAATTTTGGTTCCCACTTTCCTGCTTCTTCACATCTGTAGTAATTTTTTAATTGGATGCTAAACATTATGAATTTTATTATTGAATGCTGATTTTTTTTTTTAAGTTTTTTTTTTTTTTTCCTGAGACAGAATTTCGCTCTTACGCCCAGCCTGGAGTGAAGTGGTGCAATCTCAGCTCACTGCAACCTCTGCCCCCGAGGTTCAAGCGATTCTTCTGCCTCAGCCTCCCGAGTAGCTGGGATTACAGGTGCCCACCACCATGCCTGGCTAATTTTTGTATTTTGAGTAGAGGCGGGGTTTCGCCATGTTGGCCAGGCTGGTCTTGAACTCCTGACCTCAGGTGATCCAACTGCCTCAGCCTCCCAATTAAGTATATTCTTTTGAGGAGTGTTGAATTTTCTTCTTGCAAGCAGTTAAGGTACTTGGAATCAGTTTGATCCTTTAAAGGCCTATTTTTGGCTATTGTGGGGGGCAGAACTAAAGTTATTCTTTCCTTTAGGACTAAAGTAGACTCATTACTAAGCTGTGACCTTTTTGGGGGTCTTTAGTGAATGTTTTGTGCGTGTAGCATGGTGTCTTCATTCTGGCTAGTGAGAATTTCAAAAATTTTTTGGCCTGTATAATCTTTGGGAATGGTTCAGTTTATAGTTCCCTGGATTGTTATTTCTTTGGAAAGAACATTCAGTTTCACCCATCCACATGCAAACTGGTATTTAGCCAAAGAGTCAAAGGAACCATTTTACACAAATCTCCAGAGCTTGCTCATTCCATAGCTCCCATCTTTTCATCGTCTGCCTTGCAAATTCAAACTGCCCAGGCCTTCCTGAACTTCTAATGTCTTATCTCTTCAATCGGTGAGAACATCAGGCTTGGTGTTTGGTTTCCACCTCCCTATGCTGTAGTCTGAAAATTGCCTCAAGACAGAAAGCTTGTACTAGTGTAGGGCCCATTTTCTGTTTGTTTTCATTCTTTCAGAAAGCAGAGTTCTGTACTACTTACTTGTCTAAAGCTTGCAAACAATTGTTTAATGTATTTTGTCTTATTTTCTAGTTATTAGTGACAGGAGAGAAAATCAAAACCCAGTTAACTTGCTCATGACTGCAGCTGGACATGCCTGTGTATAAATTTTTACAGTGGGCCCTTGAGTTCATTGTGACCCACTTTAAATAGAATCACCCTACTTAACTAAACACTGATTAAATCTCTGATGGTTAAAAAGCATCATGTGTTTGTATTTATAGAACTCTATTATAATGTTTTTGTTGTTCTTTTTAATTAGGGGAAAGTTTTTATTGTCTTTCATGCTGACATAACTTTTCTTTCATTATTAATCTGAAATAAGAATCTCTTATTTTTTTCACATTAGGCCAGTAATGTAAAGAAGGTCCTTCAAGGAATTATGAGTTATTATCATGAGGTATGAAAACCATCTGACTTTGTTTAAATGCATCATGCTATACGAAAATTACTTTAAGACTGAAAAATCACTTGGTTTTTTGTTTATAATATTTTACTGGAATGTAAGTCATAATTAGAACATGTTTTATTGTCATTTTTATAGAATGCTCATTTGTGAAAATAAGCTTGGATATATTGATTTGTAAGATAACATTGCTTAGGTATTGATACTCTCCGAATTGATTTTCAAGTAGAATTACCTTCATCTTTAATATATTTGATTTTGTGCAATACTATAAAGTAGACTTTATAATTAATTGAAATAATTTTCTATTTAAAGCAATATTTTGACATTTCTTCCCAGCGTAAACAGTAGCAAAGACATAAATGAGATTATGCTCATACAAGTAAATTGGAAAAAATGCAAAATAAAAGTAGTATTATAAAGTCACTTTAGATAGTACATTAGTCAAATAGTTTTGTTTTTTCTTATTCAGCATCATAACAAGTTCTCTAGTAGGGTTTTTGATATAAGAGAGTTTATTGCTGAATGATTGGCAGCTTTTGAATGACTTTTCCATTAAAGAATTTTTGTTTCTATTCTTTAAAGTCGTCACACAATTAAACTTGTAATTTCTTCCCAAAATGTTTAATATTCTCTAAAATTTTTCAATTTATTAAATACCTAAAACTAATTCTGAAGCTGTTTTAATGCCAAGAACCCTTTTAATCAGCTAAAAAATAAGAAAAAGAAAGATAAGACCAGGAAAAAAAATTAATCCATTAGATTTGTTGCTCATTTGTAAAAGTACAGTGATTTACATTGTGTTTCTCTGTTAATTGATTATATATGAAAATATTATGAATATTCTTTGGCTTAACATATGCTTATTATTTAATGGACAGGCATAAGTTTTATCATAGTAGACTAGGCCAAGTGCTTCTTAAGTTAAATTCTTCTCTCTGACAGTGAAATCAAAGGATATTTGATGTGAAACCAAAAGGAAATATAGTGCTTTTGGTTGGTTACTCAGAATTTTGGAATGTTGCCTGAACATTGCTAACTGGTTTTAATAATTATTTATTTGTCATTTGTTATTTTATCTGAGTTGTTTCGTGAATTTATAATTTATTTTCATTGTAATATTAAATGTAGC
Source organism: Homo sapiens (assembly GCF_000001405.40). Lineage (NCBI taxonomy): Eukaryota > Metazoa > Chordata > Mammalia > Primates > Hominidae > Homo > Homo sapiens. The sequence goes on from NC_000001.11 coordinate 59,833,352, forward strand.
AAATTCTTTGCAGCCGACATAAATGAGTGATCTAATTTATTTTAATATTGTAGTTTTTGGGGCAGCAGATTTCAGAAGCACTTATCCCTGATTTAAACCAAATAACCGAATGTTCAGATCCAGTGGAGCTTGGGAGGTTGCTCCAGCTTATTTTAGGTTGTGCGATCAACTGTGAAAAGAAGCAAGGTAAGTGAATTTCAATCATTTGAGGATTTCTACTTTCTAGAAACTTTCTACATTGCTATATAAGCTAGCATTAAATCATACTATTAAAGCTTGGCAGAAAGCACCCTGAAACGTAAACCAGAAGATCTGAATTCTAGCCCAACTCTGTCGTTGAAAAGTGGCATACCTTGAGTGTCCTATTTGTACCTGGATTCTGATATTCATATTCAGTGGCTAAATTAGATGTATTTTAGTTTAATTAGTTTAATATACCCAGTACATAAGACTTAGTGGATAGTCAATAAAAATTGTACTTATTCATTTGATACATTATGTCTATTTTACATGTAAGAACCTTATGTGGATTCAGTTTTCATAAATAAATATTCAGCTACTAATTTATAATTCAAGTTTCTTCAGATAATATTCTGCTCCATTCAGAAGCATATCTGTCCAATATATCCTCCAGATAAGTGGTCTAATGATATAAATGGAATTGATGCATTATATTGGTATATCCAAACACAGTGATCCATATTTTGCTGAGTACAAAAGGATCATATTTGGTTGCATGTAATGATGAATGATGAACTGAACAGGCCCAGACCTCCTTCCCTTGAGGGCTTTAATCCGTTTCGGTGGTGAGACTTTTGACGCTGATGTTTTTTTGCATGATTCATCCAAACTTGTTCTTAGTACACCACCTTTATGAAAGAATAATGTTGAGTGCTTAAGTTTGCAAAATGCAAATACTTCAAGCCAGGGCCTTGGAAAACATTCAACATTGTCTGACTAATGAAGAAAGGATATAAGCTGGGATAAATTTACCTACAAACTCTGAAAGGAGAAAAATAAAACAAAATACATGAAATTAATTGTAGTTTATCAATTATAAAAGGACAGTGACTAGGTGTCAGAGAATTTTTATATTAGTCCATCTCTACTATTTACTAGAAGTTTTTTTCTAGGACAAGCCAGTACTTCTCTGTAGGCTTTTATTTCTCACTTATAAATAAAGTTAAAGATCTGTATATTGGGTTTTTCATAAAAGCAGGGACATTTGCTCATGGAAGGTTAAAACTTCTCTAAATATTTAATCACAAATTGACAAGTAGTAATTTATTTATAAATCTAGTAATTTTTTGTTGTAATCGTGATTATTTTTATTTTTTCATTGATTAATGCTTTGTTAATATTTTCATTGCTGGTTATTTGTAACTTATTTTTGCTTAATTAATCTTAACCAGGTTTGTAAGTTTCGTTAGTCTTTTTTAAAGAGCCAACTTTTGGCTTTGATTCTATTTTGTTTTTACTATTTAGTTTTGTTGTCCTCTTTTATCTCATACGTTTTTCTTGTGAATTAATCAGCTGTTCCTTTTCTAAGCTATAATTGACATTTTAAGTGGTAATTTTGCCTTAAAGTGATTATTTTGTTGCATCCTAAAAATTTTAATATTATATGTAATATTTTCATAATTTACTTCTAAGCACTATTGAGCAATTTTGTCCAGTTTTAAAAGGAATTCAATTCCTAGATACATAACTTTTTAAAAGCTTTCACACTTTTGTATTTTGCTGTATGAATTGATTTTTAAAATGATTTCAAGGTACTGACTGCAACAATCTCAATCTTGAAAGAATGAATTCATTTGCTTAACAATACTCAGTTTATCTTGGTGAGGAAGGAAGACATACTGGTGGACAAATAATGTATTTACATAAAGGATTATCTGTGGGTAGATGAATTTTTATAGTCTATTAATTTGATGGCTAAGGTACTATGTGTAAAGAGTAGATTTTTTTCAGATTTGATTTTTTTAAATCATAGAACATATTCAAAATATAATGACACTGGAAGAGTCTGTTCAACATGTGGTCATGACTGCTATTCAAGAGGTAAGTTATATCATGTTCCTATGAGTATAAAAATCCTAAACCAAATTATACAAAACTTTTCATACTTTATGCTTTTCTTTTTTAAAAACTTGCTCTTTGTTGTAAGTTTACTTCCCCTTAGCTAGTGGGTCTTCCTTTTTTACCCCCAAAAATATTTTAAAAGGCCTTTAAGCCCAATTTTAGTACCTCTGCATTTTAAAAGCTGGTTAATAAATTAATATTATCAAGTCTCTTTAAATCAGTGGTCCTCAACCTTTTTGGCACCAGGGACCAGTTTTGTGGAAGACAATTTTTCCACAGACCCGGGGTGGCGGGCAGGGGGAAGGTTTTGGGATGAAACTGTTCCACCTCAGATAATCAGGCATTAGATTCACGTAAGAAGCGTTCACAGTGGGGTTTTTGCTCCTATGAGAATCTAATGCTGCCGCTGATCTATCAGCAGGTGGAGTCCAGGTGATAATGCTCTCTTGCCTGCCACTCACCTGCTTCTGTGCAGCCCAGTTTTAACAGGCCATGGACTGGTGCCAGTCCATGGCCTGGGGGTTGGGGACCCTTCCTTTAAATAACTTCAACTAAGCAGGAAACGCAGGATAAACAGTCTCTGACCAGAACAGTCTCTGACCAGACAGGAGTTTTTCTTTTTTCTTTTTTTTCTTCCAGTTATAACAATCTTTCCTGAATTTTTCATTTATATATACCATATGCATTTTCAAAATGTTAGATCTGTGAGCAAATATGGTGGTACTTAGGTTTAGTTTTACCAGGTAAGTTGGATTAAAGCTAGTCTAGTTATCTAAGTTGAGCCAGGAAGGATTCAGAATTAATGTGGTGCAGAGTTGATTCTTAATATCAGCCTAAAAGGCTGAGATGGATTGCAGAGGAGACTTCAGGAAAAGCAGACTTTGGAAGGGGCATGACTTAGAGGGAGACGTCATACAGGACTTTTGTAGTCTGTACTCCCTGAGTTTGCATTGTTGGTTTGGATTCAGAGTATCCCTGTACATAAGTAAATCTGCCTTTCATCTCAGAGTTATTTTACAGGATCTTTTTTTCATATAATCGTAACTCCTACTTTTAAAATGACTTCTCAAAAAGGCTGCATTAAAAAAGTATTAACTTATAATGTATATGAATCCCTTTAAAAATTATTTAATGTGTTCACTCTTTATCAGTAATATGTCTTTTAGGACTTGTATTGAAATTTGTCAGTACACAAGTATTTTGAATATATCTATGTATTTAAAGCACAATTTACTTATAGTGTCCTCACTAATATGCTTGAATTTGTGTTATTAAGTTAAGGCTCTAATAAAGTTTTTATCTGAATAGCGTTCTAAGGATCCTCAAATTAAGGCAAGGAAAAGCTAAATATAAATCATTTTACTATCCTTTCAAGAAAATATATTTTACTTCATAAACATCACATTGTTATACTTAATTTTATTATTTTAATTTCCTAGTTGATGAGTAAAGAAATATTGAGCTCTCCTCCAAATGATGCTGTTGGAGAATTGGAGCAACAGGTGAGTATTTTAGTATGGAAGAAAAATGTTGAAAGCAATGTTAGGGTTTCTTTGCCAATTACTCTCATAAGGCTTACAAAGAGAGCATATACAATAATATTTTCTTCTGTGAAATTTGGTTTATTCTTCTGCATGATCCCAATTGAATGGCAGTGGTGTTGGTCTCCAGAGATTTTTGTGATCATGTTGAAAGAGTTGAGTGGCATTGAACATTCCTTCTGACACTTGTATATTTGGACCATGCTGTATGGTAACACAGTGAAATAGAGGACAATTAAAAACAAACTCTGCTAAGTTTTAATTTATTTAATAATGTAATTTTTTTCACTGTTGCTATCCTCTCACTTGATATTGAAGAAATAGCTCAAAGGCCCTGTACTCAAGGCTCCTTTCCTTCAGGACTGTTTTACAGGGGGAAAAGACACTCTTCTCCCATTTATAACCCAATCTGGGTTATAGAGTAAAGGGTAAAAGGAGAGGCAAATGCATTAAGTACTTTTTCTGTTATATTTTTAAACACTTCTTCTTTTATGAGTGTCGCCAGTCATCTCAAGAAGTATTTCAAAAGAAAATGTTTAAAGAAATAATTTATTTAAATGTAAACATGCTGTGTTTTTTCCTAAACATTTTTCTGTAATAAAACTAAACAATGCCTTCTCTAATACTTGTAAAAATATTTTGCAGGGATTTACATAAAATGTAGTTCTGTGGGACTGTAGCCTTCAATGTTAATGAGGTCATGTAAAACAAAGACAACAATTTTTTTTATTATTATTATACTTTAAGTTCTGGGTTACATGTGCAGAACATGAAGTTTTGTTACATAGGTATACACATGGCATGATGGTTTGCTGCACCCGTCAACCTGTTACCTACATTAGGTATTTCTCCTAATGTTATCCCTTTCCTAGCCCCCCACCCCCCACAGGCCCTGGTGTGTGATGCTCCCCTCCTTGTGTCCATGTATTCTTATTGTTCAACTCCCACTTATGAGTGAGAACATGTGGTGGTTGGTTTTCTGATCTTGAGATAGTTTGCTGAGAATGATTGTTTCCAGCTTCATCCATGTCCCTGCAAAGGACATGAACTCATCCTTTTTTATGGCTGCATAGTATTCCATGGTGTATATGTGCCACATTTTCTTAATCCAGTCCATCTTTGATGGACATTTGGGTTGGTTCCAAGTCTTTGCTATTGTGAATAGTGCTGTAATAAAAATACGTGTGCATTTGTCTTTGTAGTAGAATGATTTATAATCCTTTGGGTATATGCCCAGTAATGGGATTGCTGGGTCAAATGGTATTTCTAGTTCTAGATCCTTGAGGAATCGCCACACTGTCTTCCACAATGGTTGAACTAATTTATGCTCCCAACAACAGTGTAAAAGCGTTCCTATTTTTCCACAGCCTCTCCAGTATCTGTTGTTTCCTGACTTTTTAATGTTCGCCATTCTAACTGGTGTGAGATAGTATCTCATTGTGGTTTTGATTTGCGTTTCTCTAATGACCTGTGATGATGAGCATTTTTTCATATGTCCGTTCGCTGCATAAATGTCTTCTTTTGAGAAGTGTCTTCTTTTGAGACACTTTGCCCATTTTTTGATGGGGTTTTTTGCTTTTTTCTTGTAAATTTGTTTAAGTTCTTTGTAGATTCTGGATATTAGCCCTTTGTCAGATGGATAGATTGCAAAATTTTTTTCCCATTCTGTAGGTTGCCTGTTCACTCTGATGATAGTTTCTTTTGCTGTGCAGAAGCTCTTTAGTTTAATTAGATCCCATTTGTCAATTTTGGCTTTTGTTGCCATTGCTTTTGGGTTTTAGACATGAAGTCTTTGCCCATGCTTCTGTCCTGAATGGCATTGCCCAGGTTTTCTTCTAGGATTTTTATGGTCCTATGTCTTACATTTAAGTCTTTGATCCATCTTGAGTTGATTTTTGTATAAGATGTGAGGAAGGGGTCCAGTTTCAGTTTTCTGCATATGGCTAGCCAGTTTTCCCAACACCATTTATTAAATAGGGAATCTTTTCCCCATTACTTGTGTGTGTCAGGTTTATCAAAGATCAGATGGTGGTAGATGTGTGGTGTTATTTCTGAGGGCCCTGTTCTGTTCCATTGGTCTATATATCTGTTTTGGTACCAGTACCATGCTGTTTTTGTTACTGTAGCCTTGTAGTAAAGTTTGAAGTCAGGTAATGTGATGCCTCCAGCTTTGTTCTTCTTGCACACAATTGCCTTGGCTATGCGGGCTCTTTTTTGGTTCCATATGAAGATTAAAGTAGTTGTTTCCAATTCTGTGAAGAAAGTCAGTGGTAGCTTGATGGGGATAGCTTTGAATCTATAAATTACCTTGGGCAGTATGGCCATTTTCACAATATTGATTCTTCCTACCCATGAGCATGGAATGTTCCTCCATTTGTTTGTGTCCTCTTTTATTTCATTGAGCAGTGGTTTGTAGTTCCCCTTGAAGAGGTCCTTCACATCCCTTGTAAGTTGTATTCTTAGTATTTTATTCTCTTAGTAGCAATTGTGAATGGGAGTTCACCCATGATTTGGCTGTCTGTTATTGGTGTATAGGAATGCTTGTGATTTTTGCACATTGATTTTGTATCCTGAGACTTTGCTGAAGTTGTTTATCAGCTTAAGGAGATTTTGGGCTGGTACAATGGGGTTTTCTAAATATACAATCATGTCATCTGCAAACAGAGACAATTTGGCTTCCTCTCTTCCTATTTGAATAGGCTTTATTGCTTTCTCTTGCCTGATTGCCCTGGCCAGAACTTCCAATACTATGTTGAATAGGAGCGGTGAGAGAGGGCATCCTTGTCTTGTGCCAGTTTTCAAAGGGAATGCTTCCAGTTTTTGCCCATTCAGTATGATATTGGCTGTGGTTTTGTCATAAATAGCTCTTATTATGTTTAGATACGTTCCATTGATACCTAGTTTTTTGAGAGTTTTTAGCATGAAAGGCTGTTGAATTTTGTTGAAGGACTTTGCTGCATCTATTGAGATAATCATGTGGTTTTTGTCATTGGTTCTGTTTATGTGATGGATTACATTTATTGATTTGTGTATGTTGAACCAGCCTTGCATCCCAGGGATGAAACCAACTTGATCGTGGTGGATAAGCTTTTTGAGTGCTGCTGGATTCGGTTTGCCAGTATTTTATTGAGGATTTTCACATCGATGTTCATCAGGGATATTGGCCTAAAATTCTCTTTTTTTTGTTGTAAGAGTCATTTCTTATTAGGTAAATTCAAAAAATAATTTCCCATATCAGTGTATATGTGTGTTGTGAGAAGAGTATATTTTTCTATTTTTCTATATTTGTGTCAAAACACGATTTACTAAGATTTAGGACATTTTGTATTTCAGCTTAAAAGAGCCTTGGAAGAACTTCAGGAAGCACTAGCAGAAAAAGAAGAGCTGAGGCAAAGATGTGAAGAATTGGATATGCAGGTACGGGAAAAAACCCTGAGCTGAGAAAAACTTCCTCTTTAAGTTTACAGAAGATTTTTATTGTAATTAATTAGTTAGCACTATGTTTTGTAGATTAGGTTTGACTTCATGGAGGTAACATTAAAAGGATTTCTTATAGGCTTGAATATTCAAGTATTAATTTCATAAATATTTTTCTCTGATAGTTGAAATTTGCTGGCTTAACTTTCTTTGAGAAAATCACTCTACTAATTTTAAAATTTCAATTATTTAGATAAGAACTCAGTTTTCATTTTTGTAAAATGGGAAAGTTAAAGTTTCTACTTCATATTGTGTATGTGAATATTAAGTAGAGGTAATTTATGGAAGTATTAAGTGGTACCTGACACTTCCCCCCCAGTAAATTCAAGTACATGTTCATATTTATGTATGTAGTCTCTTATGGCAAATTTTTGCTAACATGTATGTATATATAAACGTGTGTATATAATCTTGTATTCATATGCACATGTATGTTAAAATGAACTTGGCATGAGCAACAATAGTTAATGGTTAAGAGGTTAGATTGTCAAACCAGGCTACCTACATTCAGAACCTGGCATATTACTAGCTGGTTATATGCTCCAGGCACATTACTTAATTATCCTGTACTTCAGTTTTCTCTTTTGAGAAATGGAGTGATGATAGCATATATCTCCCAGAGTGGTCGTGAGGGTTAAATGAGTTCATATATATAGCACTTAGAGCCTGGCACAGAAGTGCTGTGTTTATTGTTTGCATATGATGTTACTGTTACATTAAAATACAAATGTGCATATTATGCAATTAGTCTAGAAAAAGGTGTACAGAAGGTTAAGTGTACCTTCATAATATGCTGTATGTAAATGGCATTTTTTTGTTTGAATAATGAGCTAAATTTGTAGTTGATTCTCTGAAAAGTGTAAGGGCAAGGAGCAAAGGTGTGGTAGCATTATCCTTGCTAGAGGAAGTAAATATCTAAAATGACAGGGCTAGATAATGCTTCTAACCCTTAAGCATTTGGAAATAAAGAAAAGGAAAAGACTTGGTTAGGGTGACTAGTCACTTAGGGCAGTGGGAGCACTAGAATTCAGGTCTTCTAACTTCATCTGTAAAAACCAGTCCTCTGTATTTGAATGAAGTAAGTGTCTCAAGTAAGGGAAATTTAATCTGTTCTCCTTCGCACCTTTCCTAACTACATATTGTAACATATACCTTCAGACACATGCAAAGTACCTGAAATGTGTTCATTTTAAATGGGATCATATTCACCCTGTAAAATACCTTGTAGGAAAAACAGAAGATTGAGCCATTCAGGTATTACCATTCTCTTGTAGGATCTAGGTACAGTCTTCTGAGAAATTCTTATTCAATAAAGAACACAAAATTCTGCATTTAAAGATTTATGTGTTTGTAACAAATAATAAAGGATATATGATCTGGTTTTAGGTGAAAAGTGCAGAAATCCCAAACAGAGGGAGACAGAGACAGGTGCAGATTGAACTTATCACCATGAGAGCTTGTTGAAGGAGATGCCTGGAACCACCACCCAGTGTTCCAAGTCACGGTTCTGGGGTGGGAACAAGGAATGTGCCTGTCTCGCACCCTTCTTACTCATGTCTGTGCCAGAGATGGCTCTGGAGCCACATTGAAGCATATGGATAGGAGCAAGATTGGTTATTCACCAGGTGTTCAAAACTAAAATTTGCCCTTGGTCCTATTCGTTTTTAGAGGAGTCCTACCCAGTTTTGATGCCTGAGGGTGTTGTTTTTCCTCTGTCAGTCATTTTTTGACAGCCCCTACACTCAAGCTAGAATGAGATATTCTTTTCTTTGTGCCCTACCCTTACCCTATAGTGTACTTCTATCAAAGCACCTTCAACATCTTTTACATAATTGTTTACATTTCTACTGTAAGGGTCTTGGGGGCAGAAACTCTTTATTCTTTTTTGTATCTGAATCACTTAGAATTATTATGCATGACAGGTAATAGTAGTCACTAAACAGCTTACATAATAGGCATGGATGCATGCATTGAATTTGGGAATAGAAAGTTATTTCATTATATTGTCTGCCCAGGGACAGTTTCCCAGACTTTGTAGTTCTCATTTAGAAGACAGTAACTTGCCTATATACTGTGTTCAGGGCAATCACTTGATGTTAATTTCCTATTAGTTCTTTGTGTCAATGTGTAGTCATATTTACATAACTGGATTGAATTACATGTTTTGAAGATATGGATAGCAAACTTATTCAGTAATACACTGGAAATCAGAATAGGTTAATCAATGGTTTTTCAAACTAATTCTTAATCATATGTAAAAGTTCTGGCCTTATCAAAAGACACAGCCTTAGCTATACATTTTTAAAGATGTTTTTAAATGGAAAAGAAGTAGAACCAGGAGAGAAAATCATGCATGTTTTAAAAATATGAATAAAAAAAATTGCTCCAGGTACTGATAATGATGTGGTTCTACACTAACATGTTTTTATTCGTTTTAAATCATAAGCAAATAGTTTAAATGTACAAATGGAAACAGCTTAGCTTTTTGTTATTGAATCATTAACCAAATGTGCTTATTTCTTGAATATGTGATATGTGACTGATAATTTTATACTCTCAACCTATCATGATAACTTTGAACATATGTGTGTATATTTTGGCTTAGCAGGTGACATCATTCTAAAAATTAGTTTATACCTAAAAGAGGAGACAAATTAATTTTTTGAAGTTTCATTTGTGCATCAAATTTTAGAGACTTGAAAACATTTTCTTCCCCAAACAAAGGCAGGCATAGCATTTTAAAGATATAGTTACTCTATTTTCTCCATATGTGTATTGATTTGATTTCTTTTCTTTGACTTACATCTCCTAGACTCTGAATTCTGCATTCAGAAGGATCCTTAGAACTCATCTAGTATGACAGACCAAGCTATTTAATGGCTTAGTCAGATCTAGAATCCAGAACTCTAGACTCTAATAAGAATTTTTATTTTTTTGTTTTTTTTCTACTGGTGCTTATGTATGTGTATTTGTTTCTTAGGTGACTACACTTCAAGATGAAAAGAATTCACTGGTTTCTGAAAATGAGATGATGAATGAAAAACTTGACCAGTTGGATGGCTCTTTTGATGATCCAAACACAGTGGTTGCAAAAAAGTATTTTCATGCACAATTACAACTAGAACAATTACAGGAAGAAAACTTCAGGTAGCATTTTTAATGGAAATCATTTTATGGAGTTCTGTCTATTATACCAGTAGCAAAAAGTCACAGTATTAACAGCTAATTACTAAGCATTGTTAAGCATCTTTAGGATACTGATTAAGCTCCTGAAAATACCAGATGGTATAAGTGGTTCCTGTTATCACAGGGCTAACATCCAGTTAGGAAGTGGGAGATACACATAAAAACAAAACCATTTAAATATGTGTTAAGGACCAAATCAAGGCCATAGGACAGCCAATAGGAGTTCAAGGCAGTGATTGCTGAAACCTGGGGAGAACAAGGAGTTTCTCAAATAAGATAGGTAACCCTGTAATAAATGGAAAAAAATGTAAATCGTAAGCCAAGTAGGTGCTTTTCATTTTAACTTGTATATTTCTTTAACAAAGTCATGTATCCTTACCTTTAATAAACATTGATTATCTTTTGTGTGCATACCACTCAGCCATGAACTATAAGACCTTGAGGACAGGCACTCTAATTGTACTATACATATTTTTTTGTTACTTAATTTTGATATAACTTCAAACTCCCTAAAAAAGTTGCAAGAATACTACAAGGAACTTCTTTACACCTTTTACTCAGATTCAACAATTATTTTACAGTTTTCTCCATTTGCTTTAGCAATCTCTGTATATAGTCATATAATTTTCATATTTTTATCTGAACCATTTGAGAGAAAGTTGGACACATGTCTCTTTACCCCTGTATATTTCAGTGCATATTTCCTAAGAATGAGGACATTCTCTTATAAGCCACGTTATTTTCACATTATTGTGAAAAATGATATAACCATTAAAATTGGGATCTTTTTCTGGACTCTCATTTCATTTCTGTTAGTAAATTTGTGCCTGTATGACACTATATTAATTACTATGGTTTTAGAGTATGACTCTTGAGATCTGGTAGTGTAAGTATTCCAATTTTGTTCTTTCTTTTTCAAAATTTGTTTTGGCTATTCTAAGTCTTTAGCATTTTCCCATAAAATTGAGAATCAGCTGATCAGTTTCTACTAAAAACCTTTTCAGGATTATGATTTGGATTGTATAATTGATATCTTAACTATATAGAGAATTCCTATCTATGAATGTAGTCTCATTTATTTAAATATTTAATTTCACTCGGCAGTGCTGTATTGTTTCTAGCATAGAAGTCTTGTATGTCTTTTGTTAATTTTTTACCCAAGTATTTTGTTTTTGATGCTATTGTAAATGCAAATTCAGAATTATTGTGAAAATTTGCTGCTAATCTGTAGATAGATGTACAATTATATATTGAAACTTTGATCTTACACCTTGAAACTTGTATCTTAAATATATTGAAACTTTTATATCTTGCAAAGTTTCTAAATTCACTTATTGAGCTGGTAGTTTGTTTAGATTTAAAAAAGAAATCCTTAGTCCATTCCTGCTGCTTTAACAAAATACCTTAGACAGGGTAATTTATGAACAAATCTACCACTCACAATTCTGAAGACTGGGAACTCCAAAATCAAGGTACCAGCAGATTCAGTGTCTGTTTGAGGGATAGCTCTCTGCCTCCAAGATGGCTTCCTCTTGCTGAATCCTTAGGTCCCTTTAACCTCTTTCATAAGAGCACTAATCCCATTCAAGGGGACAGAGCCCTCATAACTTAATCACTTCCCAAACGGCCCCACCTCTTAATACCACCACAATGGGGATTAGGTTTCAACATGAATTTTAGAGGAACACAGACTATGGAATCTACAGTCATTTCATCTATTAATAGAACTTTACATCTTCCTTTCATTATTTCTGTCTTGTATTTATTTTCCTTGCCTTGTTGCAAGAGCAGCTGTCATTGCTTTTTTCCTGGTCTTAGAGGGATCATGTGCAATTAGGATCCGTCAAGTATGATGCTAGCTGTAGAGTTGTTCGATGTGCTTTCTGTCAGATTGAGGAAATTCCCCTTGTTTCCACCCTGCTAAAAGTTTTTTGTTTTTGTTTTTTTTTTCAATCATGATTAGCTGTTGATTTTTGTCAGATGATTTTTCTGCATCTTGAAAAGATGGTGTAGCTTTTCTTTTTCATTCTTGTAATATATTGATTGATTTTTGAATGTTAAAAACCTACATTCTGGAGATAAACCACTTTGTTCATACTTTATTATCCTGTATATGTGACTAGATTCAGTTAATAATTTGAAAGAATTTTTATAACTGTCTTTATAATAGATATTGGTCTAAATTTTGTCTCTTGTAATGTCTTGTTCAGGATTTATCAGAGTTCTACTAGTCTCATAGAATAACTGAGGCATATTCTCTGTTCTTCTGTTTTCTGAAAGAGTTTATGTAAAAATGTTATTTCTTTCTTAAATTTTGATACAGTTTATCAGTAACACAATTTGGACCTATGGTTTTCTTTGTGAGTGTGTTTTTCCTGACAAATTTAATTTCTTTAATGGTCATAGGGCTTTTCAGATTTCCTATTTCATCTTGTGTTCAGTTTGGTAAGTTGTATTTTTCAGTGTATATGTTTATTTAAGTTGTTGAACTTATTGACATGAAGTTCTTCATAATATTCTCTTCTTATCCTTAAAACTCAGTGTCTATGGTTATTTAAGTTGTTTAATTTATCGACATGAAGTTGTTCATAATATTCTTTTTTTATCGTTATAATGATTCTGGCAGATGTGATGATATACCCTTTTACATTCCTGATATTGCTTGGGTTTTCTTTCATTTTTCTTGATCACTCTTGCTAGAGGTTCATCAGTTTTCTTAATCTTTTCAAACATCCTTTATTGGCCTTCTATATTATTAGTTTTAGATTTCTTTCTTTATACTTAACTTTGGATTTAAATTTCTCTCCTTTTTCTAGCCTCTTAAAGTTGAAACTTAGATCATTGATTTTAATCCTTCCTTCCCCTCCCTCCCTTTCTTCCTTCCTTCCTTTTCCTTCCTTCCTTCCTTCCTTCCTTCCTTCCTTCCTTCCTTCCTTCCTTCCTTCCTTCCTCCCTCCTCCCTCCCTCCCTCCCTCTCTCTCTCTCATTCTTTCTTTCTTTCTAACATAGACCTTTAAAACTGAGAGGCACTGGTTTACTGTTGTCCCCCAAATTTGATTGCTTGTCTTTTTGTTATTGTTTAGTTTGAAACTTTTTCTAAATTCTGTTGTGATTTTTTTTCTTGACTTGTGGGTTATTTAGGAATGTGTTGTTTAATTTACAAAGATTTAAAGCTTTTCTAGACTTCTTATTGCGACTGATTTCTAATTTAATTAACCTTTATTATTAGAGAACATGGTCCATGATATTTCAGTCTTTTGGCATTTATTGATACATATTTTATTCATCATATATTTTATTGTGTTGAGTGTTATATATGCATTTGCATATATAGTCATGCAAGTTACAATTATATAATTATAACAAATCATGGAAGTTATAAATACTTACTTTTTTATTTGTTCAAGGCTTGAAGCTGCAAAAGATGATTACCGTGTTCACTGTGAAGAACTTGAAAAGCAGCTAATCGAATTCCAGCATAGGAATGATGAATTGACTAGTCTTGCAGAAGAAACAAGAGCCCTGAAAGATGAAATAGATGTTCTTAGGTATGGCATGTCTTAAAAAATATAATTATGCCATTTCTGAGCTATTTAGTCAATTTGAGTATTTCATATTTTAATCAGGGATTCATAGGATTATTCCTGTATATCAAGTATTGATCAGTTTTTAATCCAGGCTGATAGTTTTAACTTCTTTTATGTTTGTTGTTTGGGCTTGCAGTTCATGGATAATACTCAATTTTTATTAGGACATTTTCACATTAGAACCCATAAACCCAAAATGAGACCTTTAATTAAAATTTTATAAATGGAGTACTTATAGATACATTTAACTTGACCTCCCTGTACCTGTCATATTTTGTGAAATTTTTGTGTAAGGAAATTTTTGTGTAAGGAAATGTCAATCCATATTTTGACATTTGATAAACTATAGATCAAATATAGGCAAGAATCCTAACTTTTTTTGGGGGAGGATTGTCATTTGGCAATATAAAGTTTATATTTACTTTTTTCATGTGAAATGTTACTCAGTGAACAGTCTGTCCACGTGATCTTTATTTTTTTTGTTAATTTTTCTTAATTATTTTTTGTAGTTCTTAATACTCATTTGAAACAAAATTTGTGTAACCATTAATTTGGACCTGCTTGCGATAGTGAAGTGATTTGGTTTATTTGTTTGTTCGTTTATTTATATATTTAAGTCAGGTAAGCACAACTCCAAAGGGAAGTGCTTTGCCTGACAAGTTTATAAATTTAATCAACGTCCTAAATACAGTTGAGTCAAATACTTGGAAGGAAACTATGCTGAATGTTGTACACAAAGGAAGGTTGGCCTGTAAGCTGCAGAGCAGCTGATTTGTTTAATTTTATGTACAAATCATTATTTTTTATTCATTGTGCTAATATATGAAACAGTTTGATAAATTAGTGTGTCAGATTTGAAGCATTTTTATTTTGATGGCTTTATACCAAATAGGTTGAACTTTAAATGGATTTAGGCTAGAGTCTGTTTCCAAAGTTCTTACAAAGTTTACAATTTCCTCTTCTCACTCACTCACATTTACTTTTCTTTTTTCTTTTTTGTGATAGTTTGGAAGATTCATTTTATAGCCAGAGTAAAATTATGAGTATATACTAGTTTTTGTACAGTAATGCTTAGTCTTTATGATTATAGGGCTACCTCTGATAAAGCAAATAAACTGGAGTCAACAGTTGAGATATATCGTCAGAAGCTACAAGATCTGAATGACCTTCGCAAGCAGGTGAAAACTTTACAGGAAACCAACATGATGTATATGCATAATACAGTCAGCTTAGAAGAAGAATTAAAAAAAGCAAATGCAGCACGTACACAATTAGAAACATACAAAAGGCAGGTAAGAAACATCTTAATTTTTAATTGATAAAATTGTAAGAGTTTAACTTTGTTATTCCTTTTGATGTCTTAAGAATGGTAAAGAAATTGAGAAGCGTTGCATGTAATAAGCTATGAACTTATTCTGATGAATTTCTTTCTTTAATTTTAATTCAAGGATTGATAATTGAGTTTGAGTTATCTGGGTCTTTTACCTTTTTACTGCCTCCTGAAATTATTTTTTCTTTTGAGATTTTATTGTTTATTAGCATTTCTGGTAAGCAGGGTTAATGCCTTAGAGAATGGAGCCGTAACCTAAATTCTGTTTTTCTGTTTACTAAATAGCATTAGTAGGCTGACTTTTAATTTCTTTGGCAAAACTATTATTTGAATATTTTTAGTTTTATGTTAATTCTTATCTATATGTTATTTTCCACAAGTATTTAAAATTAGACTGCAATTTTAGTGTAGATATTTATTCATAATCAGTTTTTCATTTACTCAATTCTGAAAGACTATTGAGATTTATACACTTATATACTTTTAAGGACCTTTTTTCCTTTTGTTTCTGACATTAGGTTCAAGATCTTCATGTTAAACTTTCCTCCGAATCCAAGAGGGCAGACACACTAGCGTTTGAAATGAAGCGGCTTGAAGAAAAACATGAAGCTTTACTTAAGGAAAAAGAGGTAAACATAGATATAATTGATAAGGAATATTTCATTGTTCTTTTAGTTTTGTAATGCCCTTGCTGTTTCTATAATCGTGGTGATGTCTACCAGTTCTCTCTTCCTCCAGATTGAATTTTTTGACATAAAAGTGTCTTGTAAAAATGACTTACATCTTCTTTCAATTTTTTTAGTTTTCTTCACAATGTTAGATGAAATGGTAGAGCCAAGGTCATAAGTCTCAATGAATATTTTCTAATTCTAGACTGTCAGTTGCATGGGATCAAGGACCATAGATAATAATTTTGCGATGGCTTTATTAAGATTTAATTTACTTACCGTAAATTTCACCTAAGGTGGTTTTCACAAGTCATTGGTTTTTAATATATTCACAGAGTTATACTACCATCATCATAATCATACTTTAGAACACTGCCATCACTCTAAAAAGAAACCTCATGCCCATCACCGTTTACCCTGCACTCTAATCCTCTCAGCCCTACTCTTAATAACTGTTAATCTACTTGCTATCTACAGATTTTCCTAGTCTTTCTGCAATATGTAATCATACACTTGGTGATTTTTGTGACTGACTCTTGCAAGGTTCATCCGTGTTGTAGCATATATCAGTGCTGTATCCTTTTTATTGCCGAATAATGCCCCATTGTATGGACATACGGCATTTTGTTTATCCATTCACCAGTTTATGAACATTTGGGTTGTTTCTACTTTTTGGCTGTTATGAATAATGCTATGAATGTTTATGTACAAATTTTTATTTAGATATGTTTTCATTTTTCTTGAGCATATATGCAGAAATGGTATTGATGGGTCATATGGTAACCAAGTTTAACTTCACATCCTTATCATCACCTATTATCTTTTTGATTTTAGCTATCCTAGTGGATATAAATTGGCATGTCATTGTGTTTTTGATTAGCATTTCTCTACTGACTAATGTTGTTGAGCATCTTTTATGTACTTATTAGCCATTTGTATATCTTCCTTGGAAAAATGTCTCTTCAAATCCTTTGCCAATGTTTTACTTAGGTTATATGCTTTTTAATTATTGAGTTGGAATAGTTTTTTATATATTCTAGATACAAGTTCCTTGTCAGGTATATGATTTGCAGTTTTTTTTTTCTATTCTGTGTGTTATCATCTCACTTTCTTGATGATATAGTTTGCAGCACCAAGTATTACATTTTGATGAGATCAGAGTTACTTGTTTTTCCTTTTGTTGCTTGTCTTTTTTTGGTGATGTTTCTAAAAAAACCACTGTGTAACCTAAGGTACAAAGATTTACCCTGTGTTTTTCATTTAAACAGTTTTATGGTTTTAGCTCATATATTTAGTCTGTGATCCATTTGGTATATGGTGTGAGGTAGGCATCTGGCTTTATTCTTTTGTATGTTGATATCCAGTTGTACTAGTACCACCAGTTGATAAAACTATTCTTACTACATCGAATTATTTGGTATTCTTGTTAAAAATCACTTGGCCATGATACTTTAATGGTGTATACATGTCATTATACATTCGTGAAAATCCATAGGGTGTATAACAAAAAGAGTAAACTGCAATATAAATGATGGACTTTAGTTAATAACAGTGTATCAGCATTGGCTCATCAATTCTAACAAATTACCACACAAATGCAAGATAGTAATAATAGGGGAGACTGAGAGTGAGAAGAGGGTAAGAGGAATGTAAAAGAACTCTGTATTTTCTGCTCAATTTTTCTAAAAACCTAAAACTGCTCAGAAAATAACCTCCATTAATAATTAAAAAGGTTTAAAAATTCGTTTGACCATAAATGCAAGGGTTTATTTGTGGTCTTTTAATGGTTTACTACTGGGTTGTATGTCTAATCTTATGCTAGTACCACACTCATATATTGATTATTGATTACTGTAGTTTTGTAGTTAAGTTTTGAAATTGGAAAGGGTGAGTTTTCAAACTTTATTCTTCTTCAAGGCTGTTTTTGTTATTCTGATTCCCTAGCATTTTCATGTGAATCTTGAAATCAGCTTGTCAATTCTTGCAAAAAAAAGGCAGCTGAGATTTTTATAAGAACTTCTTGATCTATAGATTAATTTAGAAATGTTGCCACTTAACAGTATTAATTTTCTGATCCATGAATGTGGGCTATCATTTCATTTATTTAGATCTTAAGTGTCTTTCAACAATGTTTTGTAGTTTTCAGTGTGCAAGACTAGCACCTTTTAAACATGTATTCCTAAGTGTTTCATTCTTTTTGTTGTTATTTTAAATAAAATTATCAATATCATTTTTGGATTTGTTAACTGCTAATATGTAGAAATTTGATGGAGTTTTGTGCATTGATCATGAATCTTCCAGCCTTTTTGAATTTGTTTACTAGTTATAGTTTTTTGGTAAGTTTCTCAGGATTATCTATATGTAAGATTATGACCTCTGCAAATAGAATTGATTTTACTTCTTTATTTGCAATTCTGATAATTTTTATTTTTCTTGCTAAGTTGTACTGGCTAGAATTGTCAGTACAATGTTAAATAAAAGTGGCATGAACAGATATCATTCTTTAGGTTCTGATCTTAGGGGAAAAGCATTGAATTTTTCACCATTATGTATGATACTAGCTGTGAGTTCTTTGTTTTCGTTTTTGTTTTTGGATGCCCTCTACAAGGTTGAAGAATTTTCCTTCTATTCGTAGTTTGTTGCATGCTGTTATCCTAAAAGAGTATCGGATTTTGTCAGATGCTTTTTCTGGATCAGTGAGATGATATATAGTATTTGTACTTTATTATATTAATATGATGTATTACATTGATTTTTTTCATGTTAAACCGATCTTGCATTATTGAGATAAATTCTACTTGTTCATAATATATACTTTAAAAAGTATATTGCCAGATTCAGTTTGCAAATATTTCATTGAAGATTTTTCCATCGGTATTATAAGGGATATTGGTTTGTAATGTTCTTGTGAGGTCATACCTGGTTTTGGTATCACTGGCCACATAGAGTGAGTTGAGAAATTTTCCCTGCTTTTTTACGTTTTGGGAAAGTTCATGAAAATTGGTATTAATTCTTCTTTAAATGTTTTGTGGAGTTCAGTTTTCTGGGCCTGAGCTTTATTTGTAGGAAGTTAATAAATTACTAATTCAATCTTTTTAGTTGCTCTAGGTCTATTCAGCTATTCTATGACTTCTTGAGCTAGTGTTACTAGTTTGTTTCTTTCTAGAGATTTGTCAATTTAATTTATCTAATTTATGGGCATACAGTTGTTTATTGTTATTTCTTCTTTATTTCTGTGAGAAACAAGAGAATTTTGCTAAGTAGTGATATCCTCTCCTTTATTTGTGATTTTTGTAATTTGAATTTCTCTGTTTTTTTTTTTTCTTGGTTAGTTTAGCTAAAGATTTGTCAATTTTGTTGATCTTTTCAAATAACTAACTTGTGGTTTTAAAATTTGTTTTCTATTCTCTATTTTATTTATTTTTACTCTAATCTTTAATAATTCATTGGTAAAGGAACACAAATTCCTTTGTATATAAGTTTTTTTTTCCTAGTTAAGATAGAAAGTTAAGTTATTGATTTGGAATTTTTCTTGATTTTTTTTAATATAGATACAGCTGTAAATTTACCTCAGGATTTATTTTGCTACATCCTGTGTTTTGGCATATTGCATTTTCGTTTAATTCTTTTGAATTATTTTCCCTTATGATTTCTTCTTTGACACATTGGTTACTTATGAGTATCTTGCTCAGTTTTCATATATTTGTGAATATCCTAAATCTCCTTGTGTCATTGATTTATTTAATTCCATTGTGGTCAGAGGACATACTTTGTGTGCATTCAGTCCTTTTAAATTTATTGAGCCCTGTATTATGGCCTAGCATATGGTCTGTTCTGCAGAGTGTTCCATGTGGATTTTTAAAAAATGTGTATTCTACTGTTGGGTAAAGTATTCTATATATGTCAGTTAGGTCTAGTTGGTTTATAATATTGTTCAAGTATTCTACCTTGAATCGTTGTGTATAGTTCTATTATTGAAAGTAGGATACTGATATTTCCAATTGTTGTTATATCATCTCTTTTTCCCTTTAATTCCGTCAGTTTTTACCTCATGTATTTTAGATCTGTGAGGTTCATTTATGTTTGTAATTGTTATATCTTCCTGATAGATTGATTTTTCTAATGTCTGTCTTTTTTCTGGTTACAATATTTATCTTAAAGTCTGTTTTGTTTAATGTTAGTATAGCCCTGTATCTTTCTTTTGGTTACTGTTTGCATCATTTTTTTCACCCTTTTATTTTCAAACTATATTTGTGTCTTTTATACTAAGATCTATTTCTTTCACCTAGCATTTACTTGGATCATTTTTAATCGATTCTGCCAGTATTTGCTTTTCAATTGGAGTTTGGAATCCATTTACATTTAATGTAATTACCGATAAAAATAGCATTTAGGTCTACCATTTTATTTTGTTTTCTGTATGTCTTTTTTTCTCCTCCATTTTTCTACTACTGCCTTTTGTGTTAGACATTTTCAATACACCAGTTTAGTTCCTTAGTTTCTTTTACAAGTTTTTAAAAGCTATTTTCTGATGGTTGTTATGGGGGATTACAATTAGCATCTTACCTTGAAACAATCCATTTAGAGTAAATGGTAAACCTAATTTCAATAGTATACTGAAAACTACTCCAAAATAAAAACTTTTCCTCCCCTCTGCTTTATGCTGTTACATCTTTATAGATTATAAACTCATTAATACTGTTTTATAATTAATGCTTTATACTATTGTCTTTTAAATCAAATTGTAGACTAAAAGAGTTAAAAATACATTAATCTTAAATATATATATATATATATATATATATATATATATATATTTTTTTTTTTTTTTTTTTTTTTTTTTTTTTGAGACGGAGTCTCCCTCTGTTGCCCAGGCTGGAGTGCAGTGACACGATTTTGGCTTACTACAACCTCTGCCTCCTGGGTTCAAGCGACTCTCCTGCGTGAGCCTCCTGAGTAGCTGGGATTACAGGCGCATGCCACCATGCCTGACTAATTTTTGTACTTTTAATAGAGACGGGGTTTCACCATGTTGGTCAGGCTGGTCTCAAACTCCTGACCTTGTGACCCACCTGCCTCGACCTCCCAAAGTGCTGGGATTACAGGCATAAGCCACCGCGCCCAGCCATTAAAATATATTTGTGTATATAGTTACCTCTGTTGGTGGTGTTTCTTTGGCTAAATTCAAATTTCTCAGTAGTGTCCTTTTATTTCAACCTGAAGGACTCCTTTTAGTATTTTTCTATAGAGAAAGTCTGCTAATGATACATTCTCTGTTGTTTTTTTTTTACTCTTGGAAAAATTTCAGTTCATCTTTCATATTCAAAAGATGTATTGCTAGATATAAAATTCTTGTTTGACAGTCTTTTTCTTTTAGCATTTTATGTCATCCTACTGTGTTATGGCCTCCATTATTTGATGAGAAATCTGCTGTTAATCTTATTAAGGCTCCTTTTAAGTGATGAATCCTTTTTCTCTTGCTGCTTTCAAGATTTTCGCTTTGCCCTTGGCTTTCAGCAGTTTGACTTTGATATATCCAGGTGTGTGGATCCTTTTTAGTTTATTGTACTTTGAATTTGTTGAATTTCTTAGAACTGTAGATTGATGATCCAAGGTTGGAAAAAATTTGATTTCCAGATTTGAAATATTATATTATTTAAATGTCAGGTTTTCAACAAAAATGCAAGATATACAAAGAAACAGGGTAGCCTATACATGGTAAAACAACGACAACAAGCAGTCAACAGAAACAGCCAGTGAGGTGTCCTAATGGACGACAACAAGCAGTCAACAGAAACAGCCAGTGAGGTGTCCTAATGGGTGGATATACTAGACTAACACAGAGAGAGCTATTCTAAGTATGTTCAAAGAACTAAAGCAAACCTTTTATTTTTCTTTTAAACAAAAACAAAAAAACAACACTTTATTTTAGGTTCAGGGATACATATGAAGTTTTGTTATATAGGTCAACTCATGCCATGGGGATTCATCGTAAAGATTGTTTCCTCAACCAGGTATTAAGCCCAGTACCCAGTAGTTATCTTTTCTGCTCCTCTCTCTCCACCAACCCTCTGCTCTCAAGTAAACCCCAGTGTCTATTGCTCCCTTCTTTGTGTTCATGAGTTCTCATCATTTAGCTTCCACTTGTGAGAACACGTGGTATTTGGTTTTCTGTTCCTGTGTTAGTTTGCTAAGGATAATAGCCTCCACCTCCATCCATGTTCCTGCAAAAGACATGATCTTGCTCTTTTTTATGGCTGCATAGTATTCCATGGTGTATATGTACCACATTTTCTTTATCCAATCTGTCATTAATGGGCATTTAGACTGATTCCATGATTTTGCTCTTATGAATAGTTCTGCAGTAAACATTTGCATGCATGTGCTACTTTTAAAGAATAAGGAAATTTTATAACTTTTCATAAAATTTGGCAAGTTTTTAGCAATTTTTCTCTTCTTCTGGGTTTCCTGTTATATTGGCATACTTGATGGGAGTCCTACAGCTCTCTGATACTCCTCTGCTGAAGTCTGCACTGAGCCCATCTAGTTATTTTATTTTATTTTTTTTGAGACATGGTCTTGCTCTGTCATCCAGGCTGGAGTGCAGTGGCGCAGTCATGGCTCATTGAAGCCTCAACCCCTTGGGCATCAAGCAGTCTTCTTGCCTCAGTCTCCCTAGTAGTTGGGACTATAAGCACACTCCACCATACCCAGCTAATTTATATATATATATATATAAATTATTATATATATATATATATATTTTTTTTTTTTTTTTTTTTTTTTTTGTAGAGACAGGGTTTGCCATGTTGCCCAGGCTGGTCAAGCTCCTGGGAATCTGCCCACCTCAGCCTCCCATAGTGAATTGTTTGTTTGTTTGTTTTGCTTTGCTTTTTTTTTTTTTTTAGACATGGGGACTCACTATGTTGGCCAGGTTGGTCTTGAACTCCTTGCCTCAAACAATCCTTTCACCTTAGCTCTTAAAGTACTGGGATTCCAGGCATGAGCTACCACAACCAGCCCCTATAGTGAATTTTTCATATCATTTATTGTTCTTTTCAACTCAAAATTTCTAGTTATTTCTTTTTAATAAATTCTCTTATACTCTCTTTGGTGAGACATTGCTATAATTTCTTTTAATTCTTTACAAATGGTTTGCTTTAGTTCTTTGAACATACTTAGAATAGCTCTCTCTGTCTTAGTCTAGTCTGTCTACCCACTGGCACTCTCACTGGCTGTTTCTGTTGACTTCTTTTTTTTTTTTCACCCTGTGTATAGGCTATTCTGTTTGTGTATTTTGTATTTTTGTTGAAAATCTGACATTTAAAATAATATAAAATTTCAAATCTGGAAATCAGACTTTTTCCATTCTTAGGGTTTATTGTTGTTGCTGTTTGTTTTTTTAAGTGACTTTTTGGGACTAATTCTGTAAAGCCCACATTCTTTATGTTGTGTAGCCACTGAAGTCTCTGCTCAGTTACCACAGTGGTTAGTTCATGATTGGTCAGAGATTACCATAGGTGCCTTGAGTCTTTGGTAAAGGCTGTGACAGTATGTGTGTTATAAAACACCTTCAGTGCTTAGGCAGTTTGAAATTCTGCCTTTGCCTTCCTGTTTGCTCAGGGCCTCATGTTTATCCAGTG